>NC_000003.12:58494848-58797878 GCF_000001405.40 Homo sapiens | reverse complement strand
TTATACAACACAGGCAGAGTAGGATTTATTAATAGCATCACTCTTAAGAACCCTAGGATTTCTGGAATAGTCAATGACCACTGGCTTCAACTTAAAGTCACCAGCTGCATTAGCCCCCAACAACAGAGTCATCCTGTGCTTTGAAGCTTTGAAGCCAGACATTGACTTCTCCTCTAGTAATGGAAGTCCTAGATGTCATCTTCTTCCAATAGAAGACTGTTTTGTCTACATTGAAAACCTATTATTTAATGTAGTCACCTTCATCAATGATTGTAGCTAGATCTCCTGGATAACTTGCTGCAGCTTCTACATCAGTACTTGTTGCTTCAGCTTGCATTTTTATGTTACCGAGATGGCTTCTTTCCTTAAACCCCAGGAATCAACCTCTGCTAACTCAAAACTTTTATTCTCCAGCTTCCTTACCTCTCTCAATCTTCAAAGAATTGAAGAGAGTTAGGGCCTTGTTCTGGATTAGGCTTTGGCTTAAGGGAATGTTGTGGCTGGTTTGATGTTCCATCCAGACCACTCAAACTTTCTCCATATCACCAATTAAAGCTGTTTCACTTTCTTACCATTTGTGTGTTCTCTGGAGTAAGTACTTCGAATTTCCTTCGAGAACTTTTCCTTTGCATTCCCATCTTAGCTTTTGGTGCAAGAGGCCTAGCTTTCAGCCTGTGTTGGCTTTAGGCATGCTTTCCTCACTAAGCTTAACCATTTCTAGCTTTTGATTGAAAGTGAGAGACACGTGACTCTTCCTTTCACGTGAACACTCAGGGTCCACTGTAGGGTTATTATCAATAATCGGCCTAATTTCAATATTGCTGTGCCTCAGGGAATAGGTAGGCCCAAGGAGGGAGAGAGAGATGGGATGAATGGTTGATCAAGTGGAATTAGTCAGAATACAAACCGCATTTACTAAATTTGCCATCTTATATGGGCATGGTTCCTGGTGTCCCAAAACAATTTGATAGTAACATCAAAGATCACTGTCACGTATCACCGTAACAGATAGAACAGTAATGAAAAAATTTGAAATATTTAGAGAATTACCAGAATGTGGCACAGAGACACAAAGTGAGCCCATGCTGTTGGATAAATGACACTGATAAACTCGCTCAACACAGGGTGCCATAAACCTTCAATTTGTGAGAATTCAGCATCTGTGAAGAACAATATAGCAAAACACAATAAAACAAGGCATGCCTGTGTGTGTGTATGTGTGTGTCTCAAGAGCTAGAGAGAGAGAACCTGAAGCTGTGGTGCTGGTGCACTGTCAAATTTAACTGACTCCCCACCCCTTCTGTTCCTGGAGAGGTCCTTAGTCAACTGCTCTACCTTTAAAATAAACGTTTAAAGCACTTGATACAAAAAGCCTCCAGCTGGGCCTCTTTCCTCCCCGATCCACAGCAGAGGCAAAGCCCCAGAATGACTTTTCTAACCTCTTGAACCCTGCCTGCCCCAGAGAAAGCCTCAGTTAAGGGCACCCCTAGTAGCAAACTGAATCCCTCGAGAATCATCCTGCTTTTCACCTCTGACCACTCTTAACCCTGGACCACACCTTGCACAACTCCAGGGGGCACTATTCCCATGGGTTCCAGGAGACCCAGCAATTCACCAGCAGTACAATGTGAGTGGACAGTGCTGGGCAGCTGGTGGTCCCCTGACCCATCACTCCTCCTCCCTCCTCTGCTCTTGGTACTTGTTGACCTGCCAAGCCCACTTTCAGTCCTGGTTTTGATTATTTCTTCTACCTAAGTGAGTTTGCTCAAATTGTATCCCTGGTCCAGTTACACTGACCCGGGCACCAACTAGCCATCACAACAGATGTCTTGGTCCCCACCCCTGCCCACCTGCCCAAGATTTATTTGTCTTCACTCTCTCCATGTTCGTGTCTGGACCCGCCTGCCTGAGCATCAGCTAACCCCACCCTCCAGTTTCCTTAGTTGAGACACCTGCCTCCTCTCTGACCAGGTCTCTTTTGGGCCACTGGGACTTCCACCTGAGTTTCCTAGTTTTCCCTTTGTACTCTGTGAGAGTCTAAAGGCATTAAGACTGGGAAATACTAATTAATTTTCAGTTATTGTCATGTTTTCGAAAATTATAAACTTATGAAACCCATTCCCCTAGGAGTTTCAGAACAATAGATCACATCTTCTCCCCTCACCTCCCAAAGGCTTCTGTGTCTGAAAAGACAGATACCTGAAGAATCTTGGCTTTCGCTATTACTTTTGCTTTTTCTATGTTTTCCTTTTTGAAGACAGGATCTCAGTCTGTCACCCAGGCTGAAGTGCAGTGGCACAATCATGGCTCATTGCAGCCTCGGCCTCCCGGGCTCAGGTAACTCTCCCACTCCAGCTTCCCATGTAGCCGAGACCACAGGCACAAGCCAAGCTGATTTTTTTGTAGAAATGGGGTCTTGCCCTGTTGCCCAAGCTGGTCTCGTACTCCTGGGCTCAAGCAACCGTCCCTCCACCTTGGCCTCCCAAAGGGCTGGGTTACAGGCGTGAGCCACGGCACCTGGCAGAATCTTGACATCTTTAACCAGTGGAGAGCGGGGCTCCTGAGATTACTGAAGCCTCCCCAGCAATTGTTATCCATCCAGATGCTGAACTCAGATTACCTTTGGCCCACAATCCAGTTAAAGAAGGTAATTACCAAAGCAATTATTTACCATTCTAATGTTTTATAGTTTCAGCTTTTAATTAAAAGATTCAGCTTCCCCCTCAAGAGTAATGAGAACCTTTAAAAAAATAGAAGTACTAATTCTAGTTTATAACAATCACCTCCATTCTGTCTGGAGGTGGGGAGGGAATGCAAGTTGAGGTTTAGGAGAATAACATTAACCTAAAAAATGGAAGACCGTAATTATTGTTAAATGGCTACAGCCAGTCACATCCGTAGACTCATGATCTCATTATTCATTTTGTAATCTAATACAGGATAGCTTCCCTGTCATTTAAACAGGGAACCCCTACAGCATAAAATGATTCACAGAGTATTGTAGCTCATACTTTCAGCAACGCTCGATGAGTATTTTTGAAGTACCTACTATGTGACTTTAATGAGCTTGTGGCCTTCCAGCAGAACCAGGTCCACACTGCATGTCATTAGGCAGTGTGTGGGCATCTTCAGAACAGTGCCAAAGAGAGTTGGAGCATCTACTGAGCCTGGCTCAGGAGAAATCACTGCTTTTCCAGAAATGTGTCCACTCACAGACTCTGCTTTTGTTGCCAGTTGGTTACTTCTTCCCTGTAATTTTTTTGTTTCTGTTGTTAATGAAAAACATTACATTTTGAAATTGATTAAAGTTAAAACACATAATTTTTCACTCTAGCAATGCATTGTTTACCAGCATTCACAGCTTCATATTATGCTGTTCATTACCATATAAAAACCCGCTCAGTATAATAAATACCATAGAAGTCAACAGTCCAGGCTGTTTAAGATGACTTGAAGGCAAAAAGGCAAACATCTTTTAGTGTATTTGACTGAATTAACACTATCATTATTGTTCTGTTGACTCTTTCTTGTCCATTGATTTTTAAAAGCCTTTAGGTCCTTTGCCATCCATTAAGACAAATCAGATGCAATTTGGTGCTCAGGACAAGAAAATGCTGTTGGATGTTTGGTGTAGGCATGGGAAAAAAAAACTATATTCTGAAACAAGACTGGTTAGAAGGCAGCTTCCCACATTTTGAGGTAAACAACTTATTTGCTTTTGACTTTTGAGGCTAACAACAGTAGTGACCTTTGAATTACTGTGTGGACACTGGCTCAGTAACAAGCGAGACCAAATGGCGATTTGTAGATAATGTACTTTGTTATCGCTTATTTATGATGAAAGTAAGTGAGTTAGAATTGTACATACTCTCATATTTTTCAGTCTTTGATTCTCTTTATTTGCAGAACTAATAAACTAAAAAGCAACTGTAATCTGTTGCAAGAAAAGAAGAGTAAAATATTTTCTGTTGAATTAGTAGTGAACAATTTTAAAGCAGTGGAACCATTTGTATTATCAAAATAGCAGTGAACAAGAAACCTGAGATCTGGCCTGGTCTGATCTCAATACTACGATAAAATGAAAGTCTCAGCTTAAGTAAAATCACAGTATTGCTTTCAATTAAACAGTGACATTTATGGTAATGAAACTACATTTTTTGTTGAGGGGCAGCTCATCTCTAAACTACCAAAAGAATATCTTTTCCTTGACACCTTAGTAAGGGTTGAGGGTAGGGGGTGAGAATCTATACATTGGCCACTAACATTGAAAGAAAATTACATTATGATCAGTGTTTTAACTTGGTGAAGGATGCACTTTGTTTTTTTTGCCATCTGCCCTCTTCCAACCTTTTCAACAACACTCCTATTGAAACCTGAAACTGCCTTCATTTTGGAAATACTACTAATTCACATTAAAAGTCCAGAAAAATTTTAGTTTCTTTTGCTGGAATAACAGAAGAAATGGAAGCAAACAAAAACAACCAGCCATGTGACATTCTCTAAATTTGCTTGTGAATTTCTAAATTTCAGTGCTAGCAAAAAAGAAAGTTGCAGCAAGGCATACAGTAAATGAAGATATTATGTATTAGGAAAGGAATGAATCTGTCACTTTGACGGATTGTGAGGCGAAGAGTAGATTAACAGATTACTCATAGTCAGAAGGCAGCTTGGTGTGAAAAATGTGTAGGAAATGATAAGTGCAGGTTTGTGCTGATTTAATGATATTTTTAAACTACAATAACACTCTGGTAGTATAATATAATAAAGCACTTGGCTTACATTTTTGTAAATCATCAACATATTTCCAGTTTGACCTTAAAAACATTTTGGGCCATTCTCTATTAAAATATGTAGCTTTCAAATTAGAAAAAGGTACCATCTATTATAAAATACCACAGCAGTGCCCTTACAGGAAACATCATTGGCTTTTAAAATCAGTTCTTCTCTAAACTAGCATTTGTAATATACATTTTAATTACATTTTTAGCATACCAACACCACATGTACTTTTTCTTCAAGCATTTAAATCACTTACAACAAGAATTTATCTTCTAACAGCCATTTCCAGTGAAATGCTTCAAAGATGCCACTGATTTGTCTTTATATTTTCATTGTCAGTTTTTAGTTTTGTAGTTGAACTCATGGAGTATTTATAAATAAAACAACTATATTTTGTCACAGATACTAGATAAAAGTAGTTCAAATTTCAATTGAGTACTCTGAGAGTCTCTGCAAGAAATAAGATGAATTACTTATTTTATTTTGTATTATTACAAATATTTATCAGAAAGTAAAAGTTTTTAAGAGGTTTATATTTTTATATAAGTAAAATAGAGATTTTAATAGCACACTTGTAGTTAATTTGACAGTGATGGACTTGCCTTGCCAAGGATTTTCAGAATAAAATTCCTATGAAGCATTGAAATAGTTTTTATTCTAATATCTTAATATTCAAAACCTAATGTAAGGCTTGGGTTGTTTAGTATTCTCTTCTCCCAATTCACCAATAATGGCTTTACTTAAGTAGGTACAATGAAACTCGGAGTAAAATACTGCATTTACCATCTAAACATTTGTATCTAGCCCAAACGCAAATAAATATACTACTTTGGCATGTCCAGGGCTTGAATCCCAGACATGATTATGATTCAAGTTATATTTTACATATACAGTGAAGAACTTTACCAGAATTCAGCATGTTTTCTAGATTTCCTCTCTTCTAACGTTCTCTCAACTTGGGGTAAATAAACAATGAGAATAGTCTATATTCTTGGTAGAAATTCTGAAATATATGTAGCAAAAGTTGTTTGCATGTTTTCTGACATCCTTGAAGATTTATTGTCTATAGTAGTTACTGACACTGTTCCCCAAATATTCCCAGCTCTCCAGATTCCAAGTACATGGTTGTATTGCACTTCTAGGTTTCCTTGTTTGGGGGTGGAGCCAACTAACCCAACTAATTCTAGCCAACTAATTAGGAGCATAAGGGCCTACGTTATTTCTTGGCAAGAACATTTACATTGTAGGTGTGAAACCTTCCAGATTATCTTTTCCTCTGACACTGTGACCAGAAACATTCAAGATGATGGTGGTTCAGTCAACCCAGTCACTTAATGACTGTGACAAACAGAGTCCCTATAATGATCTGTTATAAAAACTTAACATGAGCAAGAAATTAACATTTGTTGTTTTTAAGTCACTGAGATTTGAGGGTTTTTTGTTATCAAGCATAACATACCCTTATTCTGACTGACACAGTTGCTAACTGTGACATTGAATATACATTGTCATTGGAAATACAGCATTTCATATATTTTCATATTTGAATGTTAAAAATTGGTTAAACTATTCACTCAGTATGAGATTAATTGGCATATAGTAGAATAAGGGGTTTCATGAGGTGGTATAATGCACTAGTTTAAAAAACTGTCTCTAGAATCAAAAGGTTGGGTTTATATCCTTATGACATTAGTTAACCTCTCCAAGCCCCAATTAAGTTATCTAAAAATAGGAATTGTATTTTACTACCCACCATAAAGTGTTATTGCAAAGATTAAATGAAATAATACTCATAACATGTTTTGCATAGGGCCTGGCATATATATTTTTATTAAATGGTAGAAAGTGATGATAGTATTGGTAGGGATATTAATAGTAATATTAGGAATAATTTTTCAAAAAAAATCATACTTTAACAGAATCAGAGAATCTTAAAGGGTTTGATGAGATCAGGGAGATGATTTAACCCAGCATCTCTTCAAACTTTACACATCTCTGCCAGGGAAGCAGGCTCAGTGCAGCAGAAGACAGCCCATTCCATTATTGGGCAACTCCAACCATGGGAAATCTTCCTTATACTGAGCTGATGTAGGCTTCTCTATAGCTTCTTCCCATTGATCCTAGTTCTGTTTCCAGAACAATAAGTAGAACCATCACTTTTCATAAAATACCTCTTGAATTTTTTAATATCACTTCTGGGTTGCTCTGTTTTCTCCTCTAGTCTCACATTTTCTCACTCCAGTCCCAACTCCATTTTGCCATTCCTGGTCCTGGCATAGTCCTAATCACCGTCCTTTGGATACCTTTTAATTTATCAAATTGGAATTCTCTAAAATGAACACAATAATCTAGATGTAATCCAAAGAGTTCAGACTACAGTTACACCATTGACTAGTATAGTACATTGCTTAAATCACATTCATAGTTTTAGTTCCCATATCCCACTAATGTCTTACATTTGGCTTTTGGTCACCTAAAAAATCACCATCTTTCTCCTGGACTATTGCTATAGCCTTCTAAGTAGCCTCCATGGATCCACATGTCCTTTTCACCACTACTCCTCTCCTTCTCTGCTGCTCTTCTGCTCTTCTGTTCATCTGCTCATGGAACCTGGGGTTTGAGGTTTATATGGGTACATGATAGGGGACATGGCAGGCCAAATGGCAACTTTTGGGCGAGAAAACAGGAATGCCTGTTCCCATTTAGGGCCACAGGTTTCCAGGCTTGAGAGTGGGGCCTTTGCCAGGGAACCACCCTCTTCTACCCATTATTTCCCTGTCTCCGGTCCATATCAAAGATATACAACTGAGAATAAATACATATTGTATGATTCCATTCATATGGAATTCAAAAACAGACAAACTGAGCCATGGGTATTAGAAGTCACCAGGCTCACTTGTAGGGAGAAGAGAGTGTAATAATTAGAAGAAGGAGGAAGGGACGCTTTTACCTCTTGACCCAGGTGGGGATTATGGCTCACTGTGGGATCATTCATTGAGCCATACAGCTATGATTTGTGCATTTTTCTCTGTTTACATTACACATCAATATTAATAAGAATAATTAGTATAATTGTTAATAAGGATAATTGGTATAATTCTTAGTCTAAAATAGTTTGCTTTTTCTAATATTTTAACATTTCTGTATCTTTCTACCTTTTTTATAATTTATGTAAGCTTTCTGTAGAATGAGACTATATTTAAGTGGAATAGCAGCTCAGTAACACCATGAATAATTATGATGATGGTAGCCTGGTGATTTGAGTAAATTATTTCCTTCCTGGGAAGCCTAATTTACTCACAATAATGGTCCAATCAACAAAAGAGTTTTTATTATTTCCTCCCAATGTTTTTAAAATAGCATTTTACCATCATCTGTTCAAAAATCCATTTATCACCCATATCAGTGTTTAATCACAATATTTTTCATTAACTGAAGTGTTACAATTAACACACCCTGAAAATGCTGGGAAATAAATCTAGTCAACTAAAGATCCTGTCAACTTGCTCCAGTTCCTTATTTTCTCATGCAACCAGCCAACACTGGGGGAAATTGAATTGTCATTCACCTCACAGAGCCTTTTTAGCATATCATTGTTTTATTTGACTTCTGAACAGAAAGGTATAACCAAACTTTGAAAAGAAAATGGAAATCAGTACATAAATAAGGTATCTGATAATCTGACACAATAATGAAAATGATACCCTGTAGTTATTCTTTACAAAAGCCCAGAGAGCTAAATTAAAGCACTAAATTAAATCCCACCTACTCTTTCTGCACCATTAAGTCCCATCATTCCACAGAAAGATTTGGATGGTTTTATTTTGTATTCTAATTTTAAGGCAATTATTCTCTCGTTAAAGTTAGAAAAGGCTGCAAAGTTTTTTGCTCTTGATTTGCTAATGACTTAGTTACAAAGCATTTAACCTACAGTTGCCTTATAACTCTCTAAAAGGTGTTATATAAAGTTGCTTGGGATTGAACTTTTTTCTGTAATTTTAAACAATAATAACTACTAATGCTATTACTGTGTGGTGAGTTTTATACTGTGTGCCACTGTGTGGAATTGATACATTTTATGTTACAGTTGACCCTTGAACAACATGGGTTTGAACTATATGGGTTCCCTTACAAATTATGACACAGATTTTTTCCAACCCATTTTTCATATATGTGGGTTCTGCATGGCCAACTTGAGGATTTTGGTATATGTGGGGAGGGGGAACTGAAACCTAATCCCCACTCCTACTGAGGGATGACTAGTTTATTTAATCCCTGCTACAACCCAGTAGGGTCAGTTCTCTTATTCCCATATTCCAGATGTGGAAACAAGAGACACAGAGTTTGGCTCAAAGGTCACAAGGCTAAAAGGAAGTTTAAGCTGAGATTAAAAACTGTGCAATTTATATACTAGATTAGTGCCCTAAATGTGTGTCTAATATACAGTTCCACATTGGATTGTCAAAGTGTTTTCCACTGTGGTGGTGGTAGTCATTGCTGTTGCTACAATCCCAGCCTAGCCATGTGTTCATCCAGACATGCAGCACGGGAATATGTTAGCATCCCATTTTGTGACCAGCCACGTCTTGCTGAGATTTAGGAAAGTCGTGCTAGAAGTTGAGGTGATAAACTAAAGGTAAGAAATTTTTCTCGTTGATTCCCCATTTGCTCCCCATTACTTCTCATACAGCGCTGTCCACATTAGAAGCTCAAAAATGTCTGTGGATTCTCACCAATAGGATTTCCCCGGTAACCGTGGTTTAAATGTGAATTTAATTTGTTCATCTGAGGGGCCCATTATATTAGAAACATCCATCTCCAATAGACGGCCCCAAATCAACCATGCTGTGGTTCCCTTTCTCACTGCGTGCTCAGAATCTGTCTGTATGCAGTGAGTTGGAGTTTTGTTTTGTTTTGCTTTGTTTTTTAGTGTTTTCTTCCTCTTTTTTTTTTTTAAATTGTACTTTAAGTTCTGGGACAAATGTGCAGAACATGCAGGTTTGTTATATATGTATAGGTATACACATGCCATGGTGGTTTGCTGCACCTATCAACCCATCATCTACATTAGGTGTTTCTCCTAATGCTATCCCTCCCCTAGCACCCCACCCCCCAACAGGCCCCAGTGTGTGATGTTCCCCTCCCTGTGTCTGTGTGTTCTCATTGTTCAACTCCCACTTATGAGTGAGAACATGCAGTGTTTGGTTTCCTGTTTGTGTGTTAATTTGCTGAGAATGATGGTGTCCGGCTTCATCCATGTCCCTGCAAAGGACATGAACTCATCCGTTTTTATGGCTGCATAGTATTTCATGGTGTATACATGCCACATTTTCTTAATCCATTCTATCATTGATGGGCATTTGAGTTGGTTCCAAGTCTTTGCTATTGTAAATAGTGCTGCAATAAACATGCATGTGCATCTTTATAGTAGAATGATTTATAATCCTTTGGGTATATACTCGGTAATGGGATTGCTGGGTCAAATGGTATTTCTGGTTCTAGATCCTTGAGGAATCGCCACACTGTCCTCCACCATGGTTGAACTAATTAACACAATGAATTGGAGTTTTTTGTTTGTTTGTTTGTTGGTTTTTTAATTTATTCTTTTTTATTATACTTTAAGTTTTAGGGTACATGTGCACATTGTGCAGGTTAGTTACATACGTATACATGTGCCATGCTGGTGTGCTGCACCCACTAACTCGTCATCTAGCATTAGGTATATCTCCCAATGCTATCCCTCCCCCCTCCCCCCACCCCACAACAGTCCCCAGAGTGTGATGTTCCCCTTCCTGTGTCCATGTGATCTCATTGTTCAATTCCCACCTATGAGTGAGAATATGCAGTGTTTGGTTTTTTGTTCTTGCGATAGTTTACTGAGAATGATGAATTGGAGTTTTTATGAAATCTTGTATCAGCGTTACTCTGTGCTAGAGCTGTTAATAAGAAATACTCATCAAATCTTTTTATTTTTAAAATTACTTTTATATAAAATTACTTTTATATTTTTATAGCACTGTTTTCTATCTGAAATAATATTCTTTCTTTGTATATTTACAGTAATGCCCCCCCTTATCTACAGGGGGTACATTCCAAGACTCCAGTGGATGTCTAAAACGACAGATAGTGCCAAACCCTATATATGCTATATTTTTTTCTATATATGCATACCTATGATAAAGTTAATTTATAAATTGACACAGTAAGATATTAACAAGAATAATAATAAAATAGAACAATTATAGTAATATACTGTTCATAACTTCACAGATTTATTCTTACCATAGATCTTAGCAACCTCAGTATATGATTTTTTTCTTTCCTTATTAAGTCGGGAACTTTTGCGGTTTTTACTTAAAGGAAACACTTTGAAGCTTCTCTTTGGCATATCTTAATTGCCAACATCACTATTCTTGCTCTTTGGGGCCATTATTTAGTAAAATAAGAGTTACTTGAACACAAGCACTGTGATACTATCACGGACGATCTGATAATGGAGACGGCTACTAAGAAACTAATGGGTGTGGATACACCAGAAAAGGGATTCAGGTCTGGGACAAGACAGACAGGGACAGCACAAGATTTCACAAATTCAGAACAGTACTTGATTTAAAATTTATGAATTGTTTATTGCTGAAATTTTCCATTTAATATTTTTGGACCATGATTGACCTCAGGTAGCTAAAACCACAGAAAATAAAACCAAGGACAAGGAGGGACTACTGTATTTACTGTCTGCCTCCATCTCTGGATTGTAAGCTCCATGGGAGCAGAGACTCTGTGTTTTTGATACCACTCTTGTGAATACCTAGAACACAAATATAAAGTGGGATAGAGCAGGCATTCAAGTAATTTTCTTAATGTTTTCAAAGATATCACCACGGAGGAAATATAATTTTCTACAACCTCCATGAGTTGTTAGTTGGGATGGACCCTGTAATAAAAGAAGGATTAGCAAGAGAAAAACGAGTTTATTAACATTTGCAGCACACATCCTGTGGGAGAAACCTCAATGAAAAGTAACTCAAAGCAGTGGCTTAGAACTCTGGCTTACGTAACATCTTTCACAAAGAACAGTACATTTGTGGAGAAACAACAGGACAAATGTAAGCAGTTTTTGGCTTTCAAGGGCCAGAAACTGTGAGAAGGTAAATATATGGGAGGAAACCAATGGAGTGAGGTTTCCTTGCAGATTCCTCTGTGGCCATCTCTGAGCTCCTAAAAGTCTAGAGTTGTCTCCAGTAAAGGAGACTTGATATCCTGTCTTTAGGCAGATAAGAGGGAAAGTAGAGAGAGTTTTTCCTGTGTTTGCTTCTTCTTAATTGCCTTTGGCTCGAAAACAATTTTTAGGTCACGGAAGCATATTTTGGGGGACATATTTTGGTTTCCTTCCATATGAAGCAAACCCGTTATGGGAGGGAGGCAGTTACTTCCCCTACATCTTCAATGATGCTGTGTTTATCAGAGATGAGGTCTTCATTCTATGTGTATCCTTCTGGTGGGTAAAAAGATAGTTTTTTTTCTGTTTTAAACCGATACATAATATTTTACATTTATGGAGTACATATGATCTTTTGTTACATGTATGGAATGTGTGATGACCAAGACAGAATATTTGGGGTATCCATCTTGAATATTTATCATTTCTGTGTGTTGGTATCATTTCAAGTCCTCCCTTCTAGCTACTTTGACATATACATTTTTGCTAAATATAGTTACCTTACTCTGCTATCAAACTTTGGAATTTATACCTTCTATCTAATTGTATGTTTATACCCATTAACAAACCTGTCTTCATCCCCGCTCCTACCCACACAGCCTTCCCAGCCTCCGGTATCTATCATTCTACTCTCTACCTCCATGAGATCCACTTTTTGAACTCTCACATATGAGTGAGAACATGAGGTATTTGTCTTTCTGTGCTTGGTTTATTTCACTTAACATAACGACCTCTGGTCCCACCCATGTTGCTGCAAAGACAATAATAGTATTCAGCCATAAAAGAGAACAATAGTATATTGTGTATGTATACCATATTTTCTTTATCCATTCATTCGTTGATGGACACTTAGGTTGATTCCTTATCTTTGCTATTGTGAATAGTGCCGCAATAAACAGGTAAGTGCAGGTATCCCTTTGATATACTGATTTCTTTTCCTTTGGATAAATACCCAGTCGTGGGATTGCTGGATCGAATGGTAGTTCTGTTTTTAGCTTTTTGAGAAATCTCTCATACTGTTTTCCATAGTGGCTGTACTAATTTACATTACTACCAACAGTTTATAAGACTTCCCTTTTCAGAAAGCTTATATACTTTTGGTGGGAATATAAGTTAGTTCAGCGACTGTGGAAAGCAGTTTGGACATTTCTCAAGAACTTCAAACAGAACTACCATTTGACCCAGCAGTCTCATTACTGGGTATATATCCAAAAGCAAACAAACCATTCTTCCAAAAAGACACATGCGCTGTCATGTTCATCACAGCACTATTCACAATAGCAAATACATGTAGTCAACCTAGGTGTCCATGAACAGTGGACTGAATAAAGAATATTATCTCATTCCTACCTATGGCTTTTATTTTAGATTCAGAGGATACATGTGCAGATTTGTTACGTGGGTATATTGCATGATGCTGAGGTTTGGGGTATGAATGATCCCATTACGCAGGTACTGAGCATAGAACTCAATAGTTTTTTTAACCCTTGCCTCCCTCCCTTCCTTCTACCTATAGTAGTCCCCAGTTTCTATTGTTGCTATAGTCTTTCATGATGTATATGTATCATGGAATATTTGGTACATATACATGATGGAGTACTGTGCAGCCATAAAAAAGAATGAAATCATGTCCTTTTTAGCAACATGGGTGCAGCTGGAGGTCATTATCCTAAGCAAATTAACCCAGGAATAGAAAACCAATACCATATGTTCTCACTCATAAGTGGGCACTAAACACTGGATACCCATGGACATAAAAATGGCAACAAGATCACACTGCTGCCGCACTTCAGCCTGGGCAACAGAGTAAGGCGCTGTCTTAAAAAAAAAAAATGGCAACAATAGAAACAATAGGTACCCCTAGTGGTGGAAGGGAGGGAAGGAGGCAAGGGTTTAAAGAACTATTGTGTACCATGCTCAGTACCTGCATAATGGGATCATTCATACCCCAAACCTCAGCATCACACAATATACCCACATAACAAATCTGCACATGTATCCCCTGAATCTAAAATAAAAGTTGAAAAAATAAGGAATACCCTTTCTCCACATCCTTGCCATCATGTTTTTTGTTTTTGGGGTTTTGTTTTGTTTTGTTTTTTTAGTAATAGCCATTCTGACTGGGGTCAGACGATATCTCATTGTGGTTTTGATTTACATTTCCCTGACGATTACTGATGTTCAGTACTTTTTCATATATCTGTTGGCCGTTTGTATGTCTTCTTTTGAAAAATATGTATTCGTGGTTTTTGCACATGTTTTAATGGGATAATTTGGTTTCTTCTTGCTGAGTTCTTTGTATATTCTGGATATTCTCTTGTCAAATGAGTAGTTTGCAAATATTTTTATTTTCTTTCATTCAACAGGTTGTCTCTTCACTCTTGTTTTTTGTTTGGTTGGTTGGTTTTTGTTCTTCTGTTTTGCTGTGCAGAAGCTTTTTTATTTAATATAGTCCTATTTATCTATTTTTGGTTTTGTTTGTGCTTTTGAGGACTTGGCCATAACATTTTTGCCTATACCAGTGTCTTGAGGTGTTTTTCCTGTTTTTTTCTACCAGTTTTATGTTTTCAGGTCTTAGATTTAAGTCTTGAATCCATCTTGAGTTGATTTTTGTATATGATGAGAAGTAGGCATCTAGTTTTATTCTTCTGCATATGGATATCCAATTTTCCCAGCACCATTTATTGAAGGGGTTATCCTTTCCTGAATGTATGTTCTTGGCATCTTTGTTGGAAATCAGTTGACTATTAAATATATGGATTTATTTCTGGATTCCCTATTCTGTTCCATTGGTCTATATGTCTCTTTTTATACCAATACCATGCTGTTTGGTTACTATAGCCTTGTAATATATTTTGAAGTCAGGTAATATGATGCCTCACAGCTTTGTTTTTGTTTTGTTTTGTTTTGTTTTTTGCTCAAAATTTCTTTTGCTATTCAGGTTCTTACGTGGCTGAATACAAACTTTAGGATTTTTTTCTTTTTGTGAAAAATGACATTGGCATTTTGATAGAGATTGCATTGAATCTGTAGATTGCTTTTGGCATTACAGTCATTTTAATAATATTAATTCTTCCAATCCATGATCATGGGCTGTCTTTCCATTTGTTTATATCCTTTTCAATTTCTTTCATCAGTGTTTTGTAGTTTTCCTTATGGAAATTCTTCACATCCTTGGTTAAATTTATTCCCAGATATTTTTGTAGCTCTTGTAAATGGAATTGCTTTCTTATTTCTTAGCTAGTTCATTATTGGTGTATAGAAATGATACTAATATTTGTATGTTGACTTTGTATCCTTCAACTTTACTGAATTTATCAAATCTTAGAGTTTTTCTGGAGTCTTTAGGTTTTTCTAGAGTTAAGATTATATCATTAGCAAACAGGAACAATTTGACTTATACTTTTCCAATTTAGATGCCTTTATTTTTTCCTTTTGCCTGATTACTCTGGCTAGGACTTCCAGTATTACGTTGAACAGGAGTGGTAAAAGTGGGCATCCTTGTCTTGTTCTAGTTCTTAGGGGAAAGGCTTCCAGCTTTTCCCTATTCAGTATGATGTTAGCTCTGGGTGTGTCATATATGGCCTTTATTATTTTGAAGTATATTATTTCTATGCCTAGTTTGTTGTTTTTATCATGAAGGGATGTTGAATTTTGTCAAATGCTACTTCTGCATCTATTGAGTTGATTATAAACCTTCATTCTTCATAGATCATTTCTTCATTCTGTTAATGCGATGTATCACATTTACTGATTTGCATAGGTTGATCCTTGCATCCCTAGGATAAATCCCGCTTGATCTTTGTATATTAATTTTTTTAATATAATGTTGGATTCAGTTTGCCAGTATTGAGTTGAGAATTTTTGCATCTATATTCATCACGGATATTGGCCTCTAGTTTTCTTATCTTTGTTGTGTCATTGTCTGATTTTGGTATGGTGATGCTGGTCTCATAGAATGAGTCAGGGAGAATTCTCTCCTTTTCCAATTTTTGGGATAGTTCAAGAAGAATTCATGTTCTTTGAAAGCTTGGTGGAATTTGGCAGTGAAGCCATCTGGTACTGGACTTTTCTTCATTGGTAGACTTTTTATTACTGATTCAGTCTCATAACTTGTTATTGTTCTGTTCAGGTTTCTGTTTCTTCTTGATTTAATCTTGATAGTTTGTATGTGTTTAGGAATTTATCCATTTCTTCTAGGTTTTCTAGTTTGTTATTGTATAGTTGTTCATAATAGTCTCTAATGATCTTTTGTATTTCCATGGTAACAATTGTAATATCTTCGGTTTCATTTCTGATTTTATTTGGGTATTCTCTTTTTATGGCTAGTCTAGCAAGTGGTTTATCAATTTTATCTTTCAAAAAGCCAACTTTTTGTTTTGTTGATCCTTTTTATTATTTTTTAGCATCCAGTTCATTTAGTTCTTCTCTGATCTTTATTATTTCTTTCCTTCTATTAATTTTAGATTTGGTTTGTTCTTGCTTTTCTAGTTCCTAAAAGTGCATCATTAGATTGGTTATTTGAAATCTACTTTTATTTTATTTGCTACTTTTTTGATGTAGATGTTCATTGCTGTAAACTTCTCTCAGCACCACTTTTGCTGTATTCCATAGGTTTTGGTACACTGTGTTTTTATTTTGTTTTTTTCAAGAAATGTTTTATTTCCTCTGTAACTTTTTCTTTGATCCAGTGGTCATTCAAAAGTATGTTGTTTAATTCCCATGTATTTGTACAGTTTCCAGAGTTCCTCTTGTTATTGATTTCTAGGTTTACTCTATTGTTGTCTGAGAAGATACTGAATAAGATTTTGATGTTTAAAAATGTATTGACACTTATTTTATATTCTAATATATATTCTATCCTGGAGAATGTTGTGTGTGCTGATTAGAAGGATATCTATTCTGTAGCTGTTGAATGAAATGTTCTTTAAATTTCCGTTGGGTTCATTTGGTCTAATGTGTAATTCAAATCCAGTGGGTTTTTTAAATTAATTTTCTGTCTAGATGATCTGACTAATGCTGGGAGTGGGGTGTTGAAATTCCCAGCTATTATTATATTGGAGTCTATCTCTCCCTTTAGATTTAGTAATATTTGCATTACATATCTAGGTGTTCAGATGTTGGCTGCATATATATTTAGATAGTTATATCTTCTAGCTTACTTTTGTCATTACATAATGATCTCGTTTGTCTCTTTTTAGTGTTTTTATCTTAAAATCTGTTCTGTGTGATATAAGCATAGCTAATCCTGCTTACTTTTGGCTTCCATTTGTGTGAAATATCCTTTTTCATCCCTTTATTTTCAGTCTATATGTTTCTTTACAGATAAGATGAGATTCTTGTAGGCAGCATATACTTGGATCTTTTTTTTTATTCATTCAGCCAGTCTATACCTTTTAAATGGAAACATTAATTCATTCACATTCAAGGTTATTACTGACACATGTGGGCTTATTTCTGTTATTTCATTACTTGATTTTCCGTTGTTTTACATATCCTTTGTTCCTTTATTTTGCTCTTACTATTTACCATTGTGGCTTGGTGATATTCTGTAATCATAACATTTTATCTTCTTTGTTTGTTTACCCTACCAGTGTTTTTTATATATTTGTGTGTTTTCATGACAATAGTAATTGTTCTTTCACTTCCAGGTGTGAGACTTCCTTAAGCATTGCTTGTAGGGCTGGTCTAGTGGTGACAAATTCCCTCAGCTTTTGCTTGTCTGACAAAGATTTTATTTACTTCTCTTTCATTTATGAAGGATATTTTGCTGGGTATAGTATCCTTGGCTGACAGTTTTTTTAAATCTTTCAACTCTTTGAATATATCATCCCATTCTCTCCTGGCCTGTAAAGTTTCTGCTGAGAAATCCACTGTTAGTCTGATAGGGGTTCCCTTATAAATGACTAGATGCATTTATCTTGCTGGTTTTATAATTCTCTCTTTGTTTTTGATTTTTGACATTTTTTACTATACTGTGCCAGGGAGAAGAGCTTTTTGAATTATACCTGTTTGGGGATCTCTGAACTTGTATCTGGATATCTGAATCTCTTGCTAGAATTTGGAATTTTTCCATTATCAATTTGCTAAATAGATTTTTCTAACCCTTTCATCTCCTCTTCACCTTCTGGGACACCCAAAATTCAAATATTTGGTCACTTTATGGTGTCCTATAAGTCATGAATGTTTTGCTCCTTCTTTTTTATTCTTTTTTATTTTTGTCAGACTGGGTCATTTCAAAATAGCTACCTTTCAGTTCTGAGATTCTTTCTTCTGCTCGATCTAGTCTGTTGATGAAGCTTTGAAATGTATTTTCTATTTCATTCAATGAATTTTTAATTCCAGAATTTTCTATCTACTAATATTTGCTTTATATATCTGTGTGCTCTGATGTTGGGTGCACAGATATTTAGATGGTTGTATCCTCTAGCTGAATTGATCATTTTATCATTACAGTGACCTTGTTTGTCTTCTTTTAGTGTTTTGCTTAAAGTCTATTCTATTTGATATAAGCATAGTTACTCCTGCCCACCTTTGGTTTCCATTTGCATGGAATATTCTTTTCCATCCCTTTATTTTTAGTCTATGTGTGTTTGGTTCCTTTTTATGATATCTGTCCCTTTGGTAAATTTCTCACTCATATCCTGAATTGTTTTTCTGATATTTTTATATTGTTTTTCAGAATTATCTTGTATTTCATTGAGCATCTTTAATATCAATATTTTGAATTCTGTTTCCAGGACTTTATGAATTTCTTTTTGATTGGGATCTGTTGCTGAATAATTATCCTGTTCCTATGGAGTTGTCATATTTCTTTACTTTTTTATGTTTTCTGGATCCTGACATTGATTATCTGCACATCTGGTGTAACTGTCACTTCTTCCAATAATTTGAATGTGCTTTTATTGGGGAGAAATTTTTCCTGAATATGTATCTATGGTGTTGGTTGGGTGGGACACTTGGCTTTGATTCTGGGTGCATGCAGTAGTGTAGTCTCTGTATGATATCTTGGGCTATAAACAGTGTCAGTGGTGTCTGTTATTTCCTCAGTGGCTTAAGATATGTTTGTTAGTGAAGACTTAGTGAAGTTTTGCTGGGAACTGGGATGCCAGGTGAGCCAGTCTCCGGACCTCAATAGTGGCAGCAGTGGGCTGACCATGCCTGTATTTGGGCCCCAGGGCAGCATACACTGGATCCTGTGTTAGTGGGTCCAGGCAGGCCAATTCTTGGGCCTCTAAGTGGCTTACTTGGGTGCCAGAAATAGCAGCAAGGGATCAGGTTGGTGTGTGGGTTCTCAAGTTCCTGGGCAGTGACTGTGGCATAAATGATGGTAGTAGCAGTGGTAGAACAACTCTCTGGGACCCAAGTGGTCCACACTGGTGTTGGCAGTAGCTGCAAGGGGTTGAGCAGTAGTCAGTCCCCATATCTGCAGGTGGCATGCAGGTGGGTGCCAGCTGTTGTGGTAGCAGCAGGTAGAGAACGCCCCACCTCACACCCGAAGAGGAATACCCAGTTTCCTCTAGTGATGCACTGTGCTGGGTGATTCCCAGCCCCCTAGACAGTGTGCTCAGGTACCTGGGGTTGTAAAGCCAGGCTGGGAAGATCTGCCCTCAGGCCCTCCACAGTGATGCATGCAGGCACTTAACTGTGGTAGACAAGGACGAGGTGATCCTCAGGCCACTGGCAAAATGCGCAGGTGGGGGTGGCTGTAGCTGCACTTTGGTCCTTCTACTGAGCAGGCTGGGGTTGCTTTCTCTGGAAGCAGCCATTAGGATGGCAGCTGGAAAACCTGTAGCAGTAGCAGTCCAGGTCATGAGCAGTGGAATTTGTCCTTGGGACACATGAAAATGCACAGCCACACCTCTGCTGGAGGCAGGATATGGGATTACTACCTGTGGCTTCCACCTCAGCCCCAGTGGCAGAGTAGGACACAGTTTAGTGAGGGTAACACTCTCAAAATGGCACCATGCTGCAGCTCCTTAGGACTTGGTGGTTTGTAGGATTGAGCATGAACTGTCTCTCTGCAGCATGCCTTCACGCAGTCTCCAGACAGCGCCTTGTCTTAGCCTTGAGGCCGGCCCTCAAGGGTCAACAGGCTCTACTGTGGCTAGGATTACAGGAGTCTGTGGCAGGATTATGGACCAGTAGGGGCCTCCCACTTACTTTTTCCCCACATTAGGAAGCCACTCCAGACTCCCAGAACAAGATAATATTTAAGTCTGTCCTGTAGAAATGTAGAGATTCTAAAGGACCTCCTGAGAAATATCGTAACTTCATCAGTTTTTCTTAGCCTTTATTTTTCTGTTGGGAAAATATATTCCATAGATATCATTCATTTGTGCATACTTTGATTGACATGAGTGAGGACCCTATTAGTTACAAGTCACACATTTATAGGCTGCTGTGGAACCCAAATATCTGAAACAGGTCTCAGTCAATTTAGGAAGTTTATTTTGCCAAAGTTAATGATGCACGCCTGTGACACAGCCTCAGGAGGTCCTGACAACATGTGCCCAAGGTGGTTGTGGCACAACTTGGTTTTATACATTTTAAGGAGACTTCAGACATCAATCAGTACATGTAAGATGTACATTGGTTGCGTCCAAAAAGGGAAGACAACACAAAGCGGGGAGGGGGCTTCCAGGTCATAGGTAGGTAAGAGACAAATGGTTGCATTCTTTTGAGTTTCTGATTAAACTTTCCAAAGAAAGCAGTTAGATATGCATTTATCTCAGTGAACAGAAGAATGACTTTGAGTTCTGTCTGTTCTTTATCCACAAGGAAATTATTTGTGAGGGAGATAAGTAGCTATATTTTTTTTAATCTTAATAGCTCTCTTTCTTAGGAATAGAATGGGAGGCAGGTTTGCCCTAAGCAGTTCTGAGCTTGGCTCTTCCATTTGGCTTAGTGATTTGGGGGTCTGAAGATTTATTTTCCTTTCACACTCCCACAGTGGAAGAGTCCAGAGGTTGATCTGCAGGCAAGATTGAATCCCAGACCTCAAATGGTGAAGGGACTGTCTCTTCATCTCTTTACTGTTCTTTCTGTTGCCTTTTTTCTAACCAGGCCTCTACATAGTTCCTGTTTGCATTGTAAGGGAGGAAAAATAATTTTTTCCCTCAATCCTCTTAAGTTCTTAGTTGGAATGAACCCTTGTAACATAAAACAGATTAGCAAGAGAAAAACAGTTAATTAACATGTATATTTTTAAATATGTATGTAATACATACGAGATACCTGGGAAATGAGTAGTTCTCAAAGAAGTGGCTTTGAATTCTAGCTTATATATTATCTTCAACAAAGAACAGTAAATTTTGAAAGAAGTGACAAGATAAAGGAAAAGGATTTAAGTCTCTAAGGGCAGCAATTTGTAGGAAGGCAAATAAATGGCAGATAAAGGCCAGTAAGTAAAGCTTGTTCATGTCGATTCCTCTGGTGCCATCTTCAGGCCCATAAGGGTCTCACGTTGTCTTCAGTGGTTAACCTTTGTCCTCCCTGGTAGAAGAGGGACCAAGATACCTTTTATCTTTATAAATCTATGTCCTACTTTTAGGCAAATAGAGGACAGAGAGTTTTCCTGCATCTGTGTCTTCATAACTGTCTTTAGCTCAACAATCTCAGTGCTAAAAAGGCATGTTTGGGAGTGGCATATTCTGGCCTCCCACAGCATTATGCTCACTGCTTATAAACCCAGCAAAATTCCAAGAGTGGACTGTTGCTCAGCTTGGGTCTCATGCTCACCCCCATATTGGGAGTTAAGGGAGGCTTAGCCCCTCAAACCACATGAAATGAGTTGCCCTTAGGAAAGAAGCGCCAAGTTCTCAGAAAAGGGAGAGGAAGGCTGGGCACAGTGGCTCACGCCTGTAATCCCAGCACTTTAGGAGGCCAAGGCAGGCAGATCACCTGAAGTCGGGAGTCCAAGAGCCTGACCAACATGGAGAAACCCAGTCTCTACTAAAAATACAAAATTAGCCAGGCATGGTGGTGCATGCCTGTAATCCCAGCTACTTAGGAGGCTGAGGCAGGAGAATCGCTTGAACCCGGGAGGTGGAGGTTGTGGTGAGACGAGATCACGCCACTGCACTCCAGCCTGGGCAACAAGAGCAAAACTCCATCTCAAAAAAAAAAAAAAAAAGACAGAAAAGGGAGAGGAAAAGTATGTTAGACTGACCAGAATTATAGTTGCCATAATATATAACCAGCAGATAGGCTTTAACAGTTCATAAGTATTTATTGAGTGACTACTATATACCATGTTTACCCTTCTCTTTCTACTTCCCTTCCACTTCCCTTTAAGAAAACATATGTGAATATGAATAGTATTAAGATCAACTTGAATTCTTTCCCATTTATTTTTAGGTGAATTATTTACATATTTTCATAATGAAACTATTTGTGGTAGTTAGTTAGCAAATAAATACTTGCTAACTAATGTGTTGCAATCACACTAGTGTGAAAGGAAATTATCTTGAGCCCCCAAAATCGCTAAGGAAAATTCAAGCTGAAAACTTCTCAGGGCACACCTGCCTCTCATTCTATTCAAAGTGATCCCTCTGCTCACTGAAATAGATGCATATTCTGATTGTCTACTTTGGAAAAGCTTATCAGACACTCAAAAGAAGGCAAGCATTTGTCTCTCACCTACCTGTGACCTGAAAGCCCCCTCCTTGCTTCTAGTTGTCCTCGCCTTTCTGGACAGAACCAACGTATGTCTTACTCATATTGATTGATGTCTCATGTCTCCTTAAAATGTATAAAACCAAGCTGTGCCCCGACCACCTTGGACACACGTCGTCAGGACTTCCTGAGGCTGCGTCATGGGTGCACATCCTCAACCTTGGCAAAATAAACCTTCTAAGTTAACTGAGACCTGTCTCAGATTGTCTGGGTTTACAATAGTTAGCAAGTATTTATTTGTGCTTTTACTAAATTTTAAGAACAAAAAGAGAATGGATCTTTACCCTCAAAAGATTGAGAATTGCTGTTTTAACAGATAAAACTCCAGACAGCGTTTGGCCACACAAAATATAGCCATCACTTTATAGCTAAAACTGTGATTTTTAAGAGTGAGAAACACACCATTAATAAACCAATCTTGTATTAGATATTTTGACATTTAAATTGACTTTATGCAAATAAAATAAGCAGATTTAATTTTCTGATTTGCTCATCATACAGTATATAGATGCACTTCACATTCACATCTTAAAAATCTAATAAGGACATTTCATCTCTTTTTGCCTGGCGTGTCTTTTCCTGATGAATTCCATCACCAACTAGGATGACACTAAACTGAGAAGTCTCACATCACATTCTTGTGCTTCTATTTTATTGTGTGATCTTTCCAGGTAGTTGATTTTTTGTGTGTGCCTTTATGGAAGCATTCTGAAGTTACTAACCATTTCTACAACTTAAATAAAATGTATTTTTCCTACAAGGGAATATCAAGGGGAAGAATTGAAATGTTCACGCCTACGGTCCTCATCATAAGAAATAAAGTGTAAAAGAATTTTCACTTTATCCTGACCTGACTTTGAATATTTAGGGAAAATGCTCAATTTGTAGCTCTAGCTAGTGGCACTACAATGTCACACTTTACTGTTTAACATTCAGCTTTGTTAATCAAGAAAACCATAGATTGGTTCTTTGCATGTTGATTAAATTGATTACAGCTGTAGGCCTTGATAGCATTTTTTTTCAAGTGTCTGTAATTAATCAGACAATGCTTGATTAGTTTTTTCTGTTTTAAGCAGATAAACTGACTTCCTTGAGAATTTTCACCCCTGAAATGATTCCCCTCCAATGAAAGGTAAAAGATAAGTGAGTCACTGTATAGTTTTCCATGATGTTTAGACCTTTTATCCTCCAGCAACTAAAAAAAAAAAAATTTGAAAGGAAAATTAAAACATAATATTAAACTTTTCACAAACTCATGTAAATATATCTCCTAAAATGGAAAAAGTCTATGAGTTTCCTCTGAGATTTTAGCTAGGCTGCCCCTCTATTGTAGAGCATCTTCTAGCTTTGCCATTGTAACATTCTTTGTCAAGTTATATCATTGAATAGACAGAACTGACATTGCAGATATCAGCCCAGGAACCATTATTTTTAATAAATCAGGCTCTTGAATGATGTATTTTTAAAAATTAAATTAAAAAGTTAGCACCTACTTGTTTTAGTCATATCTATAGCATTAGATAAAGTAACTGTTATTTATGCAAATGAAAACTTGACAATTTCCAGGAACATGAGCAATATTTGTAAAGACCCAAAATGTTTAGCTTTCATCATTGGCGTTTACTTTTTTAAAAATTTATTTATTTTTGAGACCAGGTCTCATTCTGTCACCCAAGCTGGAGTGCAGTGGCACAATCATACCTCACTATAGCCTCGACCCTCCAGGCTCAAGCAGTCCTCCCACTTCAGCCCCCCAAGTAGCCCAAGCAGCTGGGACTACTTTTTTTTCTTTTTCTTTTTCTTTTTTTTTTTTTTGCTAGAGATGAGGTCTCACTATATTGCCCATGCTGGTCTTGAACTCCGGGGCATAAGTGATCCCCCAGCCTCAGCCTCCCAAAGTGCTGGGATTACAGGCATGAGCCACTGCACCTGGCCAAATTCATATTTTTAATGGTGAAAGCTGCTAGGATCAATTTAGACCATGCAAGTTAGTATGAGGAAGAAAACCCACTTCACTCTCTCCTTAGTTGGTCAAGGGACCAATCTAACACCTATGTTTCATAAGCATTTGTCACCTAAAATACTTTATAAAGATATTTTGAAGCTGTATTTCAGAAGGGTTTTCTTATAGATCTCATCAAATTAGAAGCTCCTAAAGAGAGAAACTGCTTTAAGAAAAAAAAAAAGGAGTAAAAAAAATTCAACCAGCATAGAAAAGTAGAAAGTAAAAAATAAGTCTTACTCCTCCCATGCCCAACCCTACATTTCTACTGCCAGATGTGATTATGGTTAACAGTTTCTTGGGCATTCTTCAGAAATTTTCTATGCATATATTAGAAAATACATTGTTATGCATATATTTTTTCTATATAAAAAGGATAAGACTATACTGTTCTACAACTTTTTTAAATTTTTTGGATTTGTACAGATAGATTGACAACATTCTACTTTGGCTGCTAGATATTATTTCATTGTTTGGGTGTACCATAATTTATTCAGCCAGTTCCCTGGTAATGGACATTTATCTAGGTGGTTTCCAGCTCTTTGTTGCTGTAGACAGTGCTGTAATAAACATCTTCATTTGCATATATTTATGAGGTAGGGCAAGTATGTGTTTACAGCTAATTTCTAGCAGTGGAATTACTTGGTCAAAAGGTAATTTTGAAAGATATTACCAAACTGTTCACCAATTTACACTCTGGCAGTATATGCTGCTAGTGTCCCATCTCCTTAATTTTACCCTATTTTATCAAATGTTAGAACTTTTGCCAAGCTACTATGTATCAATAGTATATCATTATTTTAATTTGTATTTCTATAATTATATACAAGCTCAAGCATTTTTCTGTATTTTGGGGACATTTATATTTCTTTTCTTTTGACCTGCACATTCACATATGTGCCTACTTTTCTGGGACCATGCCTTGTAATTGTTCAGTATCCTTACATATCCAACACAGTGTTGGGCACAAAGACACTCAATAACTATGAGACACATAAAAATAATCTAAAATATTCCTTATTAGAGTGTAAGACCCTTGAGGCAAACTGCCATCACTTAAGATCCTCGCTCTCACAGAATGACAAAAACAAGAAACAAAATTTCTCTGGAAATTTCTGTGCATTGTGAAGGGGAGGAAAGACTTTCTCTGCCTTCTTAGTTTCTGTTGCTGGGGTCCATGAGTCAAACTAACAAAAGAAAAATTAACAGGAGAAAAGCACGCAAATTTTACTTGATGTTAATATTTTAATTTTTACATGTGCATGGAAGTCTTCATAGAAAAGAAATTAAGACTCAAAGAAGGGCTAGACCCAGAAGACTATATACCATTATAACGATGAGAGATAAGTCGTGGAGATGTGACAAGACAACAGGAAATGGGGTTTGGGCTAGGGGCAGCAAATTGTGGGGATGTGATTAAGAAATGTATGGGGAAAACTAATGGAAGACAGGGATTGTTTTAGTAAGATTTGTTCGTAGAGATTGATCTCAGTGTTACCTCCCCATCTCTGGTGATAAGAATGTTCTCCTCTCCTGGTACAGGAAGAATGTCCTTCTCAGGGAAAATTTATGCCCTGTTTTTAAGGACAAAGTAGAAGGTCAGAGAGCTCTTCTTGCATCTACTGTTTCCCAATGGTCTTTAGCTCAAACTCAATATGCTAATATGGCATATTTGGGGGTAGCTTGTTCCGATCCCCTTATAACGTTATTTTGACACACTGGGAAATGGATATTGTTAACGGGAAGGCTCTATGTTTCTTTTTTGTTTGTTTTTGTTTTTTGCTTGTTTTTTTTTGTTTTTTATTATACTTTAAGTTCTGGGTTACATGTGCAGAATATGCAGGTTTGTTACATAGGTATACACATGCCATGGTGGTTTGCTGCAGCCATCAACCCATCACCTACATTAGGTATTTCTCCTAATGTTATCCCTCCCCTAGTCCCCCACCCCTCAACAGGCCCCAGTGTGTGATGTTCCCCTCCCTGTGTCCATGTGTTCTCATTATTCAACTCCCACTTATGAGTGAGAACACGCAGTGTTTGGTTCGTGATCTTGTGATAGTTTGCTGAGAATGACAGTTTCCAGCTTCATCCATGTCCCTGCAAAGGACATGAACTCATGCTTTTTTATGGCTGCATAGTATTCCATGGTGTATATGTGCCACATTTTCTTAATCCAGTCTATCATTGTTGGACATTTGGGTTGGTTCCAAGTCTTTGCTATTGTGAATAGTGCCGCGATAAACATACGTGGGCATGTGTCTTTATTGCAGAATGATTTCAAACACCTATGTACTAAATTCCCACAATAACACTATTCTATTTTGCCTAAATTACACAAAAACAAGCACCTAACTGACCTTCCTGGTCCCTATCTTATTCTCCACTAATTCAGTCTCCCACCACTGCCACTGTGAGCTTTCTCAAATGCAAATCCAAGATTCTTCTATCTTAAAATCCTTCAGTAGGTCCCCAGCGCCTTCATAATAAGGTAAGAACTCCTTAGTTTGCCATCTAAGCATCCTGCTTCTTCAACAACTGACTACAGTTGCTGGGAGTACCCCAAGGTCTCTCTCACACCTTTCTACTGTACTTCATGCTGTTCCTTCTAGAATATTCTTCCATCTCTTCACTATCTGGCTGCCTCATTCTCATCCTTCAGGAATAACCCTTTCATGACTTTTGCTAGAAAGCCTTCCCTGAACTATTCTCCTGACTATAAGAGGTTCCTTGGGCTTACCTCTATCTAACACTTACTTCACTCTCTTATAAATATTGGTCTAGTGACCTGTTCCCAGTAGTCCAAATTCCTCAAAGGCGGGAACCATGTCTTACTCCTCAGTACCCCGCATAAAGTCTGCAACAGCACAGGGGCTCGATAAACATCTACTAAGTGTAAAATTATAAAGCAACTATGATGATAACAGTCTATAGAAGGAAAGGAAAGGGTCAGCTTTCTTTCATATTATCTCAAGTAGATGGGATATTACTGTTCACGTATTCTTGAGTTCAATGCCTGATGTCTGGATTTGTGCCTCCAGAGTTGAATTATCTACATATGTAATAGTTCAGTGTCTAGAAAATAGTCCCAAGATGCTTTGTCATTAATATTTTCTTAACCTGAGGGAAAGTACTGGCATACAGGAAAGATAGAAAGATATTCTGCAGAGAACATATAAAGTATATTTAATAGAGTATAGAGAAGATGGTGCTTGTGGTTTCTTAGAGCACTGAGCACTTGTGGGAAACTGGATCCTCTCTGTTTTGTGGATTTATCTAATAAAGACATAGGCAGGAGAGGTGATTTTGTAGAAACCAGAAGAAAGAGTATGATTTCCCATTTGTATGAGTGTTTATTGCATACCTCCATATAAACCTGGATTGATGTGAGATGAAAACACAGTAGTAGTTGTTTATGCATCGTGTTTCCCGCCTTTTGCTATGGTAGAGATGTGATCCTATTCCAGATGTCACGATAATGTAAACATCCTCTGGGAGCACTTTTAGGAGGGGAGACATGTCTGGCAAGCGTAATTCTCATGTCATTCTCAACTAGCTGCCTTTTCAGCTCCTGTTATTCCTCCCGCCACTCTCAGAGCATGCTCTCCTGACCTTCTCCTTACAAGTTCTTCCTCAGAGAACTCATCCATTTTCCCATCTTTTTGCTCTCATCTATATGTCTTTCTCTTTTAGCCCTGGCCCTCCTGAGAGCATTCATTCAGCAAACATTTATTGAGAATTCAATATGTGAAGAAGTCAGACATGATGGCCAGACACGATTCAGTCACACAAATGGGCAGGTCATTACACACTGAGATGACTGATCTGTAGTAACCATGGAATCTTTCCGGACATCTTCTCTCAGCCCTGCTATATCCACCCTTCATGCTGCTCTCTGTCCAGAGAGGCTGATAGACATAAACTACATCAATGGACTTCCTTGTCCTCTGGCTTCTGATGGCACTCAGCCAATGAAGATCAGAGGAGGAGGGAGAAGGAAGTCAGGGGCACTCTTCCCCATCTCCCTCCCTGTAGGACTAACTCGGGCTTACTGCAAAATTCGGCCCAGGGTCACAGCTCCTATCAAGGAGGCCCTCTCTCCACACCTTTTGCTTTCTGGGTCTGGCCACTGCCCCTTCCTTTTCCCTTAAGGTCTAAGGGTGGCAGCAGCCCTGGTATTCATACGGTTCCATTTGGATCCCCTGCCTGTTCTTACCTTTTTATAAGCCCTCCCTCAAATTCTCCCCAGTTCCTCCTAATGTGAGTATGCCAAGTGTTTCCTGCTGGGATATTGACTGGGAGAACTTGTGGTAGACTTAGAACTCAAGCAAGGCTCCTCTAAAGTAACATTTGAGCTGAAAGCTGAAGACTTGAGGATAAAGAGAGTCAACTAGGCCATTGTAAGAAGAGAGACTACGGATGTGGCTTTCATGTGAAGCCTGAGGGGAGTGTGGTGGTGACTGTAAGGGAAAGATACAAAAAATGCTGGGGCAATAGAACCAGGCTAGTCAAGGCTTTAAGCCAATGTGGTAATTTGGGATTTTACCGTAAAAACAAATTTTGAAAAGCTTACTCTGGTTTGGATTATATAGAGACCAGATTGGCTAGAGGAAGAGCATGGGAGCGGTGCTAGAAACATAGACTAGGATAATGGCAATGGGTTTGGAGACACATATTCAAGAGCTAAGTGTAAGACTTAGTAAGGTATCCCTAAATATTTCCAGCACATCGCCACATGGAGAAACTTTCAAGACCTCAGATTCCCGCTCGTGTTAAACCAAGCACTTCCATCATCCCAAACTGGTTTCCTCTTCCCAGTTTTCCAATTAATTCAGTGGTGCCAATACTGTTTCATTCCCCTAGAATCCAGATTTTAAACTTCCTCATTCTCTCTTCAGAGTGGCTTCCTCCATGTGACAGGAAATGGGATCACCAGTGGCATCTGAATTTCACTTTGTTTAGCTCCCATCTTCATTGTGAGAATCTCTCTTTTTCAGATCCAGTTTGAGAAGTTCCAGGGAAGCACAGCAGCTGGCCCTTATTAGGTTGGGTGTCCACCTCTGGACCAATCTGCTCCAGAAAGCCATGTGCTTAGAGGTGGCTATTCCAAGGAGAAGGGGGAGGAGGGAGTCTTGAACAGTCCCTTAGCTCTCTCCTACTGTATCTTGAAAAAAGATTAGAATTATTCCTTAGCCATAAGGGGTAAGGGTAGGAGAAACGCATACAAGTAAAAGGAAAATGGATTTTACCTCAACATGAGGAAAAACTGTTGAACAGCCAAAACTACTTGAAGATGAAATGTGATATTTGAAAGCAGTAGGTAGACAGTTTCTGATGGTAATCAAGCATAGATTAGATAAACACTTGGTGGGAATGTTGTGGAAGGGTTTCAGAACATCAATGGGGGTTATTCTTCAATATTAAGAATCTGGTTAGAGACTTCTGAGGAAAACAAACAAAAATTAAACAACAGCATCTTAATACTTATTCAAGTCCAGAGATATATGAAAGAGGGCATGGTGGTCCACACCTGTAATCCCAACACTTTGGGAGGCTGAGGTGGGAGAATCGCTTGAAGCTAGGAGTTAGAGTCCAGGCTGGGAAACATAGCAAGACCCTGTCTCTACAGAAAGTTTTAAACATAGGAAAAAAAGAGATATGCAAAAGAGTTCCCAACTTATATTTTAAGATCCCTTCTTGAAGTGGGAGATGAATTCTATGAAGAAATGCTATTGAGAGCACTTTCTATATGTTTTAGTTTTTTAAAAAAGGAACACAAATTTTCTTAGTTTTTTTAAGCTAGTAAATATGTTTCTGAATAAACATTCTGCTTCCTGAGGTAGAAAATTAAATTTTTCTTTCTTGGCTATAAAGAAGCAGGTGTGTGTCCCTGACCTGTGTGTGTATATTGAATACATGGTAAGGAAACAAAAGCATGCTTTTAGCAAGGGGAGAAAGAGCAAGATGAAAGAAGAATGCAGAGTGGGTTACAACAGCAGCATTATTTATTGTTATGGAGACTTTCAATATCAAGTACCACTCAGTATTCTTGGCTAAGAAAGACACTATTTCAATAGTCATACATTTGGCAAATATTGAGGGAGCAGCTACTGTGTGCCAGGAACTCTACTAGGAGCTAGAGTCTAATGGGGTTGCGACATTCATCAAATGATCAAACAAACGAGGTTGTAATTATGAGCTGAGACGAGAGCTCTTAACGAGAAGATCACAGTTGCTCTAAAAGAAGGAGTGAAAGGAGCTCGACTAGATTGAAGAGGGGATGTCAGCGAAGATTTCCCAAGAGTGTGATGCTTTAGCCAAAATACAAAGGCTGGGTATGAATTCACCAGGCCAAGGGACAGTAGAAAGAGGGGAGGAAAGCATGGTCTAGACAAGGGGGCACAGCCTGGGCAAAGGCCCAGTGATGGTAGGGAGCATGGCACACTCTAGGAACAGAGAAGACCAGCGTGGCCAGAGCATAGGGAGTGTGATGGAACATTGTACCACATGAGGTTGGAAAAATACGTAGAGACTAGTCTATGGAAAGCCTCAAAGGCTAAGGTAATGGTCCTGGTCTTTCTCCTGAGGATGATGGCTTCCCGATGACACTGGGAAGACACTTTGAAACAAGAGATGGACATATTATCAAGTAATTTTGGCTATAGTGTGGAGAACAGAGGAGAAATGAAGCCAGGATGAGTGAATATGAGGAGATCAAGTAAGAGCTTTTGCTACAGATGACACAAGCCAAGATAGTTGCTTAGACCTTGGTGGTGGAAGGGGAGATGGTGAGAAAGGTAGATTCAAAGCTATTTAGGAGAAAAATTGGCAGGAATTTTCATAAGAACCTCAAGCATTGTCTACTTCACAGTTCCTTTCACTAAGGCATGGGTCATTGAACTATATAGCCTGTAGGCCCAAATCCTACCCACTGCCTGTTTTTGTAAATAAGGCTTTATTAGAATCCAGCCATGCCCATTCGTAAACCTATTGTTTATGCCTGTTTTTGCAGTACAACAGCAGAGTTAAACAGTTGTGACAGAGACCTTTATGGCTCATAAAACTAACACATTTTCTATCTGGCCCTTTACAGAAAAACTTTGCAAAGCATGGATTTTTCACTACTTGAAATACCATTTCCATGATATCCCATGATGCATAAGTTCTTTATTTGGAGCCCAGAGGTTCACATATGGGCTTTAGACTATCTCTGACCTCCTGAAATTGGAAGTAAAATTTGATATTTATGTATATATTTTTGGGAAACAGTTTTCACCAGCTTTTAATAAGAATCTATGAATTGTCCCCAAAAATGAGCTATCTCCTAGTCCTCTCCCCAGTCTGTTCTCTGGCCATAAAAGATTTTTAAAATCTAAATTTCTTTCAGTGAATAAGAAATGTACACTGATACTAAATGATAAATATCATTAAGTATGGATAGACATTGCTGCAAATTGTTAAATTCCTAATATAAGATCCCCAGTGAAAATGACCCAGAGCTTTATGATAGCAGGTAGCTCAATGCTGTAATTGAAAGATATATAATAATTATTGCCATGTTTTAGATTTCTGAAATAGTGACTACGCCAAATAATTACTTAAATGTATACAAGATTGTAGATAGCTCTTTTGCAAGTAAATTCCTTCACAGGAACAAATGGATGGGTACAGCTCATGTTTTGTGTTTCTGTTTGTTTTTTTTTTTTTTTTTGGTTTTTTTTTTTTTTTTTGGCTAGAATGTGTTCTCCATCAGACCATGACTCTTTAAGTGTAGGAACCAAGAATAATTTATCCTGAAATCCCCACACAGCCTGGCACACAGCAGTTCAGTAAATGCTTACTGTATACATAAAGAGATGATTAAGCTAACTTGCTCTTATATAATGTTATGTGTATATGTGTGTGCGTGTGTGTGTGTGTAGATGTATATATGTGTGTATACACATACAGTATACTTATAGGAAGCACATTAATAAAATAAATGTATATAAAATTGTCTCGTAAACACAATCTTGTTTTTAGACAAAGGAACTGAAGCCATAGTCTGTCTTAACTGAGGACATTGTCTTCAGTTCTATAGGTAACTGATTCAGCCCTACTCAGGTAATGTCCACTGTCTAGCATGCAGGTTGAATGAAAACAATGTGGTATTCCTTTACGGCCAAGATTTTAGTATTAAATCAATCTGTTCATTATAAAAATTCACAAGATAGTATTTATTCTTCATCTGTTCAATATTTTTACTTGTGTATTTAATACAAATCCATGGTCTCGACTCTTGAATACAGCACCTCTTCTTGCAGAGTACTCAATATGTGCAGGTGTGCCCAGTAGCCCTCTCCCTCCAGTTTCAAGAGGAGGGTAAGGGTGGGAGACATACCTGAGTCCTCAAGAGGAAGGAGGAAGAGGAGGCTCCTTCCTGCATGTGCTCAGAGAGAAGGCCTGACTGAAAGGATGTTTATCTACCCAAGGAAATGGAGGCTTTTCATTACAGGGAGATAGAGTCAGTCCATGGCATAAAAGGATTATAGTCGGGTGGAGCCAAGATGGCCGAATAGGAACAGCTCCAGTCTACAGCTCCCAGTGTGAGCGATGCAGAAGACGGGTGATTTCTGCATTTCCAACTGAGGTACCGGGTTCATCTCACTGAGGAGTATCGGACAGTGGGTGCAGTACACCGACCGTGAGCTGAAGCAGGGCGAGGCATCGCCTCACCTGGGAAGCGCAAGGGGTCAGGGAATTCCCTTTCCTAGTCAAAGAAAGGGGTGACAGATGGCACCTGGAAGATCAGGTCACTCCCACCCTAATACTGCGCTTTTCCAACAGTCTTAGCAAACGGCACACCAGGAGATTATATCCCACGCCTGGCTCGGAGGATCCTACACCAACGGAGCCTCGCTTATTGCTAGCACAGCAGTCTGAGATCAAACTACAAGGTGGCAGCAAGGCTGGAGGAGGGGCGCCCTCCATTGCTGAGGCTAGAGTAGGTAAACAAAGCAGCTGGGAAGCTCAAACTGGGTGGAGCCCACTGCAGCTCACGGAGGCCTGCCTGTCTCTGTAGACTCCACCTCTGGGGGGCAGGGCATAGCCAAACAAAAGGCAGCAGAAACCTCTGGAGACTTAAATGTCCCTGTCTGACAGCTTTGAAGAGAGTAGTGGTTCTCCCAGCATGCAGCTTGAGATCTGAGAACCAACAAACTGCCTCAAGTGGGTCCCTGACCCCTGAGTAGCCTAACTGGGAGGAACCCCCGAGTAGGGGCAGACTGACACCTCACATGGCCAGGTATGCCTCTGAGATAAAACTTCCAGAGGAACTATCAGGCAGCAACATTTGCTGTTCACCAATATCCACTGTTCTGCAGCCTCCGCTGCTGATACCCAGGCAAACAGGGTCTGGAGTGCACCTCCAGCAAACTCCAACAGACCTGCAGCTGAGGGTCCTGACTGTTACAAGGAAAACTAACAAACAGAAAGGACATCCACACCAAAACCTCATCTGTACATCACCATCATCAAAGACCAAAGGTAGATAAAACCACAAAGATGGGGAAAAAACAGAACAGAAAAACTGGAAACTCTAAAAATCAGAGTGCCTCTCCTCCTCTAAAGGAATGCAGCTTCTCACCAGCAACGGAACAAAGCTGGACGGAGAATGACTTTGACGAGTTGAGAAAAGAAGGCTTCAGACAATCAAACTACTCTGAGCTAAAGGAGGAAGTTCAAACCCATGGCAAAGAAGTTAAAAACCTTGAAAAAAAATTAGACGAATGGCTAACTAGAATAACCAATGCAGAGAAGTCCTTAAAGGACCTGATGGAGCTGAAAACCAAGGCACAAGAACTACGTGATGAATACACAAGCCTCAGTAGCCGATTCGATCAACTGGAAGAAAGGGTGTCAGTGATGGAAGATCAAATGAATGAAATGAAGCGACAAGAAAAGTTTAGAGAAAAAAGAATAAAAAGAAATGAAGAAAGCCTCCAAGAAATATGGGACTATGTGAAAAGACCAAATCTACGTCTGATTGGTGTACCTGAAAGTGATGGGGAGAATGGAACCAAGTTGGAAAACACTCTGCAGGATATTATCCAGGAGAACTTCCCCAATCTAGCAAGGCAGGCCAACATTCAGATTCAGGAAATACAGAGAACGCCACAAAGATACTCCTCCAGAAGAGCAACTCCAAGACACATCATTGTCAGATTCACCAAAGTTGAAATGAAGGAAAAAATGTTAAGGGCAGCCAGAGAGAAAGGTCAGGTTAGCCACAAAGGGAAGCCCATCAGACTAACAGCTGATTTCTCCGCAGAAACTCTACAAGCCAGAAGAGAGTGGGGGCCAATATTCAACATTATTAAAGAAAATAATTTTCAACCCAGAATTTCATATCCAGCCAAACTAAGCTTCATAAGTGAAGGAGAAATAAAATCCTTTACAGACAAGCAAATGCTGAGAGATTTTGTCACCACCAGGTCTGCCCTAAAAGAGCTCCTGAAGGAAGCACTAAACATGGAAAGGAACAACCAGTACCAGCCACGGCAAAAACATGACAAATTGTAAAGACCGTCAAGGCTAGGAAGAAACTGCATCAACTAACGAGCAAAATAATCAGCTAACATCATAATGACAGGATCAAATTCACACATAACAATATTAACCTTAAATGTAAATGGGCTAAATGCTCCAATTAAAAGACACAGACTGGCAAATTGGATAAAGAGTCAAGACCCATCAGTGTGCTGTATTCAGGAAACCCATCTCATGTGCAGAGACACACACAGGCTCAAAATAAAAGGATGGAGGGAGATCTACCAAGCAAATGGAAAACAAAAAAATGCGGGGGTTGCAATCCTCATCCCTGATAAAACAGACTTTAAACCAACAAAGATCAGAAGAGACAAAGAAGGCCATTACATAATGGTAAAGGGATCAATTCAATAAGAAGAGCTAACTATCCTAAATATATATGCACCCAATACAGGAGCACCCAGATTCATAAAGCAAGTCCTTAGAGACCTACAAAGAGACTTAGACTCCCACACAATAATAATGGGAGACTTTAACACCCCACTGTCAACATTAGACAGATCCATGAGACAGAAAGTTAACAAGCATATCCAGGAATTGAACTCAGCTCTGCACCAAGCAGACCTAATAGACATCTACAGAACTCTCCACCCCAAATCAACAGAATATACATTCTTTTCAGCACCACACCACACCTATTCCAAAATTGACCACATAGTTGGAAGTAAAGCACTCCTCAGCAAATGTAAAAGAACAGAAATTATAACAAACTGTCTCTCAGACCACAGTGCAATCAAACTAGAACTCAGGATTAAGAAACTCACTCAAAACCGCTCAACTACATGGAAACTGAACAACCTGCTCCTGAATGACTACTGCATACATAACAACATGAAGGCAGGAATAAAGATGTTCTTTGAAACCAAAGAGAACAAAGACACAACATACCAGAATCTCTGGGACACATTCAAAGCAGTGTGTAGACGGAAATTTATAGCACTAAATGCCCACAAGAGAAAGCAAGAAAGATCTAAAATTGACACCCTAACATCACAATTAAAAGAACTAGAGAAGCAAGAGCAAACACATTCAAAAGCTAGCAGAAGGCAAGAAATAATGAAGATCAGAGCAGAACTGAAGGAAATAGAGACACAAAAAACCCTTCAAAAAAATCAATGAATCCAGGAGCTGGTTTTTTGAGAAGATCAACAAAATTGATAGACCACTAGCAAGACTAATAAAGAAGAAAACAGAGAAGAATCAAATAGGTGCAATAAAAAATGATAAAGGGGATATCACCACCAATCCCACAGAAATACAAACTACCATCAGAGAATACTATAAACACCTCTACACAAATAAACTAGAAAATCTAGAAGAAATGGATAAATTCCTCGACACATACACCCTCCCAAGACTAAACCAGGAAGAAGTTGAATCTCTGAATAGACCAATGACAGGCTCTGAAATTGAGGCAATAATTAATAGCTTACCAACCAAAAAAAGTCCAGAACCAGATGGATTCACAGCTGAATTGTACCAGAGGTACAAGGAGGAGCTGCTACCATTCCTTCTGAAACTATTCCAATCAATAGAAAAAGAGGGAATCCTCCCTAACTCATTTTATGAGGCCAGCATCATCCTGATACCAAAGCCTGGCAGAGACACAACAAAAAAAGAGCATCTTAGACCAATATCCCTGATGAACATCGATGCAAAAATCCTCAATAAAATACTGGCAAAGCAAATCCAGCAACACATCAAAAAGCTTATCCACCATGATCAAGTGGGCTTCATCCCTGGGATGCAAGGCTGGTTCAACATACGCAAATAAATAAATGTAATCCAGCATGTAAACAGAACCAATGACAAAAACCACATGATTATCTCAATAGATGCAGAAAAGTCCTTTGACAAAATTCAACAACCCTTCATGCTAAAAACTCTCAATAAATTAGGTATTGCTGGGATGTATCTCAAAATAATAAGAGCTATTTATGACAATCCCACAGCCAATATCATACTGAATGGGCAAAAACTGGAAGCATTCCCTTTGAAAACTGGCCCAAGACAGGGATGCCCTCTCTCACCACTCCTATTCAACATAGTGTTGGAAGTTCTGGCCAGGGCAATCAGGCAGGAGAAGGAAATAAAGGGTATTCAATTAGGAAAAGAGGAAGTCAAATTGTCCCTGTTTGCAGATGACATGATTGTATATCTAGAAAACCCCATCATCTCAGCCCAAAATCTCCTTAAGCTGATAGGCAACTTCAGCAAAGTCTCAGGATACAAAATCGATGTGCAAAAATCACAAGCATTCTTATACACCAATAACAGACAAACAGAGAGCAAAATCATGAGTGAACTCCCATTCACAATTGCTTCAAAGAGAAGAAAATACCTAGGAATCCAACTTACAAGGGATGTGAAGGACCTCTTCAAGGAGAACTACAAACCACTGCTCAACAAAACAAAAGAGGATACAAAGAAATAGAAGAACATTGCATGCTCATGGGTAGGAAGAATCAGTATGTGAAAATGGCCATACTGCCCAAGGTAATTTATAGATTCAGTGCCATCCCCATCAAGCTACCAATGACTTTCTTCACAGAATTGGAAAGAACTACTTTAAAGTTCATATGAAACCAAAAAGGAGCCCGCATTGCCAAGTCAATCCTAAGCCAAAAGAACAAAGCTGGAGGCATCATGCTACCTGACTTCAAACTATACTACAAGGCTACAGTAACCAAAACAGCATGGTACTGGTACCAAAACAGAGATATAGATCAATGGAACAGAACAGAGCCCTCAGAAATAATGCCGCATATCTACAACCATCTGATCTTTGATAAACCTGGGAAAAACAAGCAATGGGGAAAGGATTACCTATTTAAGAAATGGTGCTGGGAAAACTGGCTAGCCATATGTAGAAAGCTGAAATTGGATCCCTTCCTTGCACCTTGTACAAAAATTAATTCAAGATGGGTTAAAGACTTAAACGTTAGACCTAAAACCATAAAAACCCTAGAAGAAAACCTAGGCAATACCATCCAGGACATAGGCATGGGCAAGGACTTCATGTCTAAAACACCAAAATCAGTGGCAACAAAAGCCAAAATTGACAAATGGGATCTAATTAAACTGAAGAGCTTCTGCACAGCAAAAGAAACTTCCATCAGAGTGAACAGGCAACCTACAAAATGGGAGAAAATTTTTGCAATCTACTCATCTGACAAAGGGCTAATATCCAGAATCTACAATGAACTCAAACAAATTTACAAGAAAAAAACAACCCCATCAACAAGTGGGTGAAGGATATGAACAGACACTTCTCAAAAGAAGACATTTATGCAGCCAAAAGACATATGAAAAAATGCTCACCATCACTGGCCATCAGAGAAATGCAAATCAAAACCACAATGAGATACCATCTCACACCAGTTAGAATGGCAATCCTTAAAAAGTCAGGAAACAACAGGTGCTGGAGAGGATGTGGAGAAATAGGAACACTTTTACACTGTTGGTGGGACTGTAAACTAGTTCAACCATTGTGGAAGTCAGTGTGGCGATTCCTCAGGGATCTAGAACTAGAAATACCATTTGACCCAACCATCCCATTACTGGGTATATACCCAAAGGACTATAAATTATGCTGCTATAAAGACACATGCACATGTATGTTTATTGCAGCACTATTCACAATAGCAAAGACTTGGAACCAACCCAAATGTCCAACAATGATAGACTGGATTAAGAAAATGTGGCACATATACACCATGGAATACTATGCAGCCATAAAAAAGGATGAGTTCTTGTCCTTTGTAGGGACATGGATGAAGCTGGAAACCATCATTCTCAGCAAACTATCGCAAGGTCAAAAAACCAAACACCGCATGTTCTCCCTCATAGGTGGGAATTGAACAATGAGAACACACGGACACAGGAAGGGAAAAATCACACACTGGGGCCTGTTGTGGGTGAGGGGAAGGGGGAGGGATAGCATTAGGAGATATACCTAATGCTAAATGACGAGTTAATGGGTGCAGCACACCAACATGGCACATGTGTACATATGTAACAAACCTGCACGTTGTGCACATGTACCCTAAAACTTAAAGTATAATAAATAAATAAATAAATAAGGATTATAGTCAGAGCTGAGGAAACCAACCAGAGTATCAAGTCCAAGGGGCAAGTATGGAAATGGTGGAACAGCAAGCAGGAGTAGATTCTGAAGCACAGGTGTCTGGGTAAGAAGCCAACCCACGAAATGGTTCAGAACTAAAGCTAAGACTGGCATGTGGTGAAGGAGCCTCAGCTAGAACTCCCCATTCCTTGAATGTTTGCTGCTTATGTAGGGGAAAGCATGGAGGTTTAAAGGAGTTGATCAAGGATCAAGACAATGGGCCAGCATTAAATATCACATATAAAAATGTAAACATGTAAGATACAGATGCTGGACTGCACATTTCTGCTTAAAAATAAAATTATTAAACATACATAAAGTAAAATAAAAAACAAAACAAACAAACAAAATGCCACCAGAGTGGGGAAATTGTATAACTTGGAGCATCATTTCCCAAGGTGTGTTCTGTGGTCCCAAAAGATGTAACAGTTCTAGATACATAAATTTGGGCAATGCTGCATACTCCAGCCTCCTCTTGGGATACTCACAGTGTTTTCAAAGCTCTGAAAAGTCCTGCAAGAAAAGTCCTGGTTGATTTTGTTTAGCCCAAAGTTTTTTATATTTTAGTTAAAATAGAAACCTTTCTTTTTACATTATACTTTGTAAATGCTTACTTAGTAAAAAGCTAAACAAATGAGTTAGTTGCTTTGATTAAAAATTTCTTAATTGTATAAAATCTTCTAAATCTGTGTTAAAATAACATTATTTGTCAAAATAACTCTATGGTTATTTTAAAGAGGTAAAATTAGATATACCTTATACCAGAACAAACTCACACCATATACCAGAATAAACTAAAAATGGACCAGAAATCTAATTGTGAAAAATGAATCCATTTAAGTAAATGGAAGAAAACATGGGTGCATTTCCACAGAACTTGGTTGTAGGGAAAGGCTTTATAAAAATGACCCAAAATACAGAGACAATTTTTTTTAAATGGCTGATACCTTTGACTACATAAAAATAAAACCTTTTGTATGGCACAAAGAAAAACCACCATAAACAAAGACAAACTATAAAGTGAGGGAAAGATAAAAAATCTGATAGAAGAAAGGGCAAAAGATGTGAACAATCATATATATGGCACATGCATATATATATGTGTGTGTGTGTATGTATGTACACATGTGTATTACATACATGCCCTTAAATATATGAAAATACAGTCAACTCCACGTATAATGAGAACAAATTCAAATCAAGCCTGCTTTAAAGTATCAGTTCTCACCTCTCATATCAGAAAGCATTAAAATATTCACAACATATTCCTCTAAAGTTGCTCTCGGGAAATCAGCATTCTCATACATTGCTGGTGAGAATGAAGACAGGTACAACCCTTGTGAAGAGAATTTGCCAATATCTAACAAAGACAAGTATACATTTATCTTTTGTTCTGGGAATCCCACTTTTAGAAATTTACCTTTTCAGGATTTACCTCTAAGTATACAAAAATAAACATACCCAAGGTTATTCATTTAAGTGTTCATTGCAATCATTGCAAAACATTGAAAACATGCTCAAACATAGAAGAGGGTGAAATGAATGATAGTACCTCCATAGGGTAACGTATTATGCTGCTGTAAAAAAAGGATGAGGAAGCTCTCCATGAACTGGTATGGAATGATTTCCAGGATAAATTATAAGCTGAAAAGATAAAAGTACAAAGGAGTATTATAATATGCTACCTTTTGCTTAAGAAAGGGAATAAAAAACAGACATGTATCTGTTCAGTTTTTGCAAAATGAAACACAGAAAGGCAACACCAGAACTAATGAAATTTATTACCTCTAGAGGTGAGGGTAGGAATAGAGTAGAAGTTATGAGGGGATGGGAACAAACAGGAAGAGATAGGAGGATGTGACTCTTACCCCAAATGTGCCCTTCTGTAGTTTTGACTTTTGATTGTTAATGTTGTATGTAATCCACAACAACAACAAAAGTAATAAAAATCAACAAGAAAGGAGAAAAAAGCCTAAAATGTAACACAAAAGGAAGCAGATGACTTTCGTTGTATTTCGAATGACTAATATACTCACATTGAAAATGGGGAAAAAAAGAACCGAAGTCAGTTTTGAATATAGTATTTTAACCAGAGAAGAAAAATATCTGTAAGCAAATTGAGAACTTGAGAGAGTAGGTTTAGGGTAAGTGTTTCTTGTTTGTTTTGCTTGGGAATTCTGAAGCTACTTTCGGTAACTTCCATAATTCAGGAAGTAGGTAAATATCTTGAGGATACTGAGGGCCAGTTTCCTCACTGTCAGAGGGGGGTTACAAATACGGAAAGAAGAAAGATGAGAATGAACCTGTGGTGTTGGATTAGTATTGGAGGAACCAATGTGAGTGCACAGTTACAGAGGTCAGGGATCATCAGATGTTTTCAGTAAAGGAGCAGATAATAAATTACTTAACTCTGCCATTGTAGCACAAAAGCAGCCATAGACAAAATGTAAGCAAATGAGCATGGCTGTATTCCCATACATTTTTATTTATGGACACTGAATTTCGAATTTTATATAATTTTCATCTGTCATGAAACATTATTTTAATTTTTTTAACCATTTAAAAATGTAAAAACCATTCTTAGTTTGCAAGCTAGACATAAACAGGCAGTGGGCCAGACTTGGCCCATGGGCCATAGTTTGCTGATTCCTGTTTAGATAGATATATAGTTAGGTCAGTAGATACATAGATTAAGAGATAGAGAGCAAATATGATAAAATGTTAAAGGTGGGGAAACTGGGTGAAGGATATACAGTAGTTCTTTATACTCTTCTTGCAACTTTTCTATAAATCTAAAATTTTTTTAATCACAAAAAGAAGAGCCCTGTATTTTTCATAGCTAGTGCTGAAAAGGAAAAACATTGATCAAATTATTGACCTAAGAAGTGAGTGTCTTACATTTCGTAACATTCACACAACTCCCACCTACACTTTCCCCACTGGGGTAGCTCCTACTGTGATTATATAGTTTCTGATTTGTAGCTGGGGGTGTCATGATGTGATTACATTATTTTCTCCTGTTCATCCTTGTTCTTCATCACCCTTATTGAGTAATGAGGTCACTGCGCTGGTAATTTGTATATGACCTTGTAATTTCCTATAGTGCAGGAAGTTTTTGGTCTGCTATAATTAAGTAGCCTAAATAAACAGTGCTTATCAGAAATGCCCCATTAGCTTGGAAGTCTGTGACAAATCCTTTCTGATGCCCTTAATGTGTTATTATGAAATTCAATTACACAGCATGCTCACCTTGCATATTTCACCAGCCACAATGTAGTGATAGCTGTGGTGAGCAGTGACTGAAAGTATCGTAAAATATTATAAGTAGGAATTAGGTAATTTTGACATTAATATGCTTTTTATGCTGGAAAAGCAAATAGTTTGTAAGGAAAATCTCTGTTGTATAGACTGTTAATCATTCTACCATCCTTTACCGGTTTAGTTCCAACAAAGTCCATTTCTACCTTGGTTTATTTATCATTGTAGGTAAGTCCACACCATGATCTTCATTGATAATGAAGATGATAGTGGTCAAAGCTGAAATTTATTGAGTGCTAATTCTGTACCCATATTCACACCAAATGTTTTTCTTCCATTTGTTTCTGTTTAATCCTAACACTCAACTCTTTTGTTATTATCTCCTTTTCACACATGAATCTTAGCAATGCTAAGTGACGTGGCCAAGTTCTTACTGTAGGAAGCACGGAGCTGGAACTGGCCTGCAGAGCCAGTGCTCTTAGCTGTTGTCTAGAACTGTCTCCCATTGTAGATTAATACCGTAGGAAGTACAGAAATTTAGAAAGAAATTATTTAGTTATAAAGACATACTTCTATTGAGAAGAATAAGGTAAATGATAACGGGCACTAATAGCAGTGCAAGAAATAGAATTCACATTGGAAAATCTTTTACATCCTCCTGCCTGCTCCTTACCACTAGTGAAGCTCAGTGGTAAGTTTAGAGATGAGAAGGGCTTAAAGTAGAATATGCAGTGACTCAAGCCTTCTGGATGTCACCAGCTTGAATTCTACCCCCCAGGTATCTACGAGAGGAAGCAAGAGACTGGGGAAGAGTGCAGTAGGAAGGAAAGTAAAGAGATGGGGAAATGCCCTCACTCCCCCTTCCTTTGCCTTCACTGCTCAAAAGCCCCGAGTTAAGAGAGACTGACTCCCACCACTGCTGGGGTCCATGGCAGCTCCAAGACTGACTTCAGTTCTGAGTCACCTTGTGGAGTGTGACCATCCATGACATGTGGCATGTGACTTTGTCACGCTTTCTTACCCAAAGCTCATAAGGAGCTTCATCTCAGCTACGTTTCCTCTGAGTTATTGAAATAATTTCTTATGTGAAAAGAACTCTGCTGTAATTTAATAACAACAATAATAAACTTTTGAGTGGAATATTCATTTAGTTGAAGTATTTCTCAAACTGGCTAGTTAAGTGATTGACTCCATATTAACCAATTTACAAAACTGGATATTGATATCTGGACATCTGTCTTTCTGAAATATGAAGGAGGAAAAAAAGTGTTTCTTTTTGGAAGCCCCAAGGAACTGAAAATCCATGGGAAACCTAAAATCTATATATGGAATTCCAGACATGCTCATTCACTTTGTTTTCTTTTTAGGGACTGGTTAAATATGTTGAGCCCACCAATCGTTCCTCCCAGTCAACAGCCGGCTGAGCAGCGTCCAGATTCCTGTGAAAGTTTGAGTGTTCAAGGTGGGACTATGAAAAACGATATGCATAAGAAAATAAAAATAATTTACTATAAATAGAGAGAATCCATCACTTTGAGATGCCACTGTTTTTATTAAATGTTGATCACTTAGTCTTACACACCCTAAATGAGGTAACCTGAGCCTCATTTTTTAGAATAATGGGTTCTTTACAACTAAAAAGAAGATGAGAGAAACTACCCTTGTTCTTCTAAAGGTTAATACCAGGGCAAAATACAGTTTAAGGTATAAGAATATGGTTTGGATGTCAAATTGACCTTCATCTGAATTTCAGCACTACCAGTTCCCACTGTGTGACCTTTATGAATTTTGATTACTACATCTATAAAATAACACGAATAATAGTTAGTGCCTCCCCGATTATTCCTTGTGAAGATTCAATGAGGTGCTGTATATGAAGCACTTAGAATAGTGCCTACCAAATACCAGCTGTTGGCATTATTATACAGCAGACACGATATTTCAACATCACTCAGATACCTGTTTCCATGAATGCAAAGATACAACCTTTGCATTAAAGCAGAAGTTGTCACGTAGCTACAATAGGTATTAGTAAGATAAAAATCAGAAGGAACCAGCAATGAAAATTTGCCAGGTGTTCGTTTGGTTGGCATGAGCCATAAAGATGAACCATTAGTTTCTGGTTGTGAGCAGGGAACTTGACTGTCAGGTGTGCGTGGTAGAGGAACATAAGAGAATCTCTGGTGAAAACTGAGGAGTTGAGATGGCAGAGGCATGGGGTAATCTCAAGTGCATAATTGGAGTGACAAATAACCTCAGAGTGGGACTCTCTCAGACAGTTTTCTGGGTGGAATTTTGAAGATAGAAATGTTATATCTGAAGCTTTAAAAAAAGTGGGAGTGAAACCAATATAAATTGCTCCAACAAAAGTGCCAGGTTTTGTTTTTTTTCCTAACTGCCCCAGGGAAAAAAGTAGAGCATCGCATTTTTCTTTAGGTATGGAGAATTCAGAGTGAGAGCCCATACATCTGAGTTGTACGTTTTGGCCGCCCAAGGGATGGAGATGTCTCTGTGATTTATTATCTAAAATAGATTATGCCCCTCAAATTGGGAATCTTTTTAGAGGTGTGCATTTATAATTACTTATGACAGAAAAATAGAATCTTGGCTGTCAGGAGGAGACCTTGCTGTGAGGGAACAAATAATGTGTTATGTTAGGTGTCCTAAATAAGCCACAGGAACTGAGAGCGTGGTCCTTGAGCAAAGGCACCCAAGGTATATATTAGCAAGAAACAGCTGGAAGGATGTCTTAAAGTCACCATTGCCAAGCCCGGTTCTGACAGCAGGAGCTCAGTTATGTTGAAGCTAAACAGAACTTCCATTGTAGAAGTGTGCTGGCCATTCTACAGCACATTGTAGAAATGTGCTGGCCAGTGTTATCCAGATCAAGCATCCCTTCTGCCTGTCACCCTGGATTTTTATCAGCTGTCCCCTGGCCCTTTTCTTATATGCTTGGGTGGTTTGTAGTTGATTAATGCCTCCAAAAACAAGCATTTTCTATTTACTCATCTTCCCCTTTTCTGATATGCTTGAGTGGTTTGTAGTTAATTAACACCATCAAAAAACAGTGTTTCCTATTTGGTTAATGGCATGTTAATTGCATAGTTTTAGGCAGCATAAGACAGTCCATACTTAACCAGTATGCTGAGATAGTGTTTCCATCTGTTCTGCTAAAGTGTCAAAGAAAAATTATGGGCTCAAGTTTCCAGTTTATATCATCAGAAGGGGAAGGGAAGTATGGTTGTGAGCAGTCTGGAACCCTTCCTGGGTTCTTGTTGCACGACACCATTCATTTAGCACTTACTTTATGCCAGACACCAAGTCATTACATTTAGCCCTCACACCACCACCAGGAGGAAATTTTGTGTGTGTGTGTGTGTGTGTGTGTGTTACAGCTGAGGAAACTGAGACACAAAGTTCTCAAGTGACTTGCCCAAGGTCCCACAACTACTGAGTCACAAAGTTAGGATTTGAACCCAAGCAGCCTGGCCCCAGAGCCCAGCCATTATATTTTTATCCTTTGTGGATTTTGAACTGGGTAAGTAGATTACCTACTAAAAATATATGTATATATAAAACCAGGAGTTGAAATATTATTTTTCCATTAAGAGTTTCTGATCTACAGGAAAAGCATTAATTAAAATATCTCAAGGGCTCAGTGACTAAGTTCTTTAAAAAAGAGAGAGATACCTCTGGTCACCTGTCAGCCCTCAGCCGGCCCCCTCTCCTCCCACCCATGCTTGTTAGAAATGACAGGGAGCCGCAGTTGACCAGATCTAAGGCAAGGCCAAGGGAGTGAACAGCTGAATGAAGGGTAGGATCGTTGGATATGGAACTGCCGGGCCTGGGTATTTGCATGTTGTTTATCTTCTTACAGGCCTTCCCAGACAGTCTTACCTAAGTAGATCAGTCTGCCACTCACTGTGTTCTCTCACTTCACCTTCTAACATAATCTGCATGCCTTTTAACAGTTTCTAAATCTTGATTTGTCTACTTGTTTATTGTCTTTCCTCCTAAGTAGCCTCTGAGTTTTTAGGAGACTGTCAGTTTGCTCACTCCTGGATCCTTGGTGCCCTGTGCAAATTCCAGCATATATTAGATTCTCTATGTTCTCATTAGAAAGGAGAAGAGAAGGAATAAAGGGAGGAAAGGAGGTTGAGAAATACTCTTTAACTCGTCCTTTTTTTTATTACAAGCGTGGGGGAAAAAAGTAGAGCAATTCATTGAAATCTGACTTTCAATTTTCCCCCCATTCCAATTTTTTTGGTATATTTGGTATATTTCTAAAATTTAATTATGAGAGTATTGAACTTTGACCCATATATTTTGGCAGTTAAAGAGTTATAGATCACCTTATGCCGTGGCTCTTAAACTTTATTCATAAGCAGTAACAACTTTTCTTTCAAGTGAAATCTCATATGGATTCCTCATGTATGGAAGAGATAAAAGCTCTGCTCTGGCTAAAGTGGGGGTTAGGATCTCAGAATCCTGCCCTGGGGCTCTGATGAACCAGTTAAAAACACTGATGTGGTCCAACCCCTCAATTTGCCTAAAGAGGTAAATGACTTGACCAAGATCAAATGCCCAGTCAGAGCCCTAGCTGGGATTAGGGCCCAGGCTTCCCCCACATCATTGCCCTTTCTACAGAACCATTTCACTGAGGTGTGAATGTGGTGCCTGAGGGCTCATTCACAGGGAAAGGTATCGCCCACCTTTGGACTTCTAGGATATAAATAATAATAGCTATTTATTTAATCTTCCTGTGTTCCGGGCCTACATGTGCACTTGAATTCTCACAATAGCCTAGTGAGGTGTGGATGCTATTATTATCCCATCTTCCACATGGTTACATTGGGACTTAGGGCAGTGCAGTGATGTGCTGAGCCATCATACCTCTATCAGAGATGGAGAAGCCAAGATGCATTTCTGCAGCTGGAGGAATTACTGCATTTTATCAGCAGGGAAATATACTCTGCCTGATACATAATTCTAGAAAACTTGCCCCAGGCCATACAAAAGTAAATGCATGAGTTATATCTGGCCCTTGAGTCAGAGGTTCCTGTCCCTACTTTATTCAGTAGGAGTTTGTGTCACAGCCAGTTTCTGCTCAGCCAGAATGTCTCAAGTGCATGAATGCCACATTCATGTGAACAGCCCGGTTTCCATCACAGCCGGCCAGCAGGAAGAGCACTGCATTCGGATCTCTGACATCCCACTGGATGGGAAATGATCAGCTCTTCACAGCTCCTCCTGGGCTATAACACACTTGCTGAATATCAATTACTATCGGACATGGTGCCCTTAACACTTACTAAAATGTGTTTTCCTGGAACTTGTGTGAAATGTAAAAATGGGAAGTTAAGATTTCAGAACTTATTTGAGAAAACTACTAAAATGACCTTTTGAAAATGAACCATACTTTGCTCAAAGAATAGTTGTCAATTTGTTTTTGACATTTGTTCCTTTACAGTTATGACCCTTAAATTATTCATGCTTACCAGCTCCAAAATGGAATAATAACCTCTGTCTTCAGGCCTGTAGCCCTGTCTTGTAGTTTACATAGATTTTGAGTAAGAAAGGCATTCAGAAGGAGTTTGGGAGTTGCCTGATTCTCATAAAAATAATATTCTTATACCTTTTTTATGGCAAAGCCACACCAAATATTCCCATATGGTTGTTGATTAATCTCCCATGAGATATAAATGGGTAGCAGATGCTTATTTTATAGATGTAATATCCAAATTACTAGTAAAGAGTTTACAGAAATGTTATGGCTTCTCACAGCTAACCAGAAAGAAGGAATCCTCCTGTATTGAGGAGATAGAAGCTCTGTTCTGTGGGTAAAAGCTCTGTTCTGTGGGTAAAGTGGGGGTTAGGATCTGGCTGCCTGCTCTTCTCCAACAGAGGAATTCTTTCATGCCCTCCTATTAACTGCCACATAATTCTTTGACATTTACCTAATACTCTGAGTCTAAAAGTTGCTGAACAACTCTGGTATCCCCAATGCCTAGTGTGGCTTCTAGGACACAGTAAATGCCCCATAAATATTTGATGAGTGAATGAGTGACTCTACTGGCCATAGGAAATATGAGAATGATTTGATCTATTCTTTTGATCTTTTTTGTACCTCGAAGATTTATTTCAGATGCAAAGGAGACTTTTCCCAAAAGAGCAATATTGGTCATATGAAAATAATAAGCCAGCATTAATAAAGCACCATTGTGTACCCGGCACTGTTTGGAATTTTTCTGTGCATTACCTCATACCTCCTCCCAACACTGCTTAGTGTGGGGTTATATTATGTTCCCACTTTACAGATGAGGTAAGGGGCTAGCCTGGGTCACAGACCCTGAGTGTGCATCAGGACACTGACCCAGACCTGTCTGACCAGGGTGTCCACACCCTTAAATCCCACACTGTAGTGTGACCACAGAATCCCTATTTAGGTGGATAAGAACCACATGAGTGAAATATCCACTGCAATTTTTTTAATTTAGGAAGTTGTATTTTCTTGAAGCTTTCTGGATAAAATAGTGTTTACCTTGGTACTCTTCTTAGACCCATAGCACCCCCACCTCAACTCTCAGATTATAAAATGATTCCTGGTTTTTCTAACATTCCTTTAATGCAGAGACCCCGCCCCTTCCCCTGTGAGTAGGGTGATATTTTCTCTTACATAGCTCTCAGGGTCCTGGGGGAGTCTTCTCTGCAGGAAGTGATTACAGACGGGGGAAATCAGTGCCTCACTAGTATCAAGAGGTGCCTTCTTTTCAGGGCCACTAGAAGTGAACTCTCCAGTAGAGCGAAACACATTGCAGGTGTCTGAGGCTCTTTCTCCTATTCCAGAACCACCCCACCTACCTATCCACCACGTGCAACCCAGAAGGCTGGTCCCAGCTTTCCTTGCTGGAATTGGGATGCATTTTCCCATAGCTCAACGTTGATACCTTGCTTAAAATCAGGCTCCTAAGAGATTATGGGCTCTGTTGGCTTCAGAGCTCAGTACCTTGGAGAGGTGCCCTCCTTCACGTGTAACAAAGTGCGTTTAGAGTTGTAAACCACAGGGTTACAACTGCACATCTGAATCACTGCATATTTGTAAGTAGAGACTACCTGAAAATAATGAAATTGTAATAATTCCTAATTAATGATCCAAGTTCTTCAACATGTTCCCTAAAATGGCATTTTCCAAGTAAAATATAGCCACCAGTTTTTACAAAAGGGGTAATGTACCTATTGCCCAAATGACACCTGAAATATAATAATGCAATGTTATTTACCTTTCAAAAACAATATAGCCCTCTAATTGGAAGAAAGTAGCATTTCATTGTTTTCTTTCCATTGTTGGTTATTTATCTTTCTCCCATTTGAGGGTACATGTTTGCTGAGAACTGAAATTCAGCAGTTCACAGTGGACTTTCTCAGACTTTAGTGTGAGTTAATTTTGCCCTACTGTGAGATATGTTGGTGGTAGAGTTTGCAAGCACCCAGTACTCAGCAGAAACTTATCTAAAATGTCATCTTCATTGATCCTAAGGCTGACTGCTCCAAATGGTGATCCCTCACTGTTGAACTGCTTAAACAATAGTGTATTAGTATGCACATAAAAATACAGTCAATCAGTTCTCAAGATCTATAGGAGAGAAAATACATTAACTTTAAAAAAAATGTAGACGGCAGTGTCAGAAAATCGAAAATCCAGTTCAATGTCTTGATTCAGAGATTTTAAATCTGATAAACTAGTGCCACATCATTTATTTTCAAGCTTGAAGAGACATCTTGGGTGTGTAGGTTTTCTATTATCTACAGTTAAAATGCATTAAATATAGATAATTAAACATTTATATTAATTGACTTTCAGAAGGTGAACTGGAGGGATTATTTACCCGAGCTGATCTACCCAGAGAAGGGCAGCCCGTATTGCTGCATTTGGTCTGGCTCCATTGGTTTTTCTTCTGTTATTGCCGTTAACCAATTTCAGAGTGGATGAGGCTGAAAGTTTGTAAATAGATTATTATCTGAAAGGTAATTTTATTTCACTAGAAATGGCTTTATTGTGTGTAGAAGAGAAAAAAATGTAATTTGGACCCCTATCCAGATGCTCTTAGTCTAGTAGCAGAAAATGGTTTTATTTGTTAATTTGTCCTTCTAGAGTTTCTGTAGCCAATCTTTAAATAGAGCAATTTAGCATTTTGAGGAAAAACAAACTCAGCTCTATCCAAGAATATAATTGAAAATTACCCCATACCCATCCACGATAATTACCTTTCAAAACATTTCCCAATGCTTGACATCATAGTGGTAATTGCGTAATGATATTATAATTTCATTACGTAGGGATTATAATGGCAAAATGATGTAAGTTGGAGGCTTTGAAAATTAAGTTACAATGAAAACAAAACCTTTTATGTAAGCTTAAAGCACTTACTTCAACATAAAATTATACATAATCTCACCCAATTTTTGTATGAATGTCATTGTTGGTAGTTTTAAAATTCATCCATTTGAAGCTTTGGTACTAAAAAAACCAAAAAACCTATCTTAGTCCCCATGGTTATAATGCGCGAGGGTCCCATTCTATAGTGATATGTATTGGAATGAATGCATTTATATCGCAGTTATTGCTCCAGTTTGTATGCATTATGTAGCAAAACCTCTACTAATGAATTGGATCTACCTCGATCCCTTTGCAAATGGGTGATAAAGACCCATGGCCATTACAATGGTTGTTTTCATCTTGAAAGATTCCCAACTGGTTGTAAATATATTTTGTTTTCTCATTTAATAGCACCAGCTTAAAAATGTATCTTTTTTGCAAACATAGGCACAGAATACACTGAATAATTATATAGCATATAACTCTTACGTGCCAGAGGTCTGAGTTCCCCATGATGTGCTGATGGAGTAAGACAGAATCCAATGGCAGGTCCCTGAGAGTTTCACTTATAATCATTTACCTCAGGGATATGTGATTTAAACATTACACCTGATGGAAAAAATTAGTTTTACTTTTGGAAACATACACAATTTTTGGTATAAGAACTGTTTTTTTATTTAAAGATGAATTTATCCTAATGTTCTATATAAAACTAATTGGGGGTCTTTCTGTTTCTTTCAAATCCACTATGTTTTGGGGTTGTAAAAAAAATCAAACAGATTGAGTTTTCAGGTAGGGAATAAGGTATAAACGTACATAACCCTTTTTGTGTCTGGCTCACATATCCTGTTTTCCATGATGATGGTGATAACATTTACTGAGTACTTACTGTGTACATGTGCTGAGTGTTATTTAGTCCTCATAGGAACAATGACAGGTACTTTTATTATCTGTACTTTACATATGAGGAAGCTGGGGCTCAGAGCAGTGAATTTCCCAATATCCCACAGCTGTGATATGGTAGAAATGGGATTTGGACCTGAGTTTGTCTGACTCCATTGTCTAAACATCATCCTTCCTGCCTCTATGAAGCCTTTTCTTCACACTTTAAGCGACATCAGTACTTCCATCCTGAGTTACTAAGAAAGTTATAGCCTATAGTTCATGATTTATTATATTATCATCCCTAATAGTAACTATCATTTATTAAACAACTACTATGTGTGCTGTGTTATGCATATTACCAGTGTCTAATTTAATCTTCCTCAAAACCCTACCAAATAGGCATTGTTATTCCCATTTTGTAAACAAGGAAACCAAGGTCCGATGAGGTGAAATGATCTGTAGCCAGCTTTAGGCAGTAAGCAGCCCAGCTTCCATTCGCCCCCAGTGTATTGGATTCTAGAGCCCTTGAGTGCTCTTAGCCACTCAGCAGTAGAGCCTTCCAGTTTAACTCCTCATTAATCTTTAGTAGCTGCTTTTGCTTCATGTGTTTGTGTCACATTCACAACTAGACTATGCCCAGCTCAATCACATAGCAGATACTAATTGATAAACTAACTTTATTCATTTCTCTCAAGTAGTCCAAACTTTAAAGGCATAATGGATTGAATATCTGAAAGTAGAGGATGTACATACTCTCCTTTGATGTGAAAAAGTGATCTAAAGGGGGTCATTTTCAATATGGAATGACCATTTGAGGAATACTCTCAAGGATAGAGGCAGGGCCCTGGGGACTCTGAAGACAACAGAAGAAGATAAAGGAAACGCAGCCTTCCTTCTCTGAGTTCCTGTTCTTAATTAGAAACTGTGCAGGGTGGTCAGGTCAGCTACCATTATTAATGTGGTTGTTAGCAAAGTCCTTTCATACTTCAAAGATATAAACTGCTGCAGCCCAGAGTCACAGAAGCTCATCAAAAGCACTACAGGGATCATTGGATCTGGTCCCCTGTTCTAAGCACAGTTCATCTACAAAATTCTGCACAAATCGTTGCCCCACTCTCTGCTTCACCCTTTCCAGAGTACATGTTTCATTTGCTGGTCAGCTCTAATGCTTAGAAAATTCTTCCTTGTGCTAAGCCTCCCCAAAAAAATGGCTCCTCTTAGCTTCCACCTGTTGATCCTATGGCTTCCTCCTGGAACCCCAGATTTTCTTAACTTCTCACTCCTATGCCACCCTTCATATGCTTGAATCCAGAAGGGCTGCTGTCACCTCATCAAGCTTTCTCTTTTCTGGAGTTAACAAGCCCATTTCCTTTGGACTTATTGAACTGTTTGCCTCTGCCCTCCCCCAGGGACTCTCTCATCTTTAACAATATTTTTGAACTATGAGAAATCAGATTTCTTTGTTTCCAAACCTGACTTATTAAAATGTAGGACACTTTTAAATTTTTTATTAGTCTTTTCTATGTCTAAATTCCTTCAATGTAATAGCTCCGAATTAAACATGTTACACCACTCCTTTAGCATAATCAAGGTCCGACTGAATAGACTGGTACAAAGTACTCTGACTGGTAGAAAGAACACTGAACTCTTACTCTGGAAACTGAGAGTGTCCCCAGCTCTGCCTCTAACTCACCAACAAACCTCAGATGAGCTGTTCAACTTTGTGAACCCTGGTTTCCTCATCTATAAAATGGGCATGATAATTCCTGCGTATTCCACAGGGTCATGAGGGCCAAATGAACTACTACATGAGAAAGAGCTTTCTAAACCATCAAGGGCTCTACCAATGAGGTATTAGCAACCAAGGCAGATGTAATCATTCCTCAGTTGAACTCCACTTTTAAAGACTGCTAGCACTGCACTCAACTCACAAGAATCAGCAGATTTCACATTTCACCTGTTTCTCTGCATAGTCCATTAGAATAGGGATTGTTTCTTGTCATCATGTCCTGAACACCTAACTCAGTGTCCGGCTCATGGAAGGATCACACTAAATGTGTTTTTGGATGGTTAGGAGAAAAGTGGGCAGAGGAGTGGCTGTGGTACAGTTTTAAACCCCCACTTCACCATGTAGGCACCACTCCCTTGGACTTAACTCCAGTTTGTCAATGTCCTGACAATGTTCAGGCACCAGCTTGGTCTGATTTTGGCTGAGTAAGATGGAACCCCACAACCACCACCACCATCCTCCCTTCCTCTAGGCAGTGACACTTAAGATCATGGGCTTTTATTTACACCTTCAACAAACATTCCATTTTTATTGCACCTCTATTATGAGTGAGCCCTGCACCATACCCACCATCCAAACTCTTCTGAAGCTCACCCTGGTGAGCACATAGCCCAAAGCTTCAGGGTTGGGTTGGGTTTGGGGTTTGGTTTTGGTTTGGTTTCGGTCTTTAATAGCCTGTGCTATTGAAGGGAGAGGAGTGTTTTCTTATTACCTCTTTCTACCTGAGCCTACTCTCTGATCTTCTCTGGCTGGGAAGGTCTTGACCTCTCAGTCCCTGAACTCATTACATGAACTTTCAGAAGTACTCAGAATGCACTCACTTTTGAATACAAAAGTACTTAGCACAACACTGAACACATAAAAGGTGCTCAGGAAACATCTTTGTAGAACAGTTGTTTTTTTTTTTTCATTTCATGCCATTTGTTGGAAGCCAGCAGGCCTCGATAATGACTTAGACAGTTGTCCTCTCTGTCCAATCCATCTAAATGGCTGTCACGAGAGAAAACATCAAGCCATGTTCTATCCCCAAAACACTGAGCAGACTTCCCGCCACCACTAATAAAACTACAAATCACCTGACATTTTTTTTCTGTGTATGTTGTCTGTTCTATGTATCTTATAGTTCTATTATTTTAATTCATATTTGTTTGGTAGCCTTTTTAGGATGATTGAATGCGGATCAAGTTTTCTATTTTATTAGTTAGTTTGCACTGTTTTGCATTTTGTACAGCTCTGGCCCATGAAGAAGTTTAGAACTGTGACAATTAGTTTTGGATCCTGGCAAGTTTCCTAATCCTAATAAGCATAACTCTTAAGTCTTTTGGCCCTCTCCCTTTCTTCCTTCCCCTCCTGCCAGTTCTCCACACTCAGTTTTTCTTGTCCTTTGTCAAGAAGTTGGTCCTTCTGGTCACTGGTGTTTCTTCTCCACCTGGAACCACATGTTTAGAGTCTCACCACTTCCACAGTGCTCTTCCTTCAGGCCTAAACCTTCTACCTGCATAAAGAAAATCCCCCAGGAGAGATGGTGATTCCTGCTTCGTTGCCCTTGTTTGGGGATTCCGGGCCAAGCCAACAGCTAATGTGTCTGTGGTTCCCCTTCCCCACAGGTGAAGAAGACCTCAGTGTGGAAGAGGACGAGGAAGTACTGACTTTGTTGTATGACCCTTGTCTGAACTGTTACTTTGACCCCCAAACAGGGAAATACTATGAGTTGGTATAATGCCTCCTTCCGGGGCAGAGAGCAGGCACTCCCAGCTGGAGCAGAATAGCAGTTCAGGGTCGCTTAAGGAGTCACCACAACTTATGTGTTGGGTGACCACAAAATCAACAGTAACTGAGAGAAACGAATTCATTTTGTAAATAATGTTCAACGTTAAGAATACCTATATTCCTTTTGTAGATGAGTATGATTTTGAAACTGAAGAAATTAATACAGAGGCAAGATTTTAGGAGTTTGAATTGGTTCTTGTTTGTTCTCATTCTACATATAATTTTGTTTATTTCAGATAATTTTATGTAAACAAATTAAGAGTTATTCATTCAAATTTTTTGCAGTGTTAATCTGTAAATGATGGCTTGATGTACAGAAAATGTATTTTTGCTTAAAAGATGCCTGGGTACCTTTTATTTTATGGCATTTGTATTAAAAATAAAGTATGATGGTAAGAAGAATAGCTTTTAAACTGCTTCTTTTCATTCACCCCACTTTCTTTTCCAGAATATTCCTATATGATACTTTCCTTCTCTTCGACTCTTAGAAAAAGAAACATTGTGAACTGGTCAGACTTTATGATCACATTTTATTGGCACTGGACCCACTATTTCCATTTCATTATTGTTCATCCAGAGTTTGCTGGAGATCACAACATTGTTCATCACTTAAGCTGCTTAGCACTGTATTTTTCTTTTAAAAAAAAAAATCTTGGGAGGCAGAGGTGGGTGAATCACGAGGTCAGGAGATCGAGACCATCCTGGCTAACACAGTGAAACCCCATCTCTACTAAAAATACAAAAAATTAGCCGGGTGTGGTGGAGGGCGCCTGTAGTCCCAGCTACTCAGGAGGCTGAGGCAGGAGAATGGCGCGAACCCAGGAGTCAGAGCTTGCAGTGAGCCAAGATCGCCCCACTGTACTCCAGCCTGGGCAACAGAGCGAGACTCTGTCTCAAAAAAAAAAAAAAATATTTTGACAATTATCTCTGAATTCTAATAATAGATTCATCTAGATCTATATAGAAATAACCTCTTTGAAATCCCCCCACTGCCACACACACACACTCATCACCACTCCTGTGACCTGCCTGGGCCTGAAGAAATCCCAGAGGCTTTCTTTGGTTTTTCAGTTGATGTCCGTCTAACTCTGCTTGCCGGATCACAAGGAAAAAGTCATGTGCTTCTGCATTCGGGTAGACAGCCTCGAATTGTGTGCCAACTATATTAATATTGAGCTCAAGGAAGTACTTATTATATTAGCTGGCATATTTTGTTATTTAATAAAGATTTTTTAATAAAGAAGAGTACCATTGGAAATGAAAATTTATTGGTGTACAGTTGGATTTAATGGTGGTACTATAATTTCATTTAATATTGCTTGATAGAGGAAGTAAGAGCTCTTTTTACAGGAGTAGATTTGGACTCCTGTTCCAAGTATCATACATTATTTAGAACCATATTTGTGTTTGATAAGCTTTTAATCCTGTTGTTCACAAAGTATGCCTTTGTTATGAATTTCTCTCCAAGATCTTCATACTTAACAAAATGAAAATGAATAAATTAAGCTTTCCAAAGCATGCAAAATGATAAAAGAGTTGGGTTTGTTGATTATGACCTTAAAGATTGTAATAGGGCTTGGAAGGCCTTGTTTCTGCTTTAAATAGTCTCAGGACCATATATAAGGGACATATGACATAAATAAGAGAGTCAATTAAAATTTATATTCGTGAAGACTTGTAGTTATAAATATCAAAAACAACATGAGCTAGATGAAGAAAAAAAAAATTAGGATACAGGAATGCCTCAAATGCCCCAAAACAGAATGCTGTAAGGCTATAAGGCCTCTGAATAGATTTGGGCTGGGACCTAGAGGACTGTAGTGAACTCTGTTGGGATTCTTAAATTGCAAGCAACAGACACCCTTGATCCCAGAATTCAAAGACTTGCTGAACAATCAAGCTCTGGGAGGCACAGACATCAGAGCAGCCCCAGAGATCCCTATAGCAGCAACCAACAGTTTCTCATGATGATGGCCACCAAATTGACAGCACCACTTTTTTCTGCCTCAGGTCTCTGCTCAAGGAGCAAGAGGATGGTAGGATTAACTCATCAGTTATCCCCAGGACCGCATGGAATGGGAATGAGATACTCCCTGAAGGAGAAGAGGGCACTGTTAAGAAAATGGGGAGGGGTGTCAGACAGGCAAAAACCACAGATGTCTATCCTGGCAGTCTAGAAGCATTGGCTCTGCCGCTCATCTCTGATTGATTTTGCCATCTCTTCTCTCTTCTCTCTTTTCTCTTCTCTCTTCTCATACATTTCTCAGCTACTCAGTCCACCTGCCAGAGCACCCAACCACTCCAGTGCCCACATACCCAACCATGCAGAAATGTTAACTCCCAATGTCAATTCAAAAATCCCAGAATTGGGATTCCAGTTCACCAGTTTGTTTGTTCCAGGGGCCACCAGGACCCTCTTCTGTGGATGAAGGAGGAAAGCAATTAAGGAGTCCCTGTGATCTGAGTAGACATTCTAAAGGTGTCTACCACAAGGTCTTATTATCCCCTTTTTATAGCTTCATTTCTGTTGAGATTTCTACAGAAGAGTTGAAAAACAAAAATAGATGTGCTTCCCAGTGCCAATTTTAAATTAAATTGGTACCACCAGTTTACTTGGAAATTCATTAACTAGGCTATACATGTTCACTGGTTATCAAATTTCATTGCATATTAGAATCTTCTGGAAAGTTAATAAAAATACCGATGCCCAGGTTCTACACCCAGAGAGTCTAACTTGCTTAGTTTCAGGTGTAGCCTGGGCACTGGAAATTTTTAAAACCTCCCCAGCCATGCCAATATGCAGTCAGGGTTGAGACCATTGCTATAGATTAGATCTGACATGCAGAGAAGGCAGGAGCTTTGCCTAATGGCATATGCACCTGTGAGGAAGAGCCTGTATTATTAGTTTTCATTTTAAGACTTTAATTTCTACTTTTCTAATCAAGTGTGTACCAAACATTTTTATCCAAAATGATTGCAAATGGAGACTAAAAAAAATAGATTGATTCAATGTAGAAGTACATCTTAAGATAATTTGGTATCAGTTTGGGGACTGATTCAAACAGTTCCTTGTTTCATATAATCGGGATGCAACTTACAAGTGACTTTTAAGTCATCAATCTCAAAATTATCATGTAATTACAGAGGCTGGTTAGTGGGAATTATGGGAAAACAACTGTCAGCAATAGTGGCATCAGATCAATGATTTAGTTTCCCTGGTAATTATAAGTTCTTGCTATCTCCAATTAATTTAACTTTTATTAAAGGAAAATACTGATATATTCATAATACATAGACACTTTTGCCAAAAAAATCTTGCCCTATTATATTTTCTTGATTTTTAGATTAGTTTCATTTAAATCAGTCATTTCAATAACATCTTGATCCTTCTTTAGGCGCAAACTGTGTTTAATAAGAATAATGTAGTCACAGAATGTACAACCTGAAGCACAATTAATTGAAAGAATTAATTTAAAAATTGTCCCATGGTTTTAATTAAAGATCTTGCTTCTGGAAGTTTCTGAGCTGTTCTTTTTTAAAAACTGTGGAATGACATCAAGTACACTATCAAAACATGGTTTGTTCCAGGTTACACCCTGTGACTGTCAAACTTCAATCAAAATGGCCAGAATAATGAAAATTAAGAATCACCTTCCTCAAAGACCTAGAACCAGAAATACCATTTGACCCAGCAATCCCATTACTGGGTATATACCCAAAGGAATATAAATCATTCTACTACAAGGATACCTGCACACATATGTTCATTGCAGCACTATTCACAATAGCAAAGACATGGAATCAACCCAAATGCCCATCAATGGTAGACTGGACAAAGAAATTGTGGTACATATACACCATGGAATACTATGTAGCCATAAAAAGGAAGGAGATCATGCCCTTTGCAGGGACATTGATGGAGCTGGAAGCCATTATCCTCAGCAAACTAATGCAGGAACAGAAAACTAAACATGCATGTTCTAACTTATAAGTGGGAGCTGAACAATGAGAACACATGGACACAGGGAAGAGAACAGCACACACTGGGGCCTGTTGGGGGTGGGGTGAGGGGAGGGAGAGCATCAGGAAGAATAGCCAATGCATGCTGGGCTTAATAACCTAGGTGATGGGTTGATAGGTACAGCAAACCACCATGGCACACGTTTACCTACATAACAAACCTGCACATCCTGTACATGTACCCTGGAACTTAAAAATTAAAAAAAAAGAATTGCCTGTTATCACCTGTTCACATATGGTTTTATCATAGGATTTCTATTTCGTACATCATTCATTTTGCATTCCAGAAAAGTTAGTCATAAAGAGAATTCTTGTCAAGCAAATTCTATTTTCTCTTTTTCTCCATTATACTAGTTAAGATAAAATTGTCTAATTGGGCCTAGAAAGGACAATCAAGATCATTCTTTAAATGCTCTGATTTTACAATTGAGAAAAGTGAGATTCAGATTGAGAAGTCCTGTCAAGGTGGGAATTGAGAAGAGAATGCAAATGACAGATGGAGATGGACATCACAAACCCGGAACAGAGGTCACCTGAGGACACTGGCACCCTTTCAGGAGTCTGGGATTTCTGGTTCTCACTGAGCATTTCCGTTTCTTTTGCTCCATGCACACTCTTTTTTCCCTCAGTTGTCAGCCTTTACACCTCAAGGATCAGCGTTTCCCAAAATGTTTTCCAAGAAACAGAACTTCCACTAAATGTTAATAAATGCAGTGGGAGTGGGGAAGAGGTCCATTGTCAAACCAAGGTGGAAAATACTGGACTAGTGGTAATTGTCATTTGTCTTTACTGGAGTAGTTCTCAGTGGCTTTAATAGACTAACATGCACAGGTAATCTCCAGTGGGTGAGTGACACTTCTCCAATTTGTCTACAGAACTCTTTTTCTGTAGAACATCTCAAGGGTTTTATCCACTCACATCCTTTGAGAAATGCTGCTGTAGATCACTCCTCCAGAGCTGGGAGCCCTGACTCCCACCAGAACTCAAGAAATGTGTCCCCCATCCTCAGTTTGTTTGTTTGTTTGCTTGCTTGCTTGTTTGGTTAGTTGGGTGGGTGGGTGTGTGTCTGTGTGTGTGTGTGTGTGAGAGAGATTTGGTAGTGGGGTGGGGGGTGGTTAGTGGAATTTTGTGTGTTTCTTTGCTTTTTGTTTTTTGCTTTGCCCAGATATTTCACACACTCCTGACCAGGCTGTAACAAGATGATTTTTTAGACCCACTTTTCATCCAAAACAAGGTATGCTGAAGCCTGAACATTTCTTAAGTCTGAGGCTTTGGTCTCTTGCAGATATTTTCTTTGTCATATTTTAAATTATACAAACTTATAACTGTAGGTAATATGGTTAACTTATAACAAAGGATAAATCTAAATGAAAGTTCATTCATCATGAATATTGGAGTCTTACATCTTAATGAATATTTTGGTTCTGGTTTGCGTGGTTTTAATGTAATTTAGAATCACATTAAGTCAAAATAATTTGACTTATAAGAATTAAATGACCAATAAACATGGACCACAGATAACACTAATTTTTACTGCTGACATATTCTTCTGCAGTTAATCACCTGTAATTCTGTGAGGCATTACGAAAGTGATGTGTAGGAAATAGTATTGATTGGTTTTCATCAGCCCAACTTATCATTGTCAATGTTTATGCTGAACCTGGCAAGATTTAAGCATATAAACTTGCTCCTAATGGTAATAAGTACGGTCAATATTTTAACAGGTGGATCAGGAGAAATTAGCTCTAATGTGCTGTAGCGGATACTTCCAAAGCCATGGGAGTGAGGTGCTCTTGAGACCTTAAAAACTGAGATAAGCAAAATTATATGAGAGTATTTGGCTTAAGAATTCCAGGAGGGAAAAACTCTCTTTATTTATTCTGATAGTATGCCAGTCTGAAGTATAACTTTTATTAATGATGGAGTTTTAGTAATCTATAAATAAATCATGAGATTAATAATGGGATTAGAATCATCCCCAGTTTTGCTTTATGGCTTCATAAACCAAAGATTATCTCAAAGAAAATCAATCAAAATTTCACCATTTGTTTTTTCCACTACTTGCAAAAATGATTCAGACATTTCAGACCCTGAAAACTTACAAACCTTTTAGCCAACTCAGTTGAAGAGAGCTTCCTTTTTCCTTTAAAACTTTTTTGGCCAAAGAAATTGATATTACTAGCATCTTCTTGTGGGTTAATCTTAGTAAGCATAGTATCTTTTTCCCTCCAATACTTGTGTTTTCTTTGACTTTTGATATCTATGTAGTTCTAAAATTCATCTCAGTACCTAGGTCTGGACAGTATACTTATAATATCTTTTCAATTCACCTGTTTCAAGAGATTTTAATCTTCTCAGGTCAGGTACTTCTCAAGAACATCACCATTATCAAGAGATATTTGATTTAAGTTAAAAAAAATGGTGGCGCCATTTTTTAGCTAAGCATAAGAATCTATGAGTGTTACAAAGTCCAGATAAATAGTAAGTCCAGAGATTCCTGTTATAATCGGCTGTGGTCAGCAAATACATTATCACTGGTAATGTTTATATCCTTAATTTATAAGGGACATCACTGTTTGCATTTTTAATACATTTTTGATCACCTTTTCCATGTTTTGCTAGTTGTTGCTTTCAATCTAATATAGTGGCTGTCAGCATTGACTGCACATTGCATTATCTGGGGACTCTAAGATATGCTGCTGCCTGGGTCCCATTCATGGAGATTCCTACCTCCTCTGGCCTGAGCTGTGGCCTGGGCATCATGATATATAAAAGCTCCCCCAAGTGATCCTAATGTGTGCCAAGGCTGAGACCCTCTGGCTTAACCTATTCTCATTTCTTGTCTTTATTGCTCTTCTTCACTTCCTGTGGTGCCAGAATGAGCAGTTTGGGAATTCCCAAAGGCACATGGTAGCAGTGACGTTTGAGAGTTTCAATCAACAGACTAACCATCACTTGATGGATTTCATTTGTGGGCAATCCAATAATGTTCTGACAACTTGCCTTAACCCCATGTGGTTGATGATCACTAGAATGGAAAACATGACCTATTTTGTTTTGTTTGGCTTTCTTCACTCTGTCTTGTACGCATTTTGAGCAAAACTCATTTTCGTTCCCAGGTGTCAGATTATATGCTATGTGAACATAGCTAGGTTTCAGCTTCCAAATTAACAAAGGGAGAAAGGTTTATTAAGTGACCACGTGAAAATGATGGAAGCCACTGGTTTAGACTATTAAAATTAGTATGTGTGTGTCTGTGTGTATCTGTTTTATTACTAGGATCCACCAGTTTACAAAACCTTTGTGACTTAGCATTATTAAGTTAAATATTATTAGGAGGTTTTGGAGTCTTTCCATTTATAGTAGCCCCTGGTGAGTCAGGTCTCTTTTTTCCCACATAAAGATGCCATCTATTTCAATCTGAGCAAAGGTGTAGACCTGTGGCTTTCAATTTCCCATTATCTGTAGCGTTCTTCTAAATACGAGATGATGGGAGAGCACTAGGAATTTAAAATCTTGCTTCAATAACTCCCCTCAAAGTTGTAAGCCTTTTGTAAAGTCTGTTTTGTACACAGCCTTGAATGGTAAGTGCTTTGGGCTGTGAAGGAACTGAAACAGTGGATGCACAGTGAGGTGACATGGTGCAGAAAAGAGAGGGCAAGAGGGGAAAGGGAAAGGAAGAATGGAGGCCAAGAGACAGGAAGGCAATCACCAAGTTAGAGGGAACTTGGGGACCATAGGCACCTGCCCAGGGAGCTTTGCAGAGCAGAAATGGGATGACATCCATTTGTGAAGTGAGACTGAGTTTGTTTTTTTTCTAAAACCTTAAAGGATGATTTAATCCCAGAAAGCTGGAGAGCTTGGAGACATCCAAGATGCTGACAAATGGACCACCGAAGAAAAAGCACTTAGCACATGGTAAGCACTCAGTAAATGTTCACTGGTGTGATTATTATTTAAGCCTAGGCCTGTCAGACCGAGGACTTTCAGGTTTGGAACTCTGGTGATAAACAATGACTATAGCATCATTCCTGAAAGTATATATGGGCACATACATACTGTGTTAGTGCATTCTCACACTGCTTTAAACAACTACCTGAAACTTGGTAATTCATGAATAAAAGAAATTTAATTAACTCACCGTTCTGCAGGCTGTACAGGAAGCATGGCTGAGAGGCCTCATGAAACTTATAATCATGGCAGAAGGCAAAAGGGAAGCCACCATGTCTCACCATGGCAGAGCAGGAGAGAGAGAGAGAGTGAATGTGGATGTGCTACACACTTTTATTAAACAACCAGATATTCTGAGAATTCACTCACTATCATGAGAACAGCATAGGGGAAATCTGCCCCATGACCAATCACCTCCCACCAGGTTCCTCCCCCAACACGGGCTTACAGTTCAACATGAGATTTGGGTGGGGACACAGCAAAACCGTATCACATGCTTTAATATATTAAAGTTAGAGCTTCATATTTTACCCTATTATAAGACTAAGCTAAAACAAATGTTTTATTAATACTCTGAAAAAAATGGGACCATTAGTTTCATGCAATAAGTTGTAAAGAAAACTAACAATTTCCTGAGAATTTGGAGAAATAGGGGCAACCCTGATTATAGATTAACACCTGGGGCCATGTAGTTAGAAAATAGATACTCCAGAAATTCTTTGAAGCTGTATTTATTTAGTATTTGTAATATTTCGGGTCTGACCCATATGATTAAAATAATTGACTCCACTATAAATGTTCAGAATCCTACTCCTGAGTAAAATAATAAGAATCCAAGACCAAATCAACAGTGTCTTTTTAAAACAAGGTTTTCAGAAATGATCAGTTCTGGGCCAAGCAGCTCATGTATGTTAAAGGGTTTTTTTTACTTTTATTCTTCATGGTATGGTGTAGGATTATTCCAAATCACCTCATCTTTATCTGTTAATACATTTTTTCCCTCAGAGTATATGACGAATGTTTGAAATAAGGTATATTTGTTTAAACAGAGTCTGTAATCAAGTTTTTTTTTGTTTTTTTTATTATTATACTTTAAGTTTTAGGGTACATGTGCAGTCTTGCCCTATCACCCAGGCTGGAGTGCAGTGGCGCAATCTTGGCTCACTGCAACCTCTGCCTCCTGCGTTCAAGTGATTCTCCTGCCTCAGCCTCCCGAGTAGCTGGGACTACAGGCATGCGCCACCACGCCCAGCTATTTTTTGTATTTTTAGTTGACACGGGGTTTCACCATGTTAGCCAGGCTGGTCTCAAACACCTGACCTCAGGCAATCCACCTGCCTCGGCCTCCCAAAGTGTTGGAATTACAGGCGTGAGCCACCACGCCTGCCCTATAATCAAGATTTTATACAATTTCAGACTGGCTCTCTTCCCCGTAGACAAAATTAATGAGGTTTTTCTAATGATTGGATAAGATTATGTTAAGAAATTATAGAAATAATCCTCTTCAGCTTTGCATTTATTTTCTACTCGGAAGGTCAGCCATCCCCTACAAATGGTTCTCTCCAAATGTCTATCCTGAGCTTAATCACAAGTTATAGATATAGAACATTTCACCAAAGACATACCAGTGTCTTCAAAACCATGGTTTTCCATCTCTTTCTGAGGTATTTTCTGCCTTTGGCAAGAAAATAGAGAAGAGGAGGGAAATTTACAATTCCTTTGAGTAACTGTTTTTGCCACGGCTTTCGTGCCACGTTGGGTGTTATAAACCCATTAGAGTGAGAAGCAGTTTTTCTCCTTACTCTCTTAATTCTCCTACTAATTCTAGCACCATTCGGTTTTATTTCCATTTTCAATACTGAGCTGGAAAAAGAACTGTACATGTCAGCCTCTAAAATAGTGTGCACTATAAATTTATTATAATGCTTTCTGAAAGTTATAATTTCATCCACGTGAAATGATAAAGGTCAGTGAAAGCATCTCTTGATTCATCCTGGACCACTCGAGGTTCAGGTTGTCACTCTGCCACCTGATCACATTCTATAAACAATATCTACAACTTTATCATAACAAGTACTACTTAGGTTTCTATGCAAAGCTCAGTAGTTTTTAAAAATGCATTTTGTGTTATTCCTGTGGCATTTCTACTGAGCTGAATTTGACAAATACCATCAGTTTCTATATCAATGAGAAATTGTCCTCTTTTTTTAATTGACCTAACGAGTCATTAGGGTAGGCCTTGGACCGTGACTCTGCTGAATGCTTTATTCTGCCCTGGAAATTGTAATCTTACCACTGAGTTGAAATGACTCTCTTGATGATTGTCCTCATCATCTTTATTGTCAGCACAACCATTTATTGAGCTCTCACTGCACTCCCAAGCATCGCACTGAACTGTATGTGCATATTTTCTCATTTAATCCTCGCAACTGTGTTCATCTACTTTACAAATTAAGAAACTGAGGCACAAACAGGCTCAGGAATTGTCCTGAGTGGTGATGCAGGAATCTATCAGACCTAGCTGATGTCAAACCTCATGACTTAACTGTTGGTGGCACTATTGACCAACAATGGTTCTATTGATGGCTAAAGTCCAAATTGCTTATTAATAGATGGAGCATTAATCATGGCGCCTTTCTTCCTGCTTAGTTGTTAGCTCCGTGGTTGCAGCTTGAAAAATATTTTGTTCTGTTTATCTGCTGTACCGCATACTTAAAAAGAATCTATATTTTTTAAAAGCCCTTGAGAATTTACCTTCACATATACCTAAATACATTTCAAGGTTATTGATATTTTTGCATATTAGCAGCATTCTTCTTATTACCTATGAATTTAATGAAAGGAAAACATTAGACGTGGCATGCAGGTATTATTTCAGAAATTTATTTCTTCTCCACATGGCATCCTTTCACTCTTCCCATTCCCCTGGTGTTTTTATAGTAACCTAGCATCCTGAGCTACCACCTTTTTTGCTGGCACCAAAGGATCATTTATAATCAGCCCTCCACTTGTTCTGAAATGTGCCCTACAATTCATAACACAACAGACAGTGTGTAAGTTTAACAGGACTCGAAGCATTTCTTATCTTGAATTAAACTCACATGTTCAGAGGAGTGAAAATATCAAGAATTGTGGTGTTGTAGGATTCAGCTTTCAGCTTCACAACTAATAAAAAGAACAAACTGTTTTCTGGAATCTTGGGAGTCAGCCTAACCCTCTTTCCATCCTTCACTTTCCCCTACTGCATACACAGTGAAGACTACAACTGATAAGGGATACAGCCACATCCACGAAAGGAAAGTTTCAGAAAATTATCTTTGCTAAGATTAGTGTAATTTTTTTCTCCTGAAAAGCCTCTAGCTTTTTCATCTACGGAACAGGATATGACAAGGCTTTTCTGTTGTTGTTGCATTTAATAAACAAATAAGCTCTGTACTTAGGGCCTGTCATGGCAGAGGCAAAAGAGCCATTTGAGCTGGACCTCTTGACCACAGAGGCATCCGTGTTTTCTCCAAGCAGAGTTAGACACACACTCGCAGGGATACCCAACATCCCCTAGCAGAGAAAATGGTTGTCATTCACCTTTCAATTTGTGTTATCACTGAACCACACTGCTTACCGTGTATGATGAATTACTTTAAAAAAAAAAATTCTGTAGTTATTTTATGAATAGCCCAGTTACATGTGTTTGTCATTTGGGGAGGCTAAAATAATTTTTCAAATGTAAACATTCAAAATTCACCAAACCAGCTTCATTCATAGTCTTTCTCCAGCCATAGTCACCCCTACCTCAACGGATGGCAAATGCATCTGATTGCTGAGATAGGAAACTTGGAAAGACGCTTTGATTCCTCCTCTTATCTCATGTCCCACTTTCAAATGGTCAGGAGATCCTACTGGTTTTACTCTCAGTATATTCAGAATGCGATGCCTTTTCTCCTCCACCCCCCGGCCTTTATCACCTGGGACCACTACCACCATCATTTCTTATTGTCTCATTGAACAGCCTACTAACTCATCTGCCTGCTTCTACCACTGCCTGCAATCTATTTTCTTGTTTAACTTTTAATTGACAGATAATAATTCTACATATTTACGAAGTACAATGTGATGTTTTGATATATGCATACATGATGGAATGATTAATCAAGTTAATTAACATATTCATCATCTCCCATACAGTACTTACCAATTTTTGTGGTGAAAACATTTAAAATCTACTCTGAGCAATTTTGAAATATACATTACATTAGCTATAGACATCATGCTATGCAACAGATCTCAAAAGCTTATTTATTCTGTTTAATCCTCAACACAGCATTCAGAGTGAGCCTTAAAATGACAAAATGACAGCATATTGTGTCACCTGCTGAAAACCTTGCAGAGGATTTCAACTTTCTTTTTTTTTTTTTTTTTTTTTGGAGACAGGTTTCGCTCTCATTGCCCAGGCTGGAATGCAATGGCGTGATCTCAGTTCACCACAACCTCTGCCTCCTGGGTTCAAGTGATTCTCCTGCCTCAGCCTCCCAAGTAGCTGGGATTACAGGTGCGCACCATCATGCCCTGCTAATTTTGTATTTTTAGTAGAGACAGGGTTTCTCCGTGTTGGTCACGCTGGTCTCGAACTCCTGACCTCAGGCAATTCACCCTCCTCGGCCTCCCAAAGTGCTAGGAATTACAGGCATGAGCCACCGATCCCAGCCTCAACTTTCAATAATAGCAGACTAATTTGGTATAGACCAGGCCTTGCATTGGGAACAACTAAAAAGCTTATACAAATAAATACAAATAAAGCCAGAATTAAAAATAAAAGCCATATGAATTAGAAAGACACAACACTGTCATTATTTGCAGATGACATTATTGCATTCATAGAAAACCCAAGAAAATCTACAGATAAATTACTAAAATTAACAAACTTATCTAGTGTCTTAAAACAACTCTTTTATCTACACATAAATTAATAAAAGTTATAAGAATTCGTTAATGTTGTTGGATAAAAGTCATTATATAAAAATCAATTGTTTTACTGTATACAAGACACAAAATATTAATAAAATTTAAAGTATACAATTTATAGATGCATCAAAGAACATCAAATACCTAGAAATAAATCTAATAAAAATCTAATTAATTTTAAAAGTACAAGTTTTCTGTGCACAAAATTATGAAACATTTATTGATACGAATTAAAATATTATATTAGTTGTCTATTGCTGCATAACACATTACCCTAAAACTTAGTTGCTTAAAATAAGAATAAACAGGTCAGAAATTCAGGAGTGCTCTAACTGAGTGGTTCTGGCTTGGGGTCTCTCATGAGGTTGCAGTCAAGATTTTTTGGTCCAGACTGCAGCCATCTGAAGGTTTTACTTGAGCTGGGATATGGGCCTCTCCATATGACTGAGTGACTATGAAACATTGTGGTTGGCTTCCTTCAGAGAAATGATCCAAGAAGCCACAAAGGGAGCTGCAATGCCTTTTATGACCTAGCCCCAGCAGTCACACATCATCATCATCCATACTTGATTGGTCACACAGACCAGCTCTGAGTCAATGCGGTAGAGACTGCACCAAATTTACACAGGGTGTAAATTTCAGGAGGCTAGGGCTGTTGAGAGATGTCTTGGAAAGAGGCTACAACAAAGACCTAGTAATTGAAAGGATGTTCCATGTTCATAGATGAGAAGAATCAATATTATTAAAATGTCAGTTCTCTCCAATACGGTGTGTAGAGTTCATGCATTTACCAAAGCTCTGGCATATGATTTCCTCCACAATCAGCCTAAAATGAATGGAACTCTGACATTCATTCATTTATGTTTTTAAGTTACTGACTTAATTCTGTGCTAGCTCAGCACAGAATAATCAACTGACCCAATCTGTGCCTGCCTTCCATTTCATCCTAAGGCCATGTCCAATTTCCTCATTAACCCAAATAATATCTGAAAGAATATCTTCTCTTGCAGCCATGTGAAGTTTTTACAAATCACGTAAAGGTCTGAATAACACAAACATCAAAATTCTTTAGTCTTTGGCATAAATCCCATGGAACAACCAACTTTCAGGAATCTATTCATTTAGCCAGCTATTTCTCTAATATGAGGACGTGAATCTTCTTCCAATTTCCTCCCCAATGGGACAGCCAAAGGTATTTTCCTATGCAAAACTTTCAAGGCAGTCCCATTACATTATTACGTTATTTAATTATAATAACATGTTACTATAGACTTAGCCCACTTACCAGAATAATCAGTGGTCTTTACAGTTTAATCTCACTTTCTACTTTCTGTTTATGCAGCACATGCTCACCAAAATGCAATACCATGCTATGGTCGCTCATTCTGTCCACAAAGATTGCAGCTTTCTATGCACTCTAACTGCATTCTGCCACCTGCACCCTGTGGCCCACTTGAAATGAAGTTTGACTACATGACCTGCTTCTTTAGCCAATAAAATGTGAGCAGAAGTGATGCACTTCCAGGTGACAGATTTAAGAACTGGCATACTTTGCCACTTGATTTTTTTCCACTCTACATAGCAACTGTAATGTTCAAGATGCTGGCTTCTCCATCAGCCTGCATCCCAGAACGGGGAAAACAAAGTGGCCCTGGGAAAAAGATGAAAACACAACTTTTCTATCAAGCCCAATAGATTGAAGTCAAGAGAGAGCAACGCACGTCTTGAAAAGAACTGAGTGGGCTGGGCGCGGTGGCTCACGCTTGTAATCTCAGCACTTTGGGAGGCCGAGGCGGGTGGATCACCTGAGGTCCGGAGTTTGAGACCAGCCTGACCAACATGGTGAAACCCCGTCTCTACTGAAAAAATACAAAAATTAGCTTGGCATGGTGGCGTGCGCCTGTAGTCGCAGCTACTCGGGAGGCTGAGGCAGGAGAATGGCGTGAACCCAGGAGGCGGAGCTTCCAGTGAGCCGAGATTGCGCCACTGCACTCCAGCCTGGGCAACACAGCGAAACTCCGTCTCAAAAAAAAAGAAAAGAAAAGAACTGAGTGTAACTGTGGGCACATGAAGCTGATCAGAATTAAATAGATAAGAAGCCAATTAAGTTTTTGAGAGAGTTGTATAGCCAGAGAAATCAGGAGCCTGAACTAGAAATATTTACAACTGTTCAAAATTTAAAGCTACCCTGGGCCCTCCCCCTTTCCCCAGGCAGGAGGCAGGCTGAGAAAGCTGTTCTGCCCCCAAGGAGGACATATTCTTCAATGCTCACTTTAGATGTGGGCAAGGAAAGGTAAAGGAAAATTTGCAGAAGAAAGAACCAAATGGACTGAGGAGCAACAGAATGAGAACACTGTAGGATAGCACTTCCTGGCCCCCTATGGGAGGTGGAGCCAAGTCATCTCTTCTAATGGTGTGAGTGGAAGTGATGGGTCCTTCTCATCTTTTCTGATGGTGTGAGTGGAAGTGATGGGTCATTCTCATCTGTTCTGATGGTGTGAGTGGAAGGGATGGGTCGCTCTCATCTCTTCTGATGGCGTGAGTGGAAGGGATGGGTCGCTCTCATCTCTTCTGATGGCGCGAGTGGAAGTAATGGGTCATTCTTGTCTCTTCTGATGGTGTGAGTGGAAGTGATGGGTCCTTCTCATCTCTTCTGATGGCGTGAGTGGAAGTGATGGGTCATTCTTGTCTCTTCTGATGGTGTCAGTGGAAGTATTGGGTTGTTCTCATCTCTTCTGATGGTGTGAAGGGAAGTGATGGGTCCTTCTCATCTCTTCTGATGGTGTGAGTGCAAGTGATGGGTCCTTCTCATCTCTTCTGATGGTGTGAGTGGAAGTAATAGGTCATTCTCATCTCTTCTGATGGTGTGAGTGGAAGGGATGGGTCACTTTCATTTATTCTGATGGTGTGAGTGGAAGAGATGGGTCACTTTCATCTATTCTGATGGTGTGAGTGGAAGGGATGGGTTGCTTTCCTGCTGAGTGTGTTTCTTACTTTCCAGTGAGAGGTCCTGCAGAACACTTTATTCCTTCTGGCTTAAAGACTTTATCATTCTGCCAGACTGGATCCTTGAGAGCCTATGATAAGTAGAGTGCCCCTGCCAGCCCATGACAGCATGCTGTGTGGACAAGAAACAAACTTTCATTGTATTCAGCTTAGATTTGAGGGTCGTATGCTTCTGCATTACCTACTTATCACTGATACACCATTGGAGCAAAAAATCCCATCTATGAAGAAACTCCAATGATTTACCCTATATAGTTCTTTCTCTGAATATGTCGTATGCCTTACCTAGTGAATCCTGGGGCTAAAATGGTATTGAAATGGTCAGATCCAATCCTGAGCCCCTAGTCTTATGAACTAGGCCTCCTCTAACAGGCAGTGCTAAGCTTCCATCATTCCCAGACAGTGGCCCAAGATGAAAGAAGACTTCTCTTTCCCAGCTTAGCTTGAATCACAAAGCAATCCATTTGTTTTGGCCAAGGGGATGTGCTACTCTTTTAACTCAGGGTCGCAGGCTTTAGGGTGCACGCGATGGAAAAGAACTCACTTGTAACTGTTGCACCTTGAGTTCTTCTTGTTCCAAAAAGCTCCAGAAAGAAGCTCAGCCCCAAAAAAATAAAAACCAGATGGATCCAGAGATGCCTGAGTTGGAGATGAACTTTGGTGAACTCTCCTCATTACCATACTAAAAATCCAGTCCAGAGAGGAGTTTATTTGCCATTTTCTACACATGCAATGTATGAAGAAGCACGATGGGTGACTGCACCTGTGTGTGTTGCCTTTACTCCACCTCCACACACAATGACTCAGCCAACCAGCTCAAAAAAAGCCCTGTTTCACCTTTGTTTGTGGAGGCACTGCTTTGGGGAACTGTCGTGGGTGTCCTTACTTCTTGCAAGTAATAAAATCCCCTTGCTAAATCCTCCTTGATTGTGGTCATGCGACTGACACCTGTCAGGTGATTGAACCACCCGTCGTGTTGGTTACAGTCAGACTGTTACTGACCCAGTGACTAGTCACTGTGATAGCGAGGAGGTGGGACATGATCCATTGCCAGCAGAAGCAGGGGGAAAGGGTGCTGGGAAAAACCAAACCATAGCCACAACAACCGGCAACCCAGAAACAGTCCAAAGAGCTCCACTTCAGATCACTCCTTACCTTCTTTACTTCCCAAGGACACCAGGATAGTATGGGCTGTGGCCAGAGCTCTCCACTGATGACAGCTCACAGAAGCTGAGAGGAAGTTAATGACTCTCAAAACAGCTAAGGAACTTTCACTGATCTGCCTTCCTTGCACATAAAGGACATGGTAGAAAGAAAAGTCTGTCTTTGTGTCTGATAAAAATATAGATAACTTTGTTTCAAACTTGAAGTGATAATTCTTGAAGGCAATTATTGGGACTTCGAAGAATACTGCTACATACCAAGCTATTATTGCCATAATTGTCATTAATATCAACATAACCCAAATGTTTACTGGTTCGGTGGTCCCCTCCAAAGTAATAATAGCAGAACCTCTGCTCCCCTACCTCCATCAAAGTGTTGCTCAGCTCTTTCTGGGACTCCCCTGGCAATGCTCCACTAATCTGTTTGTTGGCTGCTTCCTGGGGCTGACTTCCAGATCCCAACTGCTGCTGTGTTGGGGACCAGCCTCAACACCACCCACCCGTAGGGTACCCGAAGTCCGGTGGCGACAAAGGATTGAGAAGAGACAGGTTAAGAGTTCATAAAGGTGGGAGCCAGGGGGCCAGTTGCAAAATGGAGGCTGCAAAAGGCGCCGAGCTCTGGTCTCCATGCTATATATTCAGTACAATCACTTAGATCTAAGAAGCAGATGTTCCGGGCGAAACAGTGAAAGGGTGGCAGTGCGTCATAGGCGTAATCTGTAGCAAGAGTGATTTAAACGAATCTCCTTTGTGCTCAAACAGCATATCTTTAACTTATCGGAGAGTAGCTAGTGGGAGCGGGCTTAAATAGGAGCCCACACGTCTGTCCACATTCCAGTGCTTCAAAGGAGTGCCTTTCTCCTTGAACACAGTGTTTACAGATAAGAGAGAGGGTCTCGCTCTAAGCATGGGAACATGAGGGCTATTAGGAGGCTTTCCTCCTCAGAGACCTCTTGTGGCTTTCCACAACTTATTGTCCCATATTTTTATGGCCAGTTTATACAGGCACCCCACAAGCCCTTTTCCCAACACTGCTGCTCCCAAGATTTTAGTCACCTTGCACGTCTCTTCCCCATGGTGATTTTCCAGTTTGCCTTCACCACCTTTGTGGTGTTAGAGGCCTCCCATCCTCCAGCCAGCCCCAGCAGGGAAAAGGAAGAACCTGCTTGACCCCCACAAACCAACTTGAGAATTCCCCAGGCCCCTCCACAGCATGGAGCACCCTCCTTTCAAAGGGATTAAACCTCAGCATCCTGGAATGAAGGATTTGTATCTATGTTACTTCCCCAAGAACAGAGACCAGCGAATGAATGTTTGTCCTCTATCCACGTGAGACAGGCTAGAACAACAAAAAATGTGCGCCTAAGGCACCTACCTCTTCTGTCAGAATTCACGGGCATATATTTAACCATGGTTGTCCTTTCCCATAAAAAAACATTTTTTATTAAACCCTATGCCACTCACTCAGTCACCTTAAATATAATGAAAACAGTGGTCATTGAATATGCCACATGCCAGGCATTACTTGCATTATTTAATCCTCTTACTAGCCCTAAGGGGAAGGTTACTACTTACACCCCACCTGACAAAGGCAAAAACTTGGTACCAGAAAGAGAATGGGATCTGCCAAAGGTCATCAAGCTAATGAGGAGCAGAGACCTGCCTGTCACCACAATCTGCTCCTAACCACCACTCACATTCATCCAGAAGCAAAGAGAATCATATAATAAATTGCTGCTTATTGATGCTCCCCACCTTCGTTTCCAATGAAGGTACAAGAATCCTTCTTGTTTTCAAACTCAGAAAAGTTCCCAAGAAAGGAAGAAAATGTTCTTGTAAAGAGAGAATATAAATACCATCTTATGTGTTCTTTCATCTTACTGTTGCGCAACTAGTAAAATTGTTGAAAGTGAAGTGGTATTTACATTACATGACTTAAGCTTTTCCATTAAAAAGTATAATATTGGATGACTATACGTTTTGTTTATGTGAAAGGTGGAGGAACCTCTACCCCTCTGAAATTGCAAATGTTACAAAGTGTTGCATATTTATTAGCCCATCTGCTGCTACAGCATTCAAGGGGAAAAAATCTTACTATAAGCAATTTATTCACAGTTACAGTTTTACCACCTGAAGTGCAAAATAACACTTGGTAAGTATTTATTATTGTGCTGAGTAATTTCAATTTAATTCATAACATTTTTTAAAGAGCACAAAAGTGAACATTTGCTTAGCATCAGGTTTTGTTTACATATTTTAGTTGAAAAGAATAATCACTAGTATTTCGGGTGATCAGGATAGGTTGCTCACCAGCATGGTTGTCAGGGATTTCGACTGTTTGAGAAACCTGATCATGTGCTCATGAATGTGGCAGCTGCATGTTACCAAAATTGACAAGGTAAAGATTTGAAAGGTGAATTTGAATCAGACCACCCAGGTATTTCCACCACAGACAGTTCTGCTGGGAGGCAGCTGCTATATTCTGCTGACACTGAATCCAAATGCAGTGCAAGATGAGACTGTTTATCTCTCTTGGCAGGATACCAGCAGTCTGTATCAGCTGGGGGATCTTTCAAAAGCAACTGATCCCAAAATAACAATTAAATAAGGACTCGGGCAGAAAATCACAGTCAGTGTGTAACTTTCACATCTGGGAAAAGGCAAACGAGAACTGTGGGAGTGACCTGTTTATTCCCTGTCTTGCCTTGACCCTGCGTCGAAGGGGAGAGCTGGGCTTTTGAGTTGAAGGTGGCATCTCTCAGGTTTCTACTCCATCACGAGAGAGAATTAGAGTCCTTTAAACAGAACCTCTGAGTTCCAATCTGATGATAGTTCAGATGATTGTAACCGACTCAGTTGCCACCCTGCTGCTCTGGGCAAAATTGCCTATCATGGCTCCTTTAACATGCGTCCCAGTTACCTCTCACTGCACAACAAACCACCCCAAACTTGAGTGATATAAGACCACTACCATAGTAGTACACGCATGGGTTCCGTGGACAGCTTAACTCAGCTTCATGATATCTGGGACCTCAGCTGGAAAGGCTCAAAGGGGTGGGGGTGACTGAACACTTGGTGGCTGGAATCACTGGGAGGCTTCTCACATGCCTGGTGCCTGGGCTGGGATGACCCGGAGGCTGGGCTTTAGCTGGGACCATTGACCAGAGGGTCTACATGTGGCCTCTCCACATGGCTTGACTCTCTCCCAGAATGGCAGCTGGCTCCCAAGAGGAGCATCCAGAAAGCAAATGTTCCAAGTGAGCTAGGTAAAAAGAAAACAAAGCTCATGACCTTTTCTGAACTAGTCCCAGAAGTCACACAGCTTCTCTTCCACCACATCCTCTTGGTTACAGTTCAGGCCAGCCCAGGCTCAAGGGAGCTGTGGCCAGGTCACATCACAGAAGGGCCTGTGGGATGGGAGTTCGTGTTGCCACAATCTTAGGAAAATAAAATCAACCCCAACATGACCAGAGCCTGGTGGTCTCCACTTTGGATTCCTGCCCTGGTTCTCTGAAAGGAATGTGTTGAGAAAAGAATAGAGATCCCAGGGCAGAAATCTCTGGGAAAATCCCTTCCCATTCAATCCACAAATTAGATGCTGTGCATCGTGGCCATCCAAGTCCTGTGGGATACAGTCCTCCCCCTCCCTCCAGATTTGTCTGGACCACATGGCTCTTCTCTCCCCAGCCACACTGCTCTTTAGGGTTCTTTTACTTTCCCCTGGGCTCTCCTACCCTGGGGTCTTGGGTGCTACGACTTGCTCCCTTCCTTCCCTGTTGCATGTATTAATGCCCCCGTATCCTTCAGATCTCAGCTTAAATATCGCTTCTTTGTGGAAAACTTCCCTGACCTTCTTCATTAGGTCAGACTCCTGGAATAAATATTCATAGCACTAGGTACCCTATCATGGTTGTAATTTTTAAAAAATGTCTATCTCTTCATTCTGACTATAAACTCCATGAGGTCATTAACTCTGATTTTGGTGACCATTGATAACCCCTGCCCCAACACATGCACCCAGAAGTACACAATCCCTGGCCCAGATAAGGTGTTTAATAAACGTGTTGGAACATATTTATATAGTGATTGAGTACCTCCTATCCACCGGACGCTGTGTTAGATGTGGGAATACAGTAGTGACTGGGACAATCCCACTCCCAGCATCTTGGAATTCACATGTGGATGGGGAGACAGAGGATAAACAGATAAACCCTCTGGAGGTATGTGTTGAAAGAAAAGCTCTGGGAGAGAAAAATGAGGAACCTAACCTAGCCTTGGAGTCTGAGGAGGTTTTCTTGAGGAAATGAGATTTCCACCAAGTGCTTCTCCTCTCCCGCCACCCTCCCCAAGTGCCGCATCCCAAGCAAGCATGTGGACACACAAGTCTCAATCTCTTCCTTTGTTATAGGAACAAATAATTACTCCTTTGTAATTTACATTTCTGTGTGTCATGGGATAAATCAATATAAGCCAAGGAAAGAGAAGTATAAATATTTCTCAGTGTGAATGGGCTGTTTAATATTGCCTTGTACACTAATTAAGTTGTATGTAATATGGAGAGTACTTTGACACTGTTAAACTTAATAACCCTCTGCTTAAAGAGGAAAGGCACATTTATAGTGAGATTATAGTCCGAGCTGTAATGCCTAGCCATGGGAATGCCTCCAAGAAGATTGTTTCCAAATTCCTCAAAGCACCAGCTTTGAAATAACAATAATGTGCGACTGGCAGCACTATCCTTTAAACAATTTAATTGTTGGCAAGGATATTTCTTCCGCCTGTTCCACCCAGCAGACTAAAAGTCAGAGCAGTTAATAAGCCTCTGGAGGTATCTACTGACCCTTAGAGCCCAGGGAGTATTAGATGGTCAAGAAGGTCCTCAGAGTCACCATGTTATATCAAGAACCTGTATCAAGGCCATCACTTCCATACATATCTCAATCTTGACAACTCTCTATGGTATGTTTATAGCCACTTGAGAGATGAGGAAACTGAGGCTCAGAGAACTTAAACAACTTTATTCATTTCTACATTCATTTCAACAATCAGGCTTTGTGTGTCTGCTTTCTGCCAGGCCTTGCTCTGAGCAGTGAACAAGACAGCCAAAGGCCCTGTCCTCACAGTACTTACATTCTAGTGGGGAATCCAATAAACACGTGGACAACAGCACAAGATGAAATTTGCTTGAAGAGCTTGAAGCAGGGAGCAGTTTAGAGAGGAACTCACAGGGAGGGTGGCCTTGACCTGAGATGGCAAGACAGGGAAGGTGGCCTCTACCTGAGATGGCATGGTCAGAAAAAGCCCCTCCAAGGAGACATTTAACCAGATTGGCAGCTCAGGGAAGAGGTTTCCAGGAAGAGATAACAGCCAGTACGAAGGCCTGGAGATGGACTGTGTTTGGCTTGTCCGAGGACAGGGGAAAGCCAGAGTGGTTTGCATGGGCAGAGTGCCAAGTGGTCTGTCTACTGGAATGTGGACTCCAGTCAGTTCTGTCTGACTCCTAAGCCCATGGTCTTAACCTCACCTCTGTGCTTTCAGCCTCTTACCCAAAAGTAGTAACACAGGGAAGCCTGAGCTGGCTCTTTGGGAAGAGAGAAGCCAAACCACTGTTTCCCCTTTTCTTGGGAGACACAGGCGGACAAACCAGAATTATAATGACATTTCAAGAGGTGGGTAAAAACAAGTTCATCAAGCCCAGCCCCAACCAGGTGAGACTCTGTCTTATCAAATAGTGCTATTTCCCAAAAGGACACTTAAAAAAATTGTAGCTGAAAAATCTGGGTAGAACACAGGATCTTCCATGCCTGCAAAGTAAACCGTTTGCTAACACAAGTCTATGCATTTTATTCATTCATTCACATACATGCTATTACAAAGCATCTACTACATGACAGGTAGTCACTGAAGCTGGTGTGCAAATTACATTCCACCCTTGCCCACACGAAGTTGACAGTGTATGTAGTAAGACCTCGATTAACTAGAACGCTACTCACTCAGTATAAAGGGGCCCATGGCAAAGTAAGCTTGCATCAGGGAAACAGTCACCAAAACAGCATTTTTCTTTTGTTGAGACAGGGTCTCACTCTGTCATCCAGGCTGGAGTACAGTGGCACAATCATGGCTCATTGCAGTCTCTACCTCCCCAGCTTAAGCAATCCTCCTACTCAGCCTCCCAAGTAGCTGAGACTACAGGCGTGTGCCACCATACCTGGCTAATTTTTTATTTTTTTGTAGAGACGAGGTTTCCCCTACGTTGCCCACTCTGGTCTCAAACTCCTAGGCCCAAGTGATCCTCCTTCCTTGGCCTCCCAAAGTGCTGGCATTACAAGCATGAGCCACCACACCTGGCCAAAAGCAGCATTTTTTCAAAAATTGTGGCTTTCCTTACTATCATCTTACTAAGAATGCTAAAACCAATCAGAACTTCATGTTCTAGCCCTCCCTCCCCAGATTAATTAGCCTTCTGGCTTGCAGGGAGAAGAGATCAGTATATAACTAACAAGATTTTCCTTAGCATACCAAGAGCAGGCCAATTGGACCAGGATATTTCCACAATGCCAGGTTAGGGAGAACTGGGGATATGGCAGAAAGAAATGGGGTACCCACCTCTTCAGGTTCAGGCAATTGAGGAGAAACAAAGGAAACAGATGGAGAGGCTGAGGTGAGGCTTCCCTCTTTGGGCCAAAGCTCCAGAATGAAGAGGTGCCTTAGGCAGATTGGCAGTGCCCGCAGGACAAGGGGCTTGTCAACCTCATATTCATGGCTCTGGGTGGAATTGGCTCTCAGGTGGATCTGCCCTAATTCTGATATACCAGGTGCCCCAGAGTGGACAGAGGATACAGACTGGAAGGCCCAGGGGAAGGGGAGGCCTGGAGTCTTAGCTTTTCTAAGCCTCCCACTGTTGCAGGGTCACATGGAGGAATCCTGCATTTCCACATGCTCTGGGGTGAGAAGGAATTAGCTGGGAGCCAATTAGCAATCTTGTCAGAAGCAAATGAATTTTGAATAAACTGGATACTTAAACTGAAATGAGACCATTGAAACCAGAAGAGCCTGAGATCCATCAGTTAGAGGAAATAAAAGAAGTGGCATTTTCCTTGCCATCTGGGTGCAGTGTGAGTGATTTTTATAATCCTACCACATTTTTATCCCTGCTTCCCTTAAACTGTAGGACCCAAGGAACCTGGCTGTTTTGTTCAACATGATGTGACCCCATACCTAACCAGGCCAGGCACAAAATTGGCCTCCAATAAGTAGTGGATCAAAGTATGAATGGATAAACTGAATGAATGAAGCCAAACTTGAATTTCTCCATAGCTTATCCAAATGGGAATGGTAAAAATCATAAGCTTTTGAGAAGAGAACTTATTAAGAAGCCCTACATCAGTCATGACTGGCATCATTGGTTAGTTTACCCAATTTTCTCCTTCCCTTCATCTTCCTAATGCAACTCTGGTTTGGGCTGCAGTATACCCAGTTAGAATACGCCCTCCCCAGAGTCTCATCCAGCTGGAGATGATCAAGTCACCAGTTCTAGCTAATAAGTTGCCAGCCAAAGTATTCAGGATGAGACTTCCAGAAAAAGCATTGTTTTCCTGATAACAATGGACAGACCCAGAATAAAAGGCATGTACCTTTTTTCTTTTTTTTTTTTCTTCTCTCTTCTCCTACCTGAAATGCAGAAGAAATGTCTGGAAGTGCTACAGCCATTTTGCAACTGTGAAGGCAAAACTCACACTCTAAAGATATCAGGACAAGAACCTGGAAGTGTGGGTCCTCACTTCTTCCTTGAGCATCTATACTCATCCTGAACTACAGTTTCCAGAACACATTTCACATGAGAAGAATAAGCATCTTTTGTCTACAGATCCCAAAGCATCCTTGGACACAATTCAGAGTTTCATGAACTTGAGCGGAAAGAGATTACATTTTCATTTTCACAAAGCCCTGAGATTCAGCATTCCCCTGCTTTGTGAGTGTGGACGGCAGACCAGGGTAGTATCAGCAATGCTTTTGGTTTTGTGTGATGGTTTGCTCTCAATTGGCAAGCCAGCAATACACCTTCATCGTCCTACCCTCAGGAATATATCAACCCTCCAGCCCTGTTATAATTTAGTTTGCAGGCATCTTGATCACCTTTTCCTTCCACAAGATGTCACACTGCTTCATTACATTGATGACATTACACTGATTGTATCTAGTGAGCCACAAGTAGCAACTACTCTTGACTGATTGATAAGGCATTTGCATGTCAGAGGATGGGGGAATAGCTGACTAAAATTCAGGGGCCTTTCATCTTAGTTAAATTTCTAGGGGTCCAGTGGTGTAGGGTACTTTAGAAGGTCTAAAGCAAAAGGTAAGTTGTTTCATCTGGCCACTCCTACAACCAAGAAAGAGGCACAATGCCTAGTGGGCCTATTTGGATTTTGGAGGAGACATATGCCTCGTTTGGGTATGTTACTCTGGCCCTTTTCCTGAGTGACCTGAAAAGCTGCTAGCTTTGAGTGAGGCCCAGAACAGGAGGAGGATCCCCAGTAGGGAGTTGCTGTGCAAGCTTCTCTGCCACCTGAGCCATAGGATCCAGCAGACCCAATGGTACCTGAAATGTCAGTGGCAGATAGGGATGCTGCTTGGAACCTTTAGCAGACCCCCATAGGAGAATCGCAGTGCAGGCCTTTAGGGTTTTGGAGCAAGGCCTGCCATAATTTACAGATGCTCTCCATGTGAGAGACCACTTTTGGCCTGCTACTGGGCCTTAATAGAAACTGAATACTTGAACAGGCCACCATGTTACCATGCGATCTGAGCTGCCTGTCATGACCTGGGTGTTAAAAATTATCTGACTGCAGGCCGGGCGCGGTGGCTCATGCCTGTAATCCCAGCACTTTGGGAGGCCGAGGCGGGTGGATCATGAGGTCAGGAGATCGAGACCATCCTGGCTAACAAGGTGAAACCCCGTCTCTACTAAAAATACAAAAAAAATTAGCCGGGCGTGGTGGCGGGCGCCTGTAGTCCCAGCTACTCGGGAGGCTGAGGCAGGAGAATGGCGTGAACCCGGGAAGCGGAGCTTGCAGTGAGCCGAGATTGCGCCACTGCAGTCCGCAGTCCCGCCTGGGCGACAGAGCGAGACTCCGTCTCAAAAAAAAAAAAAAAAAAAAAAAAAAAAAAAAAAATTATCTGACTGCATTAGTCCATTCTCATGCTGCTGTAAAGAACTGCCCAAGACTGGGTAATTTATTGAATAAATTGACTCACAGTTCTGCATTGCTGGGGAGACCTCAGGAAACTTACAATCATGGTGGAAGGCAAAGAGGAAGCAGGCACTTTCTTCACAAGGCAGCACAAGGGAGAAGTGCCAGGAGGGGAAATGCCAGATGCTTATAAAACCGTCAGATCTCATGAGAACTCACTCACTATCATGAGGACAGCATGGGGGAAACCTCACCCATGACCCAATCACTTCCCACCCCAGGTCTCTCCCATGACACATGGGGATTATGGGAACCACAATTGAAGACAAGATTTGGGTAGGGACACAGCCAAACCATATCACTGACCTACCAAGCCATGAAGTTGGGCATGCACAGCAGCACTCCATCACCAAATGAAAGTGGTGTATTCATGATCCAGTTTAAGCAGAACCTAAAGGCACAAATAAGTTACATGAAGAAGTGGCCCAAATGTCCGTGGTCCCCACTCCCGCTACACTGCCTTCTCTCTCCCAGCCTGCACCTATGGTGTCATGGAGAGATCCCCCTAATTAGTTGACAACTCAGGCCTAGTTTATAGATGGTGCTGCACAATATAAAGGCTGGTGCCACCTGAAAGTGGACAACTGTAGCACGACAGTTCCTCTCTGGGACATCCCTCTAAAGCACAGCGGTGAAGGGAAATCCTCCCAGTGGGCAATACTTCTGGCAGTACACCTGGTTGTGCACTTTTCTTAGAAGGAGAAATGGCCAGACATGCCATTATATACCAGTTTCCTGGGCTGTAGTCAATGGTTTGGCTGAATGGTCAGGGACTTCCAAAGAACATGTTTGATGACAAGTAAATGTAGGGGAAGGGGTATGTGGATGTTTCTCTCTGAATAGGCACAGGACATGAAGATATTTGTGTCCCACATGAATTCTCATCAAAGGGTGACTTTAGCAGAGGAGGATTTTGATGCCCAAGTGACTAGGATGAACCATTCTGTGGATACCACTCAGCCTCTTCCCCCAGCCACCCCCGTCATCACCCAATGGGCTCATGAACAAAGTGGCCATGGTAACAGGGATGGAGGTTATGCATGGGCTCAGCAGCATGGACTTTTGCTCACCAAGGCCAACCTGGCTATGGCCACTGCTGAGTGCCCAGTCTGCCATAATCAGAGACCAACACTGATCCCCTGACATGGCTCAGCATTCCCCCGGCAGATCAGCCAGCTACCTGGAGGCAGGTTGATTACATTAGACCACTTCCACCATGGAAGTTGCAGTGTTTTGTCCTAACTGGAATACATACTTACTCTGGGTATGAATTTGCCTTCCCTACACACAATGTTTCAGCCAAAACTACAATCCGTGGATTCATGGAATGCCGTATCCACCATCGTGGTATTCCATGGCATTGCTTCTGACCCAGAAACTCACTTCACAGCCAAAGAAGTGCAGCAATGGACCCGTGCTCGTGGAGTTCACTGGTCTTACCTTATTTCTTACCATCTTGAAGCAGCTGACTTGACAGAATAGTGGCATGACCTTTCAAAGACTCAGTTACAACACGAGCTAGGTGGTAACACCTCACAGAGCTGGGGCAGCGTTCTCCAGAAGGCCATATATGCTCTGAATCAGCATCCAATATATGGTGCTGTTTCTTCCATAGTCAGAATTCATAGGTCCAGGAATCAAGGAATGGAAATGGAAGTAACACCACTCACCACTACCTCTAGTTGCCCACTAGCAAAATTTTTGCTTCCTATTCCCTTGACTTTGTGCCCTGCTGGTTTAAAGGTCTTAGTTCCAGAGGAGGAATGCTTCCAGTAGGAGACACAACAATGATTCCATTGAACTGAAAGTTAAGACTAACACCCAGCCACTTAGGGCTTCTCTTGCCTCTGAGTCAACAGGCGGAGAAGGGAGTTATAGTGTTGGCTGGAGTGGCTAATCCAGACTACCTAGGGGAACTTGGGCTACCACTTCACATGAGGGTAAGGAAGAGTATGTCTGGAATACAAGAGAACCCTTAGAGTATCTCAGTATTACCATACCCTGGGATTAAGGTCAATGGAAAACTACAAGAACCCAATCCAGACAGGACTACAAATGGCCCATACACTTCAGGAATGAAGGATTGGGTCACCCCACCCCAGGTAAAGAACCATGACCAGATGAGGCGTTTGCTGAGGGCAAAGGGCATACAGAACAGGTAGTAGAAGAAGGTACAACCACGTGACCAGCTATGACCACATGACTGGTTACAGAAACAAAGACTGTAATTGTCATGAGTGTATCCTCCTTTTTTATTAATATTTTTGTGTGTACATATATGTATATTAAACATATATCTCATTTTTCTTTCTTCTCTTATTCCCCTATCATGTAAAATAAGATGTATTGACTTTGTTACCAGCATTTAAGCATTATTAGTTGTACATCATATATTTAAGTTATGGGATAGCATTAGAAGAGTAAACATCACTCTTCCAAGAAGGAATTAGTGTGTTTTCGGTTGTACACAGGATAGTTGTATCATGTCAGGAAGAATTATGACCTGGTTATTTGGAGATTACGTATGGCTTAAGCAGATGCATATGGGTGCCAACTTGACAAGGGGTGAACTTGCAATGGTTAATGTTATAGGTCAACTTGACTTGGTTAAGAGATACCCAGGTAGCTGGTAACACATTATTTCTGGGTGTGTCTGTGACGGTGTTAGTAAAAAAATTCCACTCTCACCAGTGTGGCAGGCAGCATCCAATCCATTGAGGTCCCGGATAGAAAAAAATGGCAGAGGAAGGGCCAAATTGCTCTCTTTTCTGGAACTGGAATATCCCCATGTTCTCCAAATCTCACGGTCATCACAAGTCCAGGTTCTTGGGCCTTTGGACCGCAGTGGCCCCCCACTTTCTCAGGCCCTCAGTCTCAGACCAAATCACACCACCAGTTCCCCTGGTTCTTCAGCTTGCAGATAGCAGATCGTGGGATTTCTTGGCTCCCATGATTGCATCTTAATAAAGATAGATAGATAGATGATAGATAGATAGATAGATAGATAGATAGATAGATAGATAGATAGATAGATTTTGTTCCTGTGGCGAGCCCTGACTAATCTAATACACTTTGTTAATAGAAATCACAGATGTTTTCCTAACATTACAGTTGTTGCCAATATCTCTATTTATCACCTACAGTTAGTTGTCACTATTTTGAAGTGCCAGTGGTAGGTTATTAGACACACTTCTTGACCTGGTTACTAACGCATTAATTAAAAAGCACATATACTACTATATCTCAAGTTTGGTCTTAAAAATATTGTGAAAATGGTTTTACTGTGATTGGTTTCCTTCTTCATCAGGTGTACTTTATTTTATGCATATATAAACGTTCTCTGAGAAGGAGTCCCCGGGCTTTGCAGACTGCCAAACGAGGTCACGGCACAAAAATAGTGGTTCAGAGCCTTTGTTGCATTGCACTGAGCACTGTGATCAGGTTTTCTTTAATGCTGCACAACAGAATTTCTAACTGATCCTCCCATTTTTCCCACCTGAAACACTGAAAACACTCAGGGAAGGGTAATTTCTGGAACCAAGGGCAGAGACACTGATGAACAGAGAACAACGCAGAGAACAACCTTTGTAGCTCATTTCTCTTTGACCTTGACCTTTTTCCTAACTCTAAGAGTCCTCTGTTGAAATTTCAGATACCCCTGGAAGATACTAGAGGAAGGTGGTCCGTGGTGTCTTTCCTCCTTCACAATCTTCCCTTGGGCTAGGCCTTTCTGCCATTCACAGGACAGTATCCAACCAATAAGGTAGAAAATGGCTTCCTCCTTGTGAGTGTGTGGTCCCCTAGGACTCGAAACGTCTGGAAATTAACGGAGGCTTTCCCCTACCTGTGCTATCATCCTCAGGCACGCCTCTCTCATTCAAGCCTCCCTGGCAGTTTCCAGGCCACATGCTTTATGGTGGCTGATGTTATGTCTTCCTGCTGGGATGATTTGCACTCTGATGGTTATCCAGCTTGGCATGCCCAACATTTGCACGACCTGCCCTTCGTCACAGCTGCCAGCTTGCCCAGAGCCATTTGTCCAGACCGCAGCCTCTCAAGCTCCTGTGGCATGACTCCCACAGGCCCACCAGGGAGCCGACAGAAATAATATGTCACATCCACAGGGTGAGCACAGGTCACCCCTTCTCAGTGGCAATAGAACATCTGCCCCAGGGAGATGAATTGATGACCATTTCATCATTCCTAGCGATGAAAGTCAGTCAACTTTCTTTTCCTATTTTGTTTGGCCATAGAACAAAGCCAGAACCTGAGAAGGAAAAGCCAGATTTCGGACACCCGTGGGAGGCCTAGCGTTGGCTATGGCTGGGTGGCATGGGATTCCTGTAAGACTTAAGGTCATCTGCTACCCCTAGCCTCGAGTAAGGGTAGCAGATGCTTTCATGCTTCTTAAGAGCACTGAATCTACTGAGTATTATTCTCAGGAGGTGTGCAGTGATGCTTCCTGGGCTTTAACATGGTATTTTGCAAATGGAAGTTGTTAGATTATGAGTGTATTAGTTACCTATTGCTATATAACAAATTACCCTAAAACTTGGGAACTCAAAACAATGAACATTCTTGTGGTCAGGAAACTGTTCATATTTTATCCATGCATTGCCTTCCCAATTTGTCGTGCTTCTATCTCCAAACTTCAAGTATACTGTCACTCAACACCAGAGGTTCTTAACTTGAGATCCATGGGCATTGAGAGAAGGTTCTAGGAATCTCTTAAAGATATGAGCCAAATGCTTGGGGATGTGTGGATTTTGCTGGGAAAAGGATCTGTAGTTTTCATTAGATTCCCAAATGGGTTCAAGACTCCAAAAAGATAAAGAGCACTTCTCATAATATTTAGAAGACATCTGTCTCCTTTCCCAAAATGCTGTAGATAGTATCAGAGGACCAATAGAGGAAATGCTGAGCTGCAGAGCAGGTGGCAGCTAACAGGAGTGAGCTGGCTTGCTCAAAGGCCCTCTTTTCCAACAGGTAGAGGAACAGAGGCCTAGGGAGGAGAAAGGGGACATGTAAAAGCACTAGCCAGGGTCACAGGTGTCCTGACAGGGTTGGAGGCCAGGGCTTGTTTCATTTTTGCCATGCTGCTTTCCTCACCACGTGATCTCACTAAATAATGGCACCATGCATTTCCACTGCCATCCTGCAAACAGGAATCTTTGCTAGCAGAGCGGCATGAATGTTGCTTCAACACAGTGTCTTGATGGTAAAATCCATTCACAACACCTTCCTTTCGCCTCAAATTTTTTCCCTTCAATTTGTTTGAAAAACCTTGCTCCATGCTTACGACAGCGCTTCACCATCCACAGGACAGGAAATGAACAGTAACCACTCAAAAATGCATGCTGTTTACTGTAAGAAAGGAGATGGGGTAGAGATGATGGCTGGTACCCTTGATGAAGCCACTTTTGGAAAGGCAGCCCCTCTAATCTAGCCAAATGCATGACTGAGACACCCTGGTAAACAGTGTGGCCTTTACTATCCCCTCTGCACACGTAAGATATGTGACCTTGGGTAAGTCACTTAACCTCTCTCAGCCTCAGTTTCCTCATCTGTAAAATGAGAATAACAACAGGACCCACTCCATAGAGTTGCAGGGAGTATTAAATCAGATACTAGGTATGAAGCACTTAGTCTAGCATCTGGCTCAGAGTAGGTCCTGGAAAAACAGGGACTGATAATATCCTTTCCCCTTCTGAATATCTAAAGGCTAAGAACTTGGCAACATCATAGCTAGTGAGAAGTCAAGGATATCTGGTTTTTTCACTGCAGAGTCTGTTCTAGTTATCATTATGATATGTAAGAATATCAATGAAAAGTCCTAGAGTTTAGGGTCCTGAGTTTGAGTCTTTTCTCTAACCACACCCTGGTATCACCTTTAGCAACTCACTGCTCTCTCAAGGCCTCAAAGCGAGTTACCTTCAGCAACTCACTGCTCTCTCAAAGCCTGGTCAGGGTTGCTTGGAGGCACACACTTGCTCTCCTACCCTCCAACCCCCTCCACAACCAGCTATGGCAGACATTGCTAGTCAATCATGGCACCTGGGGAGGACAGAGCCAGCAGTAGGCCTGCAATCCATTCTTTCCCTCTACAAGGAATGCTTTGGGAAAGAAAGGGAAGTACTTGATCAGATTTTCTTCTAAACATGCTAATAATGACAGACCTTCTGGAAAACACACTGACGGTATTTACTAGGGGAGAGTTCTTACCCATGGAATGATTTTGGCAAGGTATACCTGAGTGTCTGAGTTACTCATGGCAAACAAATGTGGGATCCATGGATTTTTGGGGCATGTCTTCCTGGAAAATGTCATATAACCTTTGTAATTTTTGAAATATCAAATGGAGATGCCTCATGATCAAAATGTGTCCGGAATTGGTTCCTTCCAGTGGGTTCTTGGTCTTGCTGACTTCAAGAATGAAGCTGCGGACCCTCAGGGTGAGTGTTACAGTTCTTAAAGATGGTGTACCAGGAGTTTGTTCCTTCAGATGTTCAGATGTGTCCAGAGTTTCTTCCTTCTGGTGGGTGCGTGGTCTTGCTGATTTCAGGAGTGAAGCTGCAGACCTTCGCAGTGAGTGTTACAGCTCTTAAAGGTGGCATGTCAGGAGTTGTTCATTCCACCCAGTGGGTTTATGGTCTCACTGGCTTCAGGAATGAAGCTGCAGACCTTCACTGTGAGTGTTACAGCTCATAAAGGTAGTGCAGACCCAACGAGTGAGCAGCAACAAGATTTATTGCAAAAAGCAAAAGAACAAAGCTTCACAGCATGGAAGGGGACCCAAGCAGGTTGCTTCTGCTGGCTGGGGTGGCCTGCTTTTATTCCCTTATTTGGCCCCACCCACATCCTGCTGATTGGTCCATTTTACAGAGTGCTGATTGGTCCGTTTTACAGAGGCTGACTGGTCCATTTTTACAGAGTTCTGATTGGTGCATTTACAAACCTTTAGCTAGACACAGAGCACTGATTGGTGCATTTACAATCCTTTAGCTAGACAGAAAAGTTCTCCAAGTCCCCACCCAATTAGCTAGACACAGAGCTCTGATTGGTGCGTTTACAAACCTTTAGCTAGACACAGAGTGCTGATTCATGCATTTACAATCCTTTAGCTAGTTAGAAAAGTTCTCCAAGTCCGCACCTGACCCAGAAGCCCAGCCAGCTTCACTTCTCAAAAAGAGCCCTCTTTTGTGTGTTTCTCCCACTGCCATTGCTTAGATTTCACTTGTTAATGGAGGAGAGGGCATTCTAATGTGGCAAGAGAGAATCTGGGGATCTTCACTGGGCCCTCTCTGTGCTTTGGCCTGTGCCTCACAATTACTAATACGCTTAAAATTGCCAGTACAGTTTGATACTAGATGAAATCTGATTCTTGCAAGTCTGATCTGGCAATGCAGTCCTTTGTGTTGTCTCAGCACCCTAGGGCTAAAGGTTAGAGCTGTACAGATTCTGAGAACACAGGTGGTGACCTCCTTGGGGCCAGGGTTCATATTGTACTCCTGTGTCCCTATTTCTACACACTGGATGTGACCCATAGTAGGTGCTAAGTAAACAATAGTTGAACGAGTGTTGGTTGTATTATCCTGGGAGTTGATTTTCGGGCCCCTGACTCTTCAGCAGAAGCATTCAATGATAACAACTCAGACAGGAGAGCAGGGGCAGGAAGTGGGTGAGGGGGAAGCCATGAGTAAAGCTGTGCATGTCCTCAAACTCATTTTGACAACTTTGACCCACACCCAGAGACTGCTTCAGTGTAATAGAGGGATCTGGCTAGTGTTGAATGCCCTTCTGAAACAGTTCCATCAGCTCAACAGATCTATTTCCTGCCATTGTCATAAATAATCCATATAAGAAGGATTGACATTGGTGATAGAAGCCTTATAATCCATCAGGTTGAACTTGAAAATTTTGTGGAAATGGCCAATTTTTAAAGCTTATTAGCTTTAAAAAATACGTTTCCACTAAGTTCACCAAGAATCTCTTATTAAGGAATAGGAGAGCTACTGAATATCATTTATTTTCCCCAATGCAGCTTAATAATTAACATGGGATTTTTTTAAGAGTCAGAAGCAGGTAAAGAAAACACAGACAAATTCTATTCATCTGAAATCTGCACATCTTTAATGGAAAAGACAAAAATACCAAACATATAAAAAAAAGAGAGAGAAGTTTCAGAAAAAATGGAATTCAACATTTATTGGAGAATAATTTTTCACTGCACTATAATAATTCATTAACCCCAGAATAAACCTAAAGTTAATGATTATTGTCATTATGCAGCAACATCTCACATTTTCCAAAGAAAAAAAAAAATCAGTAAGCACAATGGTGTCCCCTTGGAAGCCTTTTAATGCTTATTTTTGGTGAAATAAAATCCATTACCCAGGAAAAAAAATGCCCAGTGCTGAAGATTGTGCTGCAGTCCAGGGCCTGGGTAGTGTCACACACCGTATTTCAATAGGAGAAAAGCCTCGAAATTGAATTACTGCCTGAAGATTTTGTGCGAAAGAGGGCATTGTCAAAGGACCTTGTCAGATCATATTCTGTATGTTTTATAAGGCATCTCATAGTATATGTTTAAATCTCACAGATTTTATGCTGGGACACAAGAGGCCTGGGGCTGGGAGCACTGAGGTGTTAAAGGACAGAGATACAGTGAAATAAAATGCTGTCGCTCCAGTCTCTGTCATAATTCTCTCAGCTTACAAAGTGATCTTAGAAAGAGAAAGAGAAGGAAAGAGAGAGTGTGTGTGCATTTTTTGGAAGGTAGGATTGAAAGGAATGTCTTTTTTATCTATTATTTAATTACCTTAATTAGGGTTTCTCAACCTTAGCACTATTGACATTTTTGTTACCAGAAAGGGGACCTGATCCAGACCCCAAGAAAGGGGTTTTGGATCTCACACAAGAAAGAATTTGGGGCAAGTCCACAGACTAGAGTGAAAGAAAGTTTATTAAGAAAGCAAAAGAATAAAAGAATGACTACTCCATCGACAGAAAAGCCCTGAGGGCTTCTGGTTGGCTAATTTTATGGTTATTTCTTGATTATATGCTAAATAAGTAGTGGATTATTCATGAGTTTTCCAGGAAAGGGGCAGGGATTTCCCAGAATGAAGGGTTCCTCTTCCTTTTAGGCCATATAGGGTAACTTCTGGATGTTGCTGTGGCATTTGTAAACTGTCATGGTGCTGGTAGGAGTGTCTTTTAGCATGTTAATGCATTATAATTAGCATATAATGAGCAGTGAGAATGACTAGAGATCACTTTTGCTGCCATCTTGGTTTTAGCAAATTTTGGCAGACTTCTTTATTGCATCCTGTTTTATCAGTGGAATCTTTGTGACCTGTATCTTGTGACCTCCTATCATCCTGTGACTACAAATGCATAACCTCCTGAGGATACAGCCCAGCAGGTCTCAGCCTCATTTTACTGAGTCCCTATTCAAGATGGAGTCACTCTGGTTCAAGTGCCTTTGACATTTTGAGCTAGATAATTCTTCATTAGGGAGTGGCAGTGGGCTTGTACCTATACTAGGATATATAGCAGCATCCCTGGCCTCTGCTCACTAGATGCCGGTAACACTATCCACCTCCCAGGCATGATCATCAAAAATGTCTCCAGACATTCCAAATGTACCCAAAGGGGGCAAAATCACCCTCATTAAAAACCACTTACTGGGCCAGGCATGGTGGCTCATGCCTGTAATCCTAGCACTTTGGGAGGCCGAGGCAGGTGGATCACCTGAGGCCAGGAGTTTGAGACCAGCCTGGCCAACATGGCAAAACCCTGTCTCTACCAAAAATACAAAAATTAGCTGCACATGCTGGCAGATGCCTATAATCCCAGGTACTCGGGAGGCTGAGGCAGGAGAATCACTTAAACCTGGTGGGTGGAGGTTGCAGTGAGCTGAGATCGCACCACTGCACTCCAGCCTGGGCAAAAGAGCAAAACTCCATCTCAAAAAAAAAAAAAAAAAAAGAACCACCGACTGGGGCCTCAAAGATTATCACTGGGATCAGGACATGAAGAGTAGAAAGGACGCAATGTCTCTGGTGCCCACTGCAGCTGGCTGTGTGCTCAATGTCTGCCCAGGAAGGAATCTGCTCTAAGCAGAAAATATGATCTGCACCTGCAGAGGGGAAAAAAAAAAAAAGTCAGTTTCCAGAATCTTTCTACCTGTGATGTCATTAAAATTAACTGTAGATGTATTACCAGACTTTCCTCGTCCCCTGCCCAGAAAAGAGAATTCAGGCTTGGGCCATGAATTAGTCAGGGCTCTCCAGAAAAGCAGAAGCAGCAGGATGTGTGTATAGAGGGAGAGATTTAATTTCAGAAACTGGCTTACATTATTATGGAGGCCTGGTAAGCCTAAAATCTCCAGGATAGACCACAGACTGGAGGTCCAGGGAAGAGTTGCAGTGAGACCCAAGGCAGTCTGCTGGCAGAATCCTTTTTGGGCAGGGGAAATCAGTCTTTGTTCCATACAGCCTTCAAATGACTAAATGAGGCCCAGAGGCCCATCCACATTAGGGAGCGTAATCTGCTTTACTTAAGATCCACCGATTTAAATGTAAATCTAATCCAAAAAGACACCATCACAGAAACATCCAGAATAATGTTTGAACAATTATCTGGGCACTGTGACCCATCCAACTTAACACATAAAATTAACCATCGCAACCCATTTCCTGACTCCACCCTCTGAGAAGTGCCTGGCCCAGCCAGATGGGTTCTCTGGCTTTCATGATGAGAGAATGAAGAAGAAAAGGGAGGCAAGATAACAGGAGGCAGTCAGGGAGGAGGCTGAAGGAGGCTTTGGTTTTGTGTGTGTGGAGAGAGGTAGATGTAGAGAACTGGGTCATGAGAGAGTGAATGGCACAGGTTTATAAAACAGGATTTCAAGAATATCAGTGAAGAGTGTCATCATCAAAGTACTCAAAATCATACAAATAAAGGAGCTGAGTTATTTGTGAAAGCACTTTTGATGGTGTTGGCTGTGTTCTTTTTCATTGCAACACGTTTTTGGGACTTATCTATGTGGGTGTCTAGGCATTACACATATGACAGAGCCTCCATTGTGGCCAACAGGTTCCTCAGGTGGTGTGGTTACTGCAGCTGTGAGCCAACTTCAGTGTATTTATTTAGCCATTAACAACAGTAGAGAGGCCCATCTTTTCCTCTAACGGTCATTTCCTTCTTGCCTGAACACCTCCAGGGAAACTCCCCCAACCCCTTTTCAAAGGAAGTTTTCTTTCAGTCCATGATGAATGGGCAAGGTGGCCTGAAGGGAACATGGCCCACCCTCCAGTCTTAGCTAATTGCTGCAGGAATGGATGCTGGTGGGCCAGCATATATATATAAATATAAATGGATATTTATAACCTGACACGTCCACCCTACTGCTGTGTCCGGTTTCCATTGGCTGGAATGGAACCTCACATTCTGTATTTGTCCTGATTGGCTAGCAGCTTAGAACTTTCTAAAGAGGCAAAGGCAGAGGAGAACAAAGGAAGGAGGAAGTAACTTATGGAATGCTGGGAAAGGTGAAAACCCTCCAAATAAGGAAGAGGAACAGGCTATGACCTAATGCTTGTTTGGACCAGCATAAGCATGCCAGGGCAAATATTTAGGCTAAATTGTGGGAGCTAAGAACACAAAGCACATTGATTTCTTTATTATGGCTAGCAGATATCTAAGAATGTTAGCACAGGTCTTTGAATAAATTTTGCTTCTAAGAGAAGTTACTATTTATACCTAATTAGACAGGGAAGAAAAGAGAAACCTCTACTTTACTTTTTACACAAAAAGGTGGATAATCTAAAAGAAATCTTATATTAGTGATGATGCTGGTGGTGGAGATTGTGATGAAGGCAATGGTGATAATGATGATCATGATGGTAACAACAATGGGACACTGGTGGTAGTGATAGCAATCATGGTGTTGGTGATGCTCATGATGATTGTGGCAAAAGTAATCGTGGTGATGATCTGATTCTTATGATGATGCTGATGATGAAGCTGGTGATGATGGTGGTGGTGGTGGTGATGATTGTGATGGTGATAATGACAAAGTTGATGATGATGGTGATGATGGGAATGGTGATAGTGATGCCAGAAGCAACCACTCATTGAGTGCTTTAATTTTACCAGATCTACTTCTGATCAGATCTCTCAATTTCTTGGGTTAATATGCAGAGGAAATGAGGTCATAGATGCAAAAGCTTCTGAAAATGATTAAATCAATCATGACATTAATAATTTGTTTATTAACCACTTACTGTAACACTGCACTGAGCTCAGTGCTTTAGGCAGATATTTTCTCATAACAACTCTATCATAGATGTCATTTTTTATGTTTGACTGCTGACAGTTTTCAAGCTTCCACCATTCCCGTTCCCTTTGCCCCAAGTCTGGGCAAGCTGATAAGAAAGCCCAAATACTCCCTCCCTTGGCACCAGTGGGAAAAGTCAAGCTGTGCAAAAGTCAAGCTGTGTGTGATTGTAGGAACTCAAATCCCAGCCCCATCTTCTAACCACAATAAAAACCAAAGGCACTGCCACTTTGAGCCATTTTCAGACCAACTTGGGTGCCTCCCAAACCCTCCCAAAAAGACTCATGAACTGAGTAAAAAATATTTTCCTCCACTTTTGGTGCACTTGTGACATCATCAATTTCAATATTTGAACCAATTCGGGGTTGGGGGTCGTTGATCCTGCCCTCTTCACAGGGCAACCACAAAGTAAGCTCCATGAAATAGGGAATCTTATTGTTCTTATTTTATTGATAAAGAAACAGAGGATCAGAGAGGTAAATTAACTTGTTTCACATCACCGCAGCTAGCTAATGGCAAAGACAGGATTCTGTTTAACTCCAGGACCTGAGTGTGAATCAACCAGACTATATTTTCTCCATTTCTCAGGGTGATTTTAAAAATGAAGCAGGATACTTATGGTGGAAGATCCTTGAAAAACTGAAAGCATTTGCTATGGTCTGAATGTTTGTGTTTTTCCAAAATTCATAGGTTGAAATTCTAAACCCCAAGGCTGGGGGAATGGGATGGGGGGGCTTTGGGAAATAATTAGGTCATTAGGGCAGAGCCCTCAAGAATGGGATTAGAGCCCTTACAAAAGAGGCCCAAGAAAGACCTCTTATCTCTTCCGCCGTGTGAGGACACAGCAAGAAGGTGCCATCTATGAACCAGAATATGGTCTCTCACCAGACACTGAATCTGCTGGCCTCTTGATCTTGGACTTTTCCAGCCTCCAGAACTGTGAGAAATAATTTTCTGTTGCTCATAAGCTCCCCAGTTATGGTACTTTGCTATAGAAACCCAAACAAACTAAGACAGGGTCTGTTCACTTTCTCACTCTTTCAATCATTGACAACCATTTTTATAAAAAAAAACAATGTGTGTATGGGGTAGATAAATGGACTATTTCTTCCTTCAGTTTCTTTTTCTCAGCAAGTTAAATTTTTTACAGAAGTGTCTCCTCTTGCCCCCTACCTTAGCAGCTTCTCCTGATTTCTTACTGCCCAGAATGGTGACACATGGTAATGCCTAAAATGATCACTGGCAAGAGGCGTAGTGCAGCCCAATCCAATTAACGTGCTTGGGCTGTGGACTGGGTCTAGTTCCTGTGAAGTTTAAAAGGTGTGCAGGTGAGTGCATGTCAATCCAGTAATTACCTGCACTTCTGCTACTTACCAAGCGGGGTCTAGGTTTTGGGGATAGACATTTGGACAATCGGAGGCCCTTTGAGTCATTTAAAACCCAACACTCTTCTGAAAGATGTTACAGGATCCTGGGGCAAAGTAGAGGTCAACCAGGTTAACCCTCTGGAAAAATGCTTGGAATAAAGCCAACCAAAATGGGCAGGTAGGTTGAGAATGAAGGACTGAAGAAAGAGTTATAAAAACATAACCACAAACCTGGCAAGCATGAGGCTGCTTGCTACAGCAAGACACAAAACCTGAACCAGACAAGAAATTCATTTTAATAAATCATTCTTAACTAAAATTGCTGATGAAAGTTACAATAATGCTCAGCACCATAGCCCGGGTTTGGAGACTGCCTCTTTGCTCTAATTAACAAAATGAAGGATTAATTTATAAATCAAACACTCATATTAAAAATTCAGAGGGTGGCAATCAATATTTTTCTGTTCGTGCTAAATTCATCTAATTTTCTGTAATAAATGGCATTCAAAGATGATTATTGGTAAATTAACAGAATATCCAATTAAAGCACTTCTTGTGAGTGTTTGCCAATTTGGGGAGCTTGTTTATGGAAAATACAAGCTTTGGGTGGATCCTGAGGAGTATGAAGTAATTGACTCTTCCTTGGGTAACGGAAAGGTTCAGTTTGAATGGCTTGGAAACAAATCAACAAGAGCCATTTAGTAAATGTGTAAAAACATTTGCCCTTTTTCTTTCTCTTTCTCTTTCTCTTCCTTCCTTCCTTCCTTCCCTCCTTTTCTTGTTGTTGTTGACAACAAAATGAGTCAGGTCTTGCTACTTCCCACCTATGAAACCCAGAGCCTTGGCCAAGCCAATTGGATGTTATTTCCCAAAACTTTGAATATTGTAGGTGTGAAGCAAGGACAAGAGGATCAATTGAAGGTGCCTTATCACAGTGGCCGCAGTGGCACACTGGTGCCTGGCACCAGAAAAAGCCCTTGGTTCTCATCTCTTTCCTAAGCTTGGTTTTCAAGCTACCTATCAATGCTGAGAACTCTCGTGTCCTTCCAATAAATTCCCTTATGCTTAACAGGGCCAGCATCCGTTTCTTGCAGGCAACCAAGAGTTTTGACTGAGAAATAAATAACCTGAAGGAAAAGATAAATTGTGTATTAATTAAGTTTCCTGTTCAACTTAGTCTCTCTGTGTAAGGTAAGAGGAGCTTGCTTTTAGAAATATGGGGGAAGGCATCAGGAAGCTATTTAGCTTTGATAAATGTGGGGAGTGTGGTTTGGAGGGCACACGTCTCTGAATGAAATGGGCACAGAAAGAATTATGATCAGAGAGAGAGGTGGGAGAGGACAGTCAATCGGTTTACTAGAGCACATGAAATGAAGTCATTATCCAACCAACAAACAAAGGCTGGAAGTGCTGTTCAGGCCAGTGCAATTACTTGAGGCTCCTACTTATTACTAGGATGAATGACAAATATTCAGGTCTGGTTATGAATCAAGGCAGTACTTCTTCCTGGTCTTGTCTATCTGGTTTCTGACTGTGCACCTGCAATATGTTTCTCTAGCAGGGCTCCCAGTGCAAAGATCCTAAGCAAACTGGTGGCACAACATAGGTGCTCAACAAATATTTGTTGAAAGAAAGGGCAAATTGAGACCCTAGCATTTTGCTCCTGCTTTTGGAAAAAAAATGGTAGTATAGTCTTTAAAAAATTGTCATGCTTTTAACCATTTAAGAATGCATATCACCCCACTTAAAGATGTTCATTCAATAATTTCTTTCTCTTATAGGTTACTTGTAGTAGTAGACTTTCAAGATGGCTCCCAATGATTCTTTCATTCTGAAATTTATGCCATTATATATATAGCCCCCACCCCACATTCAATAGGGATGAATAGGGCTAATCTATGTATAACCGTTAGGATATTGCAGAAATGATGAAGTGTGACTTCTAAGACTACATCACAAAAGACATGGCAGCTTCCACTTTGCTCTTTCTGTCTTGGATCACTTGCTCTGGAAGAAGCCAGCTGCCATGTTGTGAGAACACTCAAGCAGATTTATCTGAGGTCCACATGGTGAGGAACTGAGGGATTTTTTGCTAACAGCCAACATGAATGTGCAATCCACGTGGGTGCAACATCTTGGAATCAGATCCTCCAGCCCCAAACAAATCTCCAGAAGACTGCAGCTTCATGAGAGACCAGAACCCAGAACCACTCAGTTAAATCCCTCCCAAATTCCTGACCAAGAGAAACTGTGAGATAACAAAATGTATTGCTGTTTTAAACCACTAAGTTTGGAGGTAATTTGTTATGCAAAAACAGGTAACTAATGCACTAGAAATGTTATAACCATAAAAAGCCCACATAATGATAATATTTGGGGTGACTTCTTCAGTCTACTCAGATCATCTCCTCCAACCCCAGGTTTCACTCCTCATGAGCGAATGTCTTAGAAACTTAGAGTTCACTGCATGGCTGGCCAACCCTGTAGTCATCAGAGAATGTTCCTCCTGGACCTGCTTCTTCACGACCCTCCACCTGTGTCCCCAAACGCCCATCATCTCCTGCTTACCTCCCAGTGTGGATTGTCAATTATTCTCCATCCATCCAGGCCCACTGTCAGATGAGGAACGGGGCCTCCAACCCTAAAGATAGAGCAGAGGAGGAAGAAGAACTCTCTCCAAAGTCACTGCTCAAAGTGGAGAATTTAAAAAATGAAAATCAAACCTTTTGCACCATGAAGATTGACCTCTTTCTTTCCAGTTGTCTCCTGTAAGTTATTACACTAAGTACGTTGCAAAAGGCTAGGCAGAGCCAGGGCCTGAAGCTCAACACCCAACTCCAGAGTGAAACTGATCCACAGCTCCTTGCTTTTCTCTTCTCCGATGAATGCGTTAGCTCAGCGTTTCCCAAGCACATGGATCTCTAGTCTCTTGGGATACTCAGAAGAGAAAACAAAAGAGTCTATGGACAAAAACCTAAGGAGTTGCCGTATTCTTTAGCCTCCCCTTAGAGATCCGTAGCATACATTCATATCCTAAGTCTTTCAGTAAAGAAAACTGTTTAACCCAGGATTTCCTGAGTGTGCTTGGACACAGAATATTTATTCCTCCCTAACAAATCCTACTGAATCAGTGTTTAACAGACACCCTTTGAGAAACACTGTTTTTGCCAAAATGTTGGTTTCTTCTCCTTTTTAGTTCTGGTTTTATGATGGCAAACAATGCAGCATGACACAAGCAGCATCACGCAAAGGAGACAGAGCTCAAGCTGCAGAGTGAGAAGACTGGGCGGGCGGGAGGTGTGTTTTGTTTTGTTTTGTTTTGGAGTTTTATTTGTTTGTTTTTTTGCTGTTTATTTTGAAAAAAAGTTTTAATACAAGAAATTATAAAAACAGTACAAAGAGTTCTCATCTACCCTTCACACAGCTTTTTCTAATAATGAAATTTAACATAACCACAGTACATTATCAAAAAATTCACAATGGTGGGCCAGGCATGGTGGCTCAGGCCTGTAATCCCAGCACTTCGGGAGGCCAAGGCAGGAGGATCACTTGCATCCAGGAGTTTGAGACCAGCCTGGGCAACATAGTGAGAACCTGTCTCTACAAAAAAAATAAAAAATTAGTCAGGCATGGTGGTGTGTGCCTGTAGTCCCAGCCACTCAGGAGGCTGAGGTGGGAGGATCATTTGAACCTGGGAGATTGAGGCTGCAGTAAGCCATGTTCATGCCACTATACTCCAGCCTGGGCAACAGAGTGAGACCCTGCCTCAAAAAAAACAAAAAATCACAATGGTACACTATTTACTGAACTCTTACTTGGGTTCCATCAGTTTTGACACAGCTTTCTGTGTATAGAATTATGAAATGTTATCACATGTGCAGATGTATGCAATCACCACCACAATCAGGATACAGAAGGGCTCCATCACCACAAAGAAACTGCCTCCTCCTCTCCCTTTATAGTCACAGCCTCCCCAACTCCTAACCTGCCAAGCACTCCATTCCTATATTATTATCATTTGTAGAGTGTTACATAAATATAAGTATGCATAACCTTTTGAGAATGTTTTTTTCTCTCAGCATAATATTCTTGAAGTCCATCCAAGTTGTTGCACGTAGCCACAGTTTATTTCTTTTTATTGCTGAGCCATACAGGCATACCTCATTTTTTCGCACTTTGCTTTTATTGCACTTCACAGATATTGTGTTTTTTACAAATTCAAGATTCTGTGGCAAGCAAGTCTGTCAGCGCCATTTTCCCAATGCAAGTATTCACTTTGCGTCTCTGTGTCTCATTCTGGTAATTCTCTCAATATTTAACATTCTTGTTATGGTGATCTGTGATCCGCAATCTTTGACGTTACTATTGTAATTGTTTTGGGGCACCACAAACTGAGCATATGTAAGATGGCAAACTTAATAAATGTGTGTGTCCTGACTGTGTCACCAACCAGTCATTCACCCATCTCTCTCCCTCTCCTCAGGCCTCCCTATTCCCTGAGACACAACAATATTGACATGAGGCCAATTCATAACCCTACCATGGACTCTCAGTGTTAAAGTGAAAGAAAGAGTTGCACATCTCTCACCTTTTACCAAAAGCTAGAAATGATTAAACTTAGTGAGAAAGTCATATCAAAAGCCAAGACAGGCCAAAAGCTAGGCCTCTTGGGCCAAGTGGTAGTCAAGTGGTAGATGCAAAGTAAAAGTTCTTGAAGGAAATTGAAAGTGCTACTCCAGTGAACATGAATGATAAGATAGCAAAACAGCTTTATTGCTGATAAGGAGAAAGTTTGAGGGATCTGGATAGAAGATCAGGATGCAAAACATTCCCTAAGCCAAAGCCTAATCCAGAGCAAGGCCCTAACTCTCTTCAGTTCTATGAAGGCTGAGACAAGTGAGAAAACTGCAGAAGAAAAGTTGGAATATAGCAAAGTTTGATTCATGAGGTTTAAGGAGAGAAGCTGTCTCCATAACATAAAAATACACAGTGAAGCAGCAAGTGCTGATGAAGAAGCTGCCAGTTATCTAGAAGATCCAGCTGAGATCATTGAAGAAGGTGTTACAGAACAAAGAAATATGTTATAGGAAAGGGGTCCCAATCCAGACCCCAAGAAAGGGTTCTTAGATCTCATGCAAGAAATAATTCAGGGCGAGTCTGCAGTGCAAAGTGAAAGCAAGTTTATTAAGAAACTAAAGCAATAAAAGAATGGCTACTCCATAGACAGAGCAGCCCCGAGAGTTGCTGGTTGCCCATTTTTATGGTTATTTCTTGATGATATGCTAAACAAGGGGTGGATTATTCATTCCCCCCACTTTTTAGACCATATAGGGTAATTTCCTGTCGTTGCCATGGCATTTGTAAACTGTCATGGCACTGGTGGGAGTGTAGCACTGAGGATGACCAGAGGTCACTCTTGTGGCCATTTTGGCTTTGCTCAGCTTCTTTTCTGCAACCTGTTTTATCAACAAGCTCTTTATGACCTGTTTTTTGTGCTGACCTCCTATCTCATCCTGTGACTTAGAATGCCCTAACCATCTGGGAATAAGGCCCAGTAGGTTTCAGCCTCATTTTTCCCAGCTCCTGCTTAAGATGGAGTTTCTCTGGTTCACATGCCTCTGACAAAGGTGGCTAAATCGAACAACAGATTTTCAATGTAGATGAAACAGCCTTCTATTGGAAGAAGACACCATCTAGGATTTTCCTAGCTGGAGAGGAGAAATCAGTGGTGATCAGACCCCAAAATATACAATAAAATGAGTGCATCAGGGACCTTGGACCCAGTGTGGGGGTCCCTGCAATGGTGAGGGGCAGAGGGAGGGAGAGAGATGACAGGAGCAACTGAGTGCATTGGCATTTCCTCTGCAGGCCATAGAAAGGGAGTTTCCCCCACTGCTTTTACCAGAACACCAAGCCTTTGAAGCCTCCCATCCCTCAGGAAGCATTCAACCTTTTAAAAAACAGCCACAATGAAACCCTCCTCTTGTCCAAACATCTCTGATTCCCTCCTGTCTAGTTCTGCTTCAGCTCCATAAACAAAGGTGTGCACTGGCACCCAGTGCAGAAAGCTAAGCCCTTGTGAAAACCTGGATAACTCCTACTCCTGATAAAGGTGGACTGTGTGTGAAGAAAGTACACCCAGCAATAAAACACAGGCTTGGCATAAGGAAACTAGGACAGAAATGTATTTGGCAATCATTTTCTATAACCTTAAAACCGTCCAGCTCTATGAAAAGCATCCTTGCAAACATTTGTTTTTGGTGTTTTGTGAGTGTGGGCACAGGTAGGTGTAAAAGGAAAATCTTGGGGCCCCAAAATTACTAAGCTAAAGGGAAAAGTCAAGCTGGGAACTGCTCAGGGCAAACTTGCCTGCCATTCTATTTAAAGTCATCCTTCTGCTCACTGAGACAGATGCATAGTCTGATCTCCTCCCTTGAAAAGGCTTATCAGAAACTCAAAAGAATGCAACCATTTGTCTCTCACCTACCTGTGACTTGGAAGCCCCCTCCTTGCTTCAAGGTGTCCTCCCCTTTCTGGACAGAACCAATGTACTTCTTATATGTATTCATTGATGTCTCATGTTTCCCTAAAGTGTATAAAATCAAGCTGTGCCCCGACCACCTTGGGCACATGTCCTCAGGACTTCCTAAAGCTGTGTTATGGGCACTCGTCCTCAACCTTGGCAAAATAAACCTAAGTTAACTGAGACCTGTCTCAAATTTTGGGGGTTCACATTTGGTAACCACGGGGGCATTCTGAGTGGAGATGCTCCTGACCTTTGACAAATTTCCTGTGGTGCTTGGTACGAGCATGAGCTAACGTTATGGCTGAAACCAATAGGACAATTTGCTGAGGTCTGAGAGCACCCCCTTCAGGGAATCCCTGATCTCTCAAAATTTGGTCAAGATCTAAAGTTTATTTTGCTGTACAACTCCTCTTTTTTTGGAGTTTTACTTGCTTCCAACACAAGGAAGGCAAGTTTTTCTGCTTCCATGATGGTGGAAGGCAGGTAACTCCTTTATGGAGTTTGATTTGAGCTCACTTCTGACAGGGAAGACGAGCTTTTTTTTCCTGCTTCTAGGATGGTAGACAGAAGTCTTCAGCCTAAGATCCATCCCTGGGTCTTAGTAACTGAATTGGAGTTTGTCTTGGTTAAGTTGAGATTAACAACCAGCTGGACTTAATTTCTCCTTGCCATTAGAGCACTCAGTGATCATATTGTTGGGGGTGTTGTTTGTTCTGGTCTTTCTCCCATCAGATTTGACCAACTCTACCTGAGTTGGTCAAATCCAAGTGAGAATTCCAAATTATGGGAAACAGGGCCTCTCTAATTTTGCTAAAATTCCTCACAGCTGCAAAAGAAAAAAAAAGCCATGTGTTTGGGCTCTGTGTTTGCTTCCTGCCTTAAAAAAAAAAAAAATCTTTCATTTATTTTCCTTCCACCCTATATCTCCTTTCCCCTTTTGCCATCTGCAGTACCAAAAAATTTAGAGAAGGAGTCTAATGACTTGAACCCCTTTTAAAGAATTCAGAACAAAGGCACCACTCACCTGCTTTTGGGGTGTTCTGTTCTCTTTGGGGAGTTTCAAGAGTCAAGGGCATATTTCTTTTAGGTCTAAAGCTGTTTTCCTGTATTGCATGACCTGACTTTTTTGGCTTTGGGGTTCCAGAAATGACTTTGCACTGTGAGAGGATTTGACCTTGGCATGTATAATGTCACACGAGAGCTACAAAGTAACGGGTAGCTGAGTACAGTTTACAGGAAGTGATCTTGGCTGGTTTTTTTATTTTTCTCTTGTAGGAAGTTGTTGTTTTAGGATCCTAATTCTAGTTCGGAGATGCATTCTAAAGAGTCTTCTCTATTGCTTTTTCTCCCAAATTAATCTTAATTTGGTTTGTCTGTGCATATTTGCATGAGGAACTGAACTGTTGTTTTCATACGTTAATGAGTGACTGAGTTTTCTCAGCTCTTAAGAGAAAGGGCATTTGCTCCCCTCAGCCGAAAAGTGCCCTAGGTGACTGAAGGCCTCTGGGAGTGCCTGGAGGATTGACCCCCTACAATGTGCAGCTGCCCTGCAGGAAAATCCCCAACAAAAATTAATTTTTAAAATGGCTTGTCCAGGAAACACATATAAGAGCTGATCACCCAGTGTTTTGAGTCCTCTCTGACTGAGGTCATAGACCTCTGGAGAGAGAAACAAGACACTTAAGAGGGTGGAAACCACTCAGTGGTGACACACTGTGGAGTCCTGCCCACCAGCAGCACACATGGATCCGTCCACAAAAACCCTAGGCCACAGCTCAGTTCCTCCTTTTAAGATAAAAAAAAAAGGTAGGAAACAAATGATCTAAGAATGAAGAGAAAACAAGGAGAATGACTCCCTTTCGAGCACTCCATAGGTTTTATGGTGCCTCTACTTGCCAGAGCTTATATAATATGGAAATAATATGGCCTTTGTGTACATTTATGTTAAGGAAAAAGAGCCCTAAGGTCGATCTGCAAACTATAGAGTTCCTAAGTCCTTTTTTAATCTATTTTTTACTTTCTGCTTGCTCTAAACCTGCTGCTATTTTTCTATTAAGATAAAAACCACTGTTTAGATCCAACAAGTTCTTTTTGCAAGCCAGTGAATTTGTATTTATCTCATGGCTAAAAGTTCTAAAGTAAAAGCTATAGAATCTTCTGTGTGTGTGTGCGTGTGCATGTGTGTGTGTATTTCAAAGGCCTTTATCATTTCTACAATGTTATCTTTAATTAGCAATTAAGTCTGTTTTAATCTCCCTCTAACACACCAAACTTCTTCTCTCTGCACCTTATAATGTAAATTTCGCTATTTGATTTTCACCTGAGTTGTTTCCTTTGATATGCAAATTAGCTGGCAACTGCTCAGTCTTGTGAAACAGGTTATCAACAATCTGAAAGTCTAAGGAAAAAAAAGTTTTTATGAATCTATAAGATGTACTTCTATCAGCATGCCTAATATGTCTATGTATTTATGTGTTGTGTACACAATGTTTCACCACTAAAAATATATAAAAGAGCTCTAATTAATTGGCTTAAAAAAATAAAAGTGTTTAAATCAGGTACTAAAAAAGAAAAGACTAGTCAAATGCTTTTTCAAGTTTATGTAACTTAAGTAAAATATTTAATAACTAATCTAGCTTTAAAATTATTGATAAAGTAATATTAGAAATATCTTAAGAATTTCCAGCATAAATTTCTGTTTGCATTTATTAATCAAGCAATTCCATACTTATCCCTGCCAAATACTATAAGGTGTCAAAATTTGGTATAGGGGTTACAAAACTATAAACCCAGCCCAAAAAAGGATGATCTTTGCTTGTGTAATTTTTAATAAATAAGACATTGATATTGGTTTAATGAAAATAGCTGCATCTTGAATTTAGTAAGATTACCATAACTTCTAATCCTGTGGCTTTAGGCAGTATAGTCCACAGGCGGTAAGGAGGTTTGTTTTGGGAAAGGACTGTTATCATCTTTGTTTCAAAGCTAAACTATAAACTAAATCCATCCCAAAGTTAGTTTGGCCTACGCCCAGGAATGAACAAGGACAGCTTGGAAATTAAAAGCAAGATGGAGTCAGTTAGGTCAAATCTTTTTTACTGTCTCAGTTAAAATTTTGCAATGGCAGTTTCATAACTTTAAATGATGACTATAGCAGTTTTCATAAATAATCTAGTAAACAATTAAAACAAAATAATTAGGTAAAAGGAATAGGATAAATACTTGTAGATAAATTCATCATAATTTAGAATCTAAAGTTAAATTAAATAATAGATATTTCATTTCATTATTTAGATATTTTCCAATAAAACTATAATCATAGGAAAACATTCTTTTAAAAAAAAGTGTGTCCTCTCAAAAAAGGTGAACAATTTTTGTCTAATTCAAACCTTATTTAAAGGTCATGTATAAAACAAGGTAAAAGGAACTAGGAAATAAAAAAGATGTAAACAAAGTTATAAAAATAAAGAGACTTGTTGTAGTTAGAAAGCTTAAAGAGAAATAATTTTATATGAGAAAGAATCTTGTATGGTAAATTTAGTCCTAAAATAAAATGACTGTTTAAGAAGAAGGGATGTTCAGGACAAACCACAAAGTCCAAGCATGTCATAAATGGTCAGCGTAAGTCACACTAAGAGGATTTGTTTTTAAAAAAAACTTTTATATTATCAAGTTGTCATATCATTATTAAGTTTTGGTTTGCTTAGGAAAAAACAAACTGAGAGAAAAAAATGTTAATTGAGGTTATTATATCCATGTATCTTCCTGTGTGTTTTTAAAGTCCTTGTGACATTGAGTTACAGGGCTTTGACCCCTGGGTCTACAAAAGACACTATGTCCTGCTAAATCTTAAACAATGAAAGCAATTAAAACCTCATCTTCAGGCTCCTAAGAAGATGCCAATAAGAGGAAGGAATGAAGGGATTTATTGAAAATGAAAGTACACTCCACAATGTGGGAGAGGGCCTGAGCATAGGGGCTCAAAAGGCATGTTACAGAGTTTTTGTGAATTTAAATGCCCTCTACTTGGGGTACATCCTATGTAAATGAAGAGTATGAAGTAAAATTACAAAGTTATATACTTGGTGTATGCCCTATGGAGAGGATATTTTCTGTTATAGCTGAAGTGTGAATCAGCCTTATGTTCTCTGCCTCTAGACCTTATTTTCCTGCCTCATCTGTCCTTACAAGAAATACAAAAATTAGCCAGTCATGGTGGTGGGTGCTGGTAGTCCTAGCTACTCAGGAGCCTGAGGTGGAGGGATCATCTGAGCCCAGGAGCCTGAGGCTGCAGTGAGCTGTGATCATGCCACTGCATTCCAGCCTGGGTGACAGAGTGAGACCCAGTCTCAAAAAAAAAAAAAAAAAAAGACTCAAGAGAGTGCGAGTAAATTGTATATGCATAAGCCTTCTGATTGGGATATTTCCTCAATTGATATTTCCACTGAACAACATTTTTTATCAAAGTCTGGGGCTTAGTTAAGCTAACAAGCCATTACCCTTCAACGGAGACTTTGAACATTTATCCTAGTCAACGAATCTACATAGCTCTCTTTGGAGATTTAGGCCACAGTTGGACTCTGCAACTCATTTCAGGCATTGCTCTGGTGCCCAAGTTTGTCTAGAGAGGGGGCTCAAGAGTGAGAACACAGCTGGACAAAGATCAGAAATGGAGCCAGGGTGATGGGTCTACCACACTGAGCTTTTTGTTCCAGGAAAATGTATCTTCGGAGTCATTCTAAGATTGTAATATTTCAGAATTCCATTTTACTGAAATTCTCAACCCCAACATGTGGACTGAGAAGTATACTTCCAGCACTTGAGTTGGGGGGCAGAATATCTTGTAGCGATGTAGATTCATTGACTAGGATCAATGTTCAAAGTCTCTGTTGAAGGATAATGGCTTGTTAGCTTAACTAAGCCCCAGACCTTGATAAGAATTGTTGTTCAGTGGAAATAACAATTGAGGGAATATCCCAATCAGATGGCTTATGCATATACAACTTACTCATACTCTCTTGAGTCTTTTTTTTTTTTTTTCGAGACAGGGTCTCACTCTGTCACCCAGGCTGGAATGCAGTGGCATGATCACAGCTATCTTCTGAGTTGGCAGATAGGGATCCTCCCAAAGGCAACTGGACTTTGGTCCTAGGACCTACCCAGAGACCAGGCCCTTCCTAAGAGAAGGAAGAGGAGGAGACACAGACTGCCTTCTCCAAGACATTCTGTCCCCTGACTCAAGTACTGGAAGTATACTTCTCAGTCCACATGTTGGGGTTGAGAATTTCCGCAAAATGGAATTCTGAAATATTACAATCTTAGGATGACAACCTGACAGAATCATTGCATTCCATGAGCTCCTCCAGGACATAAATTACCTCTTAGTCCTATTTGTTCCCTCAGTCCCTAGCACAGTCTGGCATGGTTGAGACAATGAATGCTTTATAACTCTAATAGATTCAGGAGCCTCCCTGGCCCAATTTCTGCAGTTATGTTCAAATAAGTGTAGTCCAATCTCTAAAAGAAAACTTTAAAAGAATCCCAATTTTTACTTGAGTTTCTCAGGAAACATGATAAAGGAGCCAGTTAATATCCCTCAAGTCCTCTCTGCTCTTCTCCTTAATTTTCTCACACCCGGCAGCAGCCTCTCTAGACCACACTTCCCCAACTTTCTCCACCCCTGACCTCAAGGAATTTTTTCCTCCCTCCCACCTCCACCCTCACTTCCAGCCCTTTGTATCTGATTTCAACTCAGCCTTTCTGGCTATGTCCTTCTCCCTTTCTTCTCCAGCTATCTCTCTAACTCTTCGCCAGATTGCACATGACAAAAGCTCTGAGAACTGAAATGGTAACCACAGAACCTACCTTGGATAGGAGAGAGGGATGGTATCAAATGTAAAGGAGACAAATCAGAGTAGTCAAAGGCAACATCTAGCAAGGAAGGGAAGGCAGGGAACACTCATCTCCACTATAGATTGATGAAAAACCATCCATGTGTGGATTGATTGACAGACAGATAAATAGAAGATCAGAGTTTTCAGGAACCCAGAGTCCATCTCATTCCCTCCATTCTCTCCCAATTCCCCAGCAGCTCAGGAATTCTCTCTGTATCTTCCAGAGTTTGTCCAGCTTCCACAGGAATACCTCTGGGAATCAGGAACACCTAGAGAGTAGTAGGCACATTCCCTCTTGAACCCTAAATTATGAACTCACGAGGCTCAACCTAGAGCAGGAGGCCTCGGCCAAAGCTAAACCCACAAACTGCTCCAAGGACCTACCACAGCTGCCTTTCCCCTACAGAAACTGCCTGTAGAAATGGCCAGGGAAGATCAAGAAGCAAGTGAGGAAAGAAGGACTAGCAGAAGAGAAGGTGAGTACAGTGCTGCCTCTGCTCAGGCCCAGAGATTTGGCCAGTGGAGGCACAGGCTCAGTCCCACAGCATGTTCAGGCAACGGGTCATCCAGGGCTTCAGCTCCAATGTGACCTAAAGCCATGGGACTGTCACCTTTGGTACCTTCACCAACTTGCTCCCACCATTCACGGCAAAGGTATTTTTCAATGCTCATCCCCTCTATTTCCTTCTTCCCCAAGACATCATCTGTACTAAGCCAAAGCCACTTGCAGTGGAGTGGACTTTATCTGAGCCCCCATTAGACTTGGCTTTGGAGGCCACATTTTATTAAATGCACCAATCCCCCTACACAGTCCCCTTGCCCCTACACAGTCCCCTTGCCACCCAAGGAAAGAATCTGGCACCATTTCCCCCAGCTCTGTAAGCATCCTCTCCCTGCTCATGGCTCACTCACATGTGCATGTCCAGAGGCCACAGATAAGAAAATTTACCTTCTCAGCAGCCCTGGGGGCTGCATCAGTCTGATTTTCAGAGGCAGCAACTGGCGCGTGTTGGGGTGGGGGGCAGTGAATGGTATGTTTCAGTGTTTTCAGGAACTCAAAGTGTACTCTTCCTTTGTTGTGCTATTGGGCAAACCTCCAACAACACCAGCTGCTGTCATGGAGATGCTTCTGAGACAACTGGATGGGTTGCACAGAGCAGAGTGGCTGAGATATGATGTGATCATACACAAGCGGTAGGCGGGGACTTATTCAAAAGATAACATTGGGAATGTTCAAGCAGGACAGCTTTGGGAAAGGCAGGGGCTGTAAATAAAGCAATAGACTCTTTCTCTCTGGGCAAAGATCAGAGGAATGTAATAGGGCATTCAGTAGGAGAATGACAACTGAGGATTTACATTGCTAACAGTACCCAAGTGCCTAACCAAGTGGCCTCTTCCATTCACTAGCAAGGATATTTTGAGCACCTGCTGTGTGGTTGTCCTTGTGTTATAAACACCCCAAAGACAAAGCAAAACATATACCAGAGGCTGCTTAGTGTGATCTCCCATCATAAAGAGCCCAATTAATCTCAGGTCCTTCATTTGCTGGCTGTGTGTCTTTTCATCTGTTACCAAACCTCTCTGTGCCTCAGTTTCCCCATCTTAGAAATAATGCTTTTCTCATAAGTTGTGGAGATTGCATGAGATGTACAAGTAAGGGCATAGCATAGTGCCCAGCACATCATCAGCACTCAAAAATTAGATGAGATTAATTTTAGTAAAGTACTTTTTAATAATATCCCAGGTAGACCTTGGTTAGTGCTCACACTGGGAGAAATTCAAAAGAAGGAGAGAAAGAGTGAGTGAGACAGGAGCAGGGGGGCCTCTTGGATGAGGAGACATAGGTAAAACTTACAAGACCTATTCCCTTATAAGATGTGATGGGGAAGCCATCCTGGTCTTGAGTTTTCACATTCATTTCAATCAAAAAGCTTGGAAGGGTAGGAGAAGTGTCTGCCAATTAACATTTATCGGAGGTGGAAGTCATTTACAGAGGCAAAATAATAGTAATTAATGATCACTTATTAATTCATATGTCATGGAATATAAGACACACAATTATGTCCCACTGAGAAAAAATAAAAACTGCTAATTGAACAATGACAAAGTGCTCTTTTAATAGTTATGGTAAGATGAATCCCAATTTCAGATATGTTAAAAGGTGAAAAAAAGAAAATGCACTTGGGAATCAGTGAAGTATGATATTTGCCATGTTCTATAATAATGCATTTTAAGAGCATTTTTATTGAACCTGCACAATTAAACAGGTCTATTGGAATCCATTTGACAGATGAGGAAACTGAGGCACAATGCAATGAAGTAAACTGCCTAGGGCCCTGTAACAAGTAAACACTGAAACTGGCAATCAGATTTAGAGCTGCCCCACCAAAAGTCCAAAAACTTCCCATCGTACTATACATAAAATGCCTAAAATCCAGAGCAACTGGATGCAGAGGAGCGGGGAGAAGCAGTGGAACTGGTCCAGATTCTAGAGAGCTCTGAAGGCTGGGTAGGGAATGGCCATCCACTCAAGGAGGGTTCACTGGGCCATGCGGTATGGCAGGCACCATGCTGAGTACTGAGGGGAGGCAGCCCCGAGCAGGAGACAGACCCAGTCCCTGCTTTCACAAAGCCCCGGGACGAGCAGAGGACCAGCAGCCAGCCCGATCATTCAGGGTGAGGGTGTGCATAGAACGCACATAGGAGGAAATTTGAACCCAGTGCTGGGGGCTGGGAGGACTTCCTGGAGGAAGTGAGTTCTCACAGAGACCTAAAGAATGGGTCAGAAGAAGAGAACTATGTGGCACCAAGCAGCAGTGCCCACTCAGCATTCCACATGCTCCTCTACATTACCCAGCCTGCCCTGCAGTTAGCATAGGGCCATGTGACCAATTCTGGCCAATAGACAGGAGCCACTCCCGGGCTGATCCCATTAAGTTCCAGGTGCCTCCTCCATCCTTTCTTCCTTTGCCGCAGTGACCTTGGCTGAAGAAGTAGCCACCTGAAGAAGGACCACTCGACCCACATTGCACCTCACAAGAGTGAGATACAAACCATCCTTGTTAAGTCACTGAGATTTGGGTGTTAATTTGTTACCACCAGATAACCTACCTGATCCTAACTGATCCAATAGGAAAGCATGTTTCTGGCAGGAAAACACAAAAATACAAAAGCGAAAGAGAACACAGCACCTTGGAGGAGGGGGATATCTCTCCTGGCTGGAGCAAGAGCATCAGTGGCCAGTGGCGTGAGATGATGCCAGAAGAGATAATGCCTGCCACGGCCCTGCAGGCCAGGAAGGGAGTCTGGGCTTCTCTGTCTCAGAGAATGGTTAGATGGGGAGATAGACCAGGTGACAGATGCTGGAGACTCCAAGACCTGAGAATGATGATGAGGACAACTATAAAGAAGCAGGTGTGAGAAATGCCACAACTTGGAATCTACTCAAATCTACTGATTGGAATGCAGAGGACAAAAGAGAGGGCTCGGTCACATTTGCCTCCAGGTTGTGAGCTTGAGAGCCCGGGTTAATGACAGTGTCCTCCATGGGAATGGGAAAATCCTAACAGAAACTGTTTTGAGAGAAATGCGGATGAGTCTAACATGGAACACATTGAGGCCGAGGGTCTAAAGGAGCATTGTTCAAGGGAATTCACGTGCACTGGGTTGGGTGGTGCAGACTCTCTGCTTAGTCCTGGGAGGCAATTCCCCCCCACTTCTTTTCATTTACGACAGGTTCCCCTAGACGTGCTCTCTAGATTAAGGCTTCTATGACAGGCTGACTTTTGCTAAATGCTTTACAAAGACCAGTTAATTGCACTAGTTTATCTATCAGCATTTTCTGGAATGGGCTCCTAAGAAGTAATTAGACAATTGTCGTTAAACCTAGGCAACAGCTCCCTGAGAGCAGTCAGCAGTGAGATGGTACGTTTTTCATTGCGGCTGCCACCTGAGGTGACTGCAGGAAAACAGGAAGAAACAGAGGCAGAGAGGTGACAAGGAAGACAGGGAGTTTTCTGGGACCTCAAAGCCACCGCCTGGTGAATCGTTCCCAAGAGAGGACATGCTGAGACCCTGTGTTGGTTTGTTTTGCTGGGGCTGACTGCTGCCGGCTCACAAGACCTGATTGCTACCTCTTCAGGATTCTTGAGAACGGGCTTACGGTTTGAAGCTGGCTGTGGTGAGATAGTATTTACAGCACAGAATCAACAAACACTGTGAACCAGGGCTTTTCGTGGAAGAAGCGGGGAGCCCGTGTACCAGTGAATTATGCTATACCAGTGTGCCAAGGGTTCCCACCAAAGGAAGGTTGTGGGGGAATGTGCGGGGTCTCAGTCCCTGGCTCCACTCATTTCTCAAGTGAAAATCTAAGAGTCATTCATGATACTCACCTTCCTCTCATCTTCCAATTCCAATCCATCACATGCTCTCCATCTTATGTTCCAAATATATCGACATTATGTGGTCCTGCTCCCCTCACTCGTGGGGCCCCAACCACACCAAGCACTCTCCTGCTCTGGGACTTGCATACTCCTAGAGTCCCTCCTCCTAGAATGGCTGGTGTCTTCTCATCGTTCAGGTCTCAACTTCAATGTCTCTTCTCTTAAACACTTCCCCAGGTTATGCCATCTAAAGTAACACCCCCTATATTATTTTTTCTTCTTTTTGTTTGAGACGGAGTTTGCTCTTGTTGCCCAGGCTGGAGTGTAGTGGCGCAATCTCGGCTCAACCCAACCTCCGCCTCCTGGGTTCCAGGGATTCTCCTACCTCAGCCTCCTGAGTAGCTGGGATTACAGGCGCATGCCACCATGCCCAGCTAATTTTTTGTATTTTTAATACAGACGGAGTGTCTCCATGTTGGTCAGGCTGGTCTTGAACTCCCAACCTCAGGTGACCCACCCGCCTTGGCCTCCCAAAGTGCTGGGATTCTTCTTTTTTAACTTTGTCTTAGTCAAAGCTCTTTTCACACTGGGTAATACTTTTGTTGCATAAGTCCTTTGTTGGCTTCCTCCTGGACTGGGAATCCCAGGAGGTCAGTTTGTTTTCTATTCTATTGCTGATACCTCCCATGGGGCCTGGCACATAGTTGTGGATCAAGAAGTATTCGCTGTGGAAATGGATGAAGCGGCAAACTCCCCAATTTTGTAGTTGTGAGTGATACCAGGACCCCGCTTTTCAGATTTGGACTTCCTTAAGGTTGGAGGGTTTTGCTATTAAAAAAATGCAAACAAATTGAACTCACAGTATGGACAATTTCACTGATACCAGGAGGCCTTCCCGATGCCCCCATGGAAATAAGATGATGGACATCCCCTGCCTTCCTGATATTGCAGTGCATTTCAAAGATCCATTCAAGTCATTGAGCCCACTTTTCCATTGTATTGCATCATTCCAAAACCCCCTCTCATCACCATGGCACTCCAGGTGAAAACAAGGGGAGGAGTCTACCTACCACTCTGACTTTAATTTTTTCTAAGCCTGGGATGTTTGTTTTGGCAATTTCTTCTTTTTCTCTGAGGCCTCTTGATGTCTTAGGACACTCAGCACCTGCTCCATAAGTACAAAAGGACTTGGGTTTACCAGACATCTTGGCACTAAGAGAACCACTCGGCTCCTCCCACACATCCAACATCAGCATGAGATAAATATCAAAATTATAGAGATCAACCACTCAACAAGGGGAAGGCAAAATGTCCTGAAGTGAGGGAACACCAGTGTCACTGGCTGACTCTACTCAAGGGCTAAAGCTACATATACTCTGTGTTAGGGTGGGGACAGAGATACAAAGCAGTGTGGCCAGAAGACCCTCAGGTGATCTCCAGGGATCTCCGCCACTTGGTGTTCACATCCAGTATAATCCCTTCCCCTGAGTGTGGGTGGAAACTGTGACTTGCTTCTAGCCAATAGAATATAACAAACATGAAGGGATTTTGCTGATTTAATGGCCCATATCAGTTTATGTGGAGTTCCTCAACAGAGAGATTATCCTCAGTGGGCCTGACTTAATCTAGTGAATCATAATTACTTAATCTACTTAATCTAGTGAATCCAGTGAATCTAGTGAATCTTAGAAGAGAGACTACGCCCTCCCGGAGAGATTGTTCTTGCTGGCCTGATGAAGTAAGAAGCCCTGCTGAGGAAGTCTCCATGGCAAGGAACTAGGGCCACAGCCTCCAGGACCTGGGGGCGGCCTCCAGCCAACAGCCAGCAGACATCTGAGGGCCTCAGTCACACAACCACAGGAATGCGTGACAGCCTCAGTCACACCACAACACAAATAAACTTGAAAGTGAATTATTCCCCAGTCAAGTTTCCAGATGAGAATGCTACCAAATGAATGCCTTGATCACAGCCTTGTGAGGCACCAAGCAGAAGGCCTGTTTAAGATGCACCTGGACTCCTGGCCCACAGAAGCTGTGAGAGAATAAGTATGTGTTGTTTTAAACCATTAAGAGTGTGGTGATTTGTTAGGCAGCAATAGATAACTAATGCAGGCAGTGACATGAGCTGATCCCAGGGAAGAGTGGGACAGAAATAGCAACCAGAGACGCATTACTTGCCCACTCTTTGATTCATCATTTCCCACCCTTTGTAACATCCTTCTTGTGGCACTTGTGGTTCATTTCTGCTCCCAGACAAAGCATTTCAGATACTCCCTAGGGTGTAAACTTGGTCATTCATCAATTTATTGAATACCTACTATGTGCCAAGCCCTGGGTGTCCTGAGAATTCAAAGATGACTGTAACCTGGTCCTTCTTTCAAGGAGCTTACAGACAAGGACAGATGGCACACAGATAATGCAAGTCATTCCTTCGTTAGCACATATTTATGGAAGGCTGCCAGAGTGGCAGACACTGCGCTAAGCATGTGACCAGAGAAGGATAAAGACCTGCCCAGCTGGAGGAATCAGTCAGATTGCGGAGAGCCTCGGTGGTATGCTGGAGCCAGTTCATACCAGCTTGCCAGAGCCAATTGTTAAATTTTTGGGAATCTTGTGATCCAGTAGCTAAACAGTCATTATTAAAAGTTAAATTATTTTAACTTACAAGTAAACACATTATATTAAAAACAAACGTTGGCCAGGTACAGTGGCTCATACTTGTAATCCCAGCACTTTGGGAGGCCAAGGTGGGAGGATTGCTTGAGCTCAGGAGTTCGAGACCAGCCTGAGCAACATATGGAGAGCCCACCTCTAAAAAAAATTTTAAAATTTTTTCTGGGTGTGGTGGTGCATGCCCGTGGTTCCAGCTACTCAGGGAGCTGAGGTGGGAGGATCACTTGAGCCTGAGAAGTCAAGCTGTGAATGTACCACTGCACTCCAGCCTGGGTGACAGAATCAGACCTGGTCTCAAAAAAAAAAAAACCAAACACTCAAAACCCGTCAGTTCCCAATGATTTTTCTACCTCTTACTATTATCTATGCTCTTGAAGTTATTTACATATAGTGTATCTGCATGGTAGAAATATCACATAGTGGTGTGCTACTGTGCATATCTTTCCAGCTACACATTAGTGATTTCACAGTGGTAGCTTGAAATTAGTCATAGCGTGTGCATTTACATCATGGAAATTGACAAACACTATAAATTGGAGCTTGATTTTTTGTTCTGTTGATTGTCTAAACCCTAGGCTTAAGAAAGGATAGAGAAAATGTTAATAATGCAGATTAAACATTAAGGTATGGGCTGTCTGTGGCCATTACGTTGTGAATGGAAAAAAAAGGAAATGTTCTTCCAGTATTCAAAAACTGTTATCTGATTCAGCAAAGAAGTCATTCATGTCACTGTGATTGAGTGGAGTATTGACTGTGTCTTCATTGTTTCACTTTCATCTTATTCATTAATATAAATGAAAACATCAACCAATGTTCATGACAAAACTACACTCATTCATTTGATGACCTGAGAGACCTCTTCGCTAAATGGGAAACTAAGCAACCATATATTCACAGTCTACTTTTGTCAAATCATGGTTAAATTGCAACTACAGGTTGGCTAATTCAAGAAGCTGGCAAAAATGAGTGAAAGTATGCTGTAGGCCAATTGGCTGTGTGGAATTTACAGTGGGTATTATATATCTTATTATTATTTAAATTTCAAGGTATGTGTTTGCTACACAACCTCAATACCAGTAAAACATAACCCATTTATGTATGTACAGACAAGTATACATTTTTTTCTCTGGAGAGTTAATTGACAAACATTTATCAGCCCAGCACTGGTGGAGACAGGTAGAGGACAATCAGTGAGTCAAGAGCAAGCCTCAGGGTACCCACAAAGTCCTGCAGGAGTGGAGGGGCATGGTTTCTCGCTCACACTGAAAGGGTCTGAATGGGGTGATTTCTGACCTGGGTTCTGCTCTCAATGATGTTAGGAGGATGTGGTGAGACACTGGTCCTCGACATCACCCTGTCCCTGGTCTGGTCACCCAGCCCCACGCTGGGCCTCCTTGGATTTGAATGAGGAAGGAGGCATTTGGAGAACAGTATCAGTCACAGTGTTCCCTTTGCTGCTCCATGTCTGAGTCCTGGTTCCAGCACCCTCCACAGCCCTAGAGATGTGGGCCCCACCCCTGAGGCAGCAAGCCCTCCCTCAGCGTCAGGACCTCTTGCAAAGGAGGAGGGCAGTGAAGTCAAGGAGAGCACAGGGAAAGACAGCGGCTAAAAGGGCGGAAGCAGTCCCTGCTGAGCCAGGCTTCCTGCTGCACACTGGATCTGCATCTTCTCATTTCATCCTCACAACAACCCGATGGGGCATCTCTCTTAACAGCCTCATTTTACAGAGGACATCGGGGCTCAGAAAAACAAAATGACTTGCCCAAGCAAGCTCACACTGCTGCTCAGTGTAGGAGCCGGGATTTGAACACAGGCAACCAGACCACATGCATGCTAAAGTGATGGGTGAGGCCGGCTTCCTCCCAGGCATCTTAGTGATGATGAAATGTGAGCATGACAGGGAAGCATGAAGAAAAAAAGAGCCTCACCCATAGCTATGATCATGATGGAGATGACAATGAAGATGAGATGATAATGATGACGATGATCTATGAGAATCAGAAATAAAATCCTTTCATTTCATTTGATTTTCAGATTTCTTTAGGGATGGACTGATTACTCCAACTAGCAGGAAACACATTTTTCATTCTTTTCACACATTTTTATTGAGCTCCTACTATATTTTAGGCATGGGAGACAAAGCCAAAAAAAAAAGCAAGACAGGCAAAAGGAAACAAATGGCAGCATCCCTCTGATGGTGTCCACCCCAGATTGTACCAGGAAGTGGGTCTCCTCTTGCTTTTCCTCATATCCACAGACCCCAGCCTGCTTTCTGGCCCAGAGAAGGTATTCATTAAGCATTTGTCGATGAACAGCTGGACCGAGGAATGCCATAAGGCTTGGTTATACCAGAGCAGCGGCCTTCCCTGCCCCACTCCAAAGCTGCCTGTGCACAACCTGCAAAAGGAAATTCCCAGGGGTCCTTTTGGTCCCCAGATGTGCTCAATGTCTGCGTTCTCTGAGCTGCTCCCACCCTCAGGCTGCCCCTGGGAGAAGACCCACCAGCCCACATGCCTGGCTGGCCCACCCACTCAGAGCCTGGCTCCTAGGAGGGAAATTCCAGGTCACCTACCTCAGTGGGGCCTCTGCCTCCCCTAAGTCACTGGAGAAGCCAGGACAAGAGGGCAAATTCCAGCCAGCCCAGCTGCCTGGAAGCCAGGGAGGGTGAGTACTCCCTCTTTGAATAAAAGGACAACAGCTGTAAACCCCAATAAAAAAAGCTATGAGGTGTCCATAAAGGCTTCCTTCCAGGATCTCTAAATCCCTGCCCCACCCAGACACTTCCTTAAACCTAGGAAGGCAGTGATGACACAGTAGGAGCTGCCTCTGGTTCACATCCTGAGGATTTCCCAGCGTTGTTAAACCTGTGCCCATGCCCGAGGAGGGTTTGCCCCTGGGAAGTTGGGCAAACACTCAGCCGAAAGGAAAGGCAGGTGGAGAAGCCACATAGAGTACTTATCCTGAACTTTATTATGATGATTCCAAAGTTACATCTGTTACCTGTAGAACAGAGAGAGTAGTATCAAGGAGAAAGTTAAAATCGCCAAAACACCTCCTCCAGGAAACAGCCATTTGGCAGTTTGCTGCATCTCTTGCAGTCTTTCGTCTCTATGTGGGTTTGTTTATTTACATTGTTTTCATCAGAACCATTCCCAGGATACTATTTTAAAATGCGTGACTATGTGGAAAGAAAAGGAGACATCCGATCCTATTTCCATAACATCACTAAGCCCCCACACCCCCATTTTTTGGCAGCCTTAAGAAGGATGAGAGAAACTCCGGAATTTATGGTTGGCACTGAAGTTAAATTATGGTAGATACTGAAGTTCTCACCACGCTGACAAGTGGAGGGTTGGAGTGAAATTTAACCTGATTTAGAAATATAAAGAAATATGATATTTCTTATACCCATGGCAGAGAGTAAAATTCATGCCAGCTGATGTATGGCTGCTTGGCTAGCAAGGAAAAAGGGAGAGAGAAACAGAGAAAAACAGAAAGGGAAAGACAAAGAACCAGAGAGAAGGACATATATATGCTTGTGAATGCATAGAAAATTCTAGAAAAATACTTAGAAATTATGAATAGTGGTTCATCTTCAAGAGTGAGTAAAGATGAGCATTTAAATAGATATTTCATATAGCTCTGCACTGTTCTGAATATTTTACCATAAACAAGTATTATTTTCATAATTCTTAAAACATTTGAAGTGATTTTCCCACTTCAAATATTATGAATAGGTTACATGGCAAAGGAGAATTAAGATTGCAGGTAAAATTAAGGTTGCTGATCAGCTCACCTTAAAATTGGGAGAATGGGGGGAACCTGGGCAAGACGGCTGAGTAGGAACAGCTCCAGTCTGCAGCTCCCAGCAAGATCAACACAGAAGGCGGGTGATTTCTGCATTTCCAACTGAGGTACCCGGCTTATCTCATTAGGACTGGTTACACAGTGGATGCAGCCCACAGAGGGTGAGCTGAAGCAGGGTAGGGTGTCACCTCACCCGGGAAGCACAAGGGATCAGGGAACTCCCTCCCCTAGCCAAGGGGAAGCCGTGAGGGACCGTGCCGTGAGGAACAGTGCATTCCGGCCCAGATACTACGCTTTTCCCATGGTCTTCAAAACCTGCAAACCAGGAGATTCCCTTGGATGCCCATGCCACCAGGGCCCTGGGTTTCAAGCAAAAAACTGGGCGGCCATTTGGGCAGACACTGAGCTAGATGCAGTTTTTTTATCCATACCCCAGTGGTGCCCAGAATGCCAGTGAGACATAACCATTCACTCCCCTGGAAAGGGGGATGAAGCCAGGGAGCCAAGTGGTCTACTCAGTGGATCCTACCCCCATGGAGGCCAGCAAGCTAAGATCCACTGGTTTGAAATTCTCGCTGCCAGCACAGCAGTCTGAAGTCGACCTGGGATGCTCGAGCTTGGTGGGGGGAAGGGCATCTGCCATTATTGAGACTTGAGTAGGCAGTTTTCCCCTCACAGTGTAAACAAAGGGGAAGTTCAAACTGGACGGAGCCCACCGCAGCTCAGCAAAGCTGCTGTAGCCAGACTTCCTGTCTAGATTCCTCCTCTCCAGGCATGGCATCTCTGAAAGAAAGGCAGCAGCCCCAGTCAGGGGCTTATAGATAAAACTCCCATCTCCCTGGGACAGAGCACCTGGGGGAAGGGGTGGCTGTGGGCACAGCTTCAGCAGACTTAAACGTTCCTGCCTGCCAGCTCTGAAGAGAGCAGCGGATCTCCCAGCACAGTGCTCGAGCTCTGCTAAGGGACAGACTGCCTCCTCAAGTGGGCCCCTGACCCCTGTGCCTCCTGACTGGGAGAAACCTCCCAGCAGGGGTCAACAGACACCTCATACAGGAGGGCTCCCGCTGGCATTTGGCAGGTGCCCCTCTGAGACACAGCTTCCAGAGGAAGGAACAGGCAGCAATCTTTACTGTTCTGCAGCCTCCACTGGTGATACCCAGGCAAACAGGGTCTGGAGTGGACCTCCAGCAAACTTCTGCAGACATGTAGCAGAAGGGCCGGACTGTTAAAAGGAAAACTAACAAACAGAAAGGAATAGCATCAACATCAACAAAAAGGACGTCCACACAAAAACCCCATCCAAAGGTCACGAACATTGAAGACCAAAGGTAGATAAATTCATGAAGATGAAGAAAAACCAGTGCAAAAGGCTGAAAATTCCAAAAACCAGAATGCCTCTTCTCCTCCAAAGGATCACAGCTCCTCTCCAGCAAGGAATCAAAACTGGAGGGAGAAGGAGTTTGACAAATTGACAGAAGTAGGCTTGAGAAGGTGGGTAATAACAAACTACTCCGAGCTAAAGGAGCATGTTCTAACCCAATGCAAGGAAGCTAAGAACCTTGAAAAAAGGTTAGAGGAATGGCTAACTAGAATAACCAGTTTAGAGAAGAACATAATGACCTGATGGAGCTGAAAAACACAGCATGAGAACTTCGTCAGCATATGCAAGTATCAATAGCTGAATCGATCAAGCAGAAGAAAGGATATCAGAGATTGAAAATCATCTTAATGAAATAAAACGTGAAGACAAGATTAAAGAAAAAAGAATGAAAACGAACGAATAAAGCCTTCAAAAAATATGGGACTATGTGAAGAAAACAAACCTGATTGATTGGTGTACCTGAAAGTGACAGGGAGAATGGAACCAAGTTGGAAAACACTCTTCAGGATATTATCCAGGAGAACTTCCCCAACCTAGCAAGACAGGTCAACATTCAAATTCAGGAAACACAGAGAACACCACAAAGATACTCCTCGAGAAGAGCAACCCCAAGACACATAATCATCAGATTCACCAAGGTTGAAATGAAAGAAAAAATTATAAGGGCAGCCAGAGATAAAGGTCGGGTTACACACAAAGGGAAGCCCATCAGACTAACAGTGGATCTCTCTGCAGAAACCCTAAAAGCCAGAAGAGAGTGGGGGCCAATATTCAACATTTTTAAAGAAAAGAATTTTCAACCCAGAATTTCATATCCAGCCAAACTAAGCTTCATAAGCAAAGGAGAAATAAAATCCTTTACAGACAAGCAACTGCTGAGAGATTTTGTCACCACCAGGCCTGTTTTACAAGAGCTCCTGAAAGAAGCACTAAATATGGAAAAAAAAAAAAAAAACTGGTACCAGCCACTGCAAAAACATACCAAATTGTAAAGACCATCGACACTATGAAGTAGCTGCATAAACCAACAGGCAAAATAACCAGCTAGCATCATAACGACAGGATCAAATTCACACATAACAATATTAACCTTAAATAATAAGGGCTAAATGCCCCAATTAAAAGACACAGACTAGCAAATGGGATAAAGAGTCAAGACCCATCAGTGTGCTGTATTTAGGAGACCCATCTCACATGCAAAGACACACAGGCTCAAAATTAAAGGGTGGAGGAAGATTTACCAAGCAAATGGAAAGAAAAAAAAATTAGGCGTTGCAATCTTAGTCTCTGATAAAACAGACTTTAAACCACAAAGATCAAAAAAGACAAAGAAGGGCATTACATAATGGTAAAGGGATCAACGCAATAAAAAGAGCTAACTATCCCAAATATATATACACCCAATACAGGAGCAACCAGATTCATAAAGCAGGTTCTTAGAGACCTACAAAGAGACTTAGACTCCCACACAATAATAGTGGGAGACTTTAACACCCCACTGTCAATATTAGACAGATCAATAACACAGAAAATTAACAAGGATATTCAGGACTTGAACTCAGCTTTGGACAAAGCAGACCTAATAGACATCTACAGAACTTTCCATCCGAAATCAACAGAATATACATTCTTCTCGGCACCGCATTGCACTTATTCTAAAATTGACCACATAATTGGAAGTAAAACACTCCTCAGCAAATGCAAAAGAAGAGAAATCATAACAAACAGTCTCTCAGACCACAGTGCAATCAAATTAGAACTCAGGATTAAGAAACTCACTAAAAACCCCACAACTACATGGAAACTGAACAACCTGCTCCTGAATGACTACTGGGTAAATAACGAAATTAAGGCAGAAATGAGTAAGTTATTTGAAACCAATGAGAACAAAGGCAGAATATACCAGAATCTCTGGGACACAGCTAAAGCAGTGTTTAGGGGGAAATTTATAGCCTAAATGCCCAAAGGAGAAAGTTGGAAAGATCTAAAATCGACACCCTAACATCACAATTAAAAGAACTAGAGAAGCAAGGGCAAACAAATTCAAAAGCTAGCAGAAGATAAGAAATAACTAAGATCAGAGCAGAACTGAAGGGGATAGAGACACAAAAAAACCTTCAAAAAATCAATGAATCCTGGAGCTGGTTTTTTTTTTTAAAGATTAACAAAATAGATAGACTGCTAGCCAGACTAATAAAGAAGAAAAGAGAGAAGGATCAGATAGACACAATAAAAAATGATAAAGGGGGTATCACAACTGATCCCACAAAAATACAAACTACCATCAGAGAATACTATAAACACCTCTATGCAAATAAACTAGAAAATCTAGAAGAAATGAATAAATTCCTGGACACATACACCCTCCCAACACTAAACCAGGAAGAAGTCAAATCCCTGAATAGAGCAATAGCAAGTTCTGAAATTGAGGAGGTGAAGGACCTCTTCAAGGAGAACTACAAACCACTACTCAAGAAAATAATAGAGGACACAAGCAAATGGAAAAACATTCCATGCTCATGAATAGAAAGAATCAATATCATGCAAATGGCCATACTGTCCAAAGTAATTTATAGATTCAATACTATCCCCATCAAGCTACCATTGACTTTCTTCACAGAATTAGAAAAAACTACTTTAAATTTCATATGGAACCAAAAAAGAGCCTGTATAGCCAAGACAATCCTAAGCAAAAAGAACAAAGTCTAGAGGCATCACGCTACCTGACTTCAATTTATGCTACAAGGGTACAGTAACCAAAACAGCATGGTACTGGTACCAAAACAGATATATAGACCAATGGAACAGAACAGAGGCCTCAGAAATAATGCCACACGTCTACAACCATCTGACCTTTGACAAACCTTACAAAAACAAGCAATGGGGAAAGGATTCCCTATTTAATAAATGGTGTTGGGAAAACTGGATAGCCATATGCAGAAAACTGAAACTGGACCCCTTCCTTACATCTTATACAAAAATTAACTCAAGATGGATTAAAGACTTAAACATAAGACCTAAAACCATAAAAACCCTAGATGATACCATTCAGGACATAGGCATAGGTAAAGACTTCATGACTAAAACACCAAAAGCAATTGCAACAATAGCAAAATTGACAAATGGGATCTAATTAAACTAAAGAGCTTCTGCACAGCAAAAGAAACTATCATCAGAGTGAACAGGCAACCTACAGAATGGGAGAAAATTTTTACAATCTATCCATCTGACAAAGGGCTAACATCCAGAATCAACAAGGAACTTAAACAAATTTACAAGAAAAAAATAACCCCATCAAAAAGTGGGCAAAGGATATAAACAGACACTTCTCAAAAGAAGACATTTATGTGTCCAACAGACAGAATACAAAGCTCATCATCACTGGTCATTAGAGAAATGCAAATCAAAACCACAATGAGATACCATCTCATGCCAGTTAGAATGGCGATCACTAAAAAGTCAGGCAACAATAGATGCTGGAGAGGATGTGGAGAAACAGGAATGCTTTTACACTGTTGGTAGGAGTGTAAATTAGTTCAACTATTGTGGAGGACAGTGTGGCGATTCCTCAAGGATCTAGAACCAGAAATACCATTTGACCCAGCAATCCCATCACTGGGTATAACCCAAAGGATTACAAATTATTCTACTATAAAGACACATGCACACGTATGTTTATTGCAGCACTATTCACAATAGCAAAGACTTGGAACCAACCCAAATGCCCATCAATGATAGACTGGATAAAGAAAATGTGGCACATATACTACACAGCCATAAAAAGAGATGAGTTCATGTCCTTTACAGGGACATGGATGAAGCTGGAAACGATCATTCTCAGCAAACTAACACAGGAACAGAAAACCAAACACCGCATGTTCTCATTCATAAGTGGGAGTTGAACAATGAGAACACACGGACACAGGGAGGGAAACAACACACACCGGGCCCTGTCGGGGGATGAGGGGCTAGGGGAGGGATAGCATTAGGACAAATACCTAATGTAGATGATGGGTTGATGAGTGCAGCAAACCACCATGGCACATGTATACCTATGTAACAAATCTGCACATTCTGCACATGTATCCCAGAACTTAAAGTATGATTTAAAAAAAAAAATTGGGAGAATGTCCTGGATTATTGGGGGCCCCAATGTAGTCACAAAGCTCCTTTAAAGTGAAAGAAGAGCCAGGCATAAGGTTCACACCAGTAGTCCTAGGTACTCAGGAGGCTGAGGCAGGAGGATTGCTTGAGTTCAAGAGTTCAAGACCAACCTGGGCAACATAGCAAGACCCCATCTCTAAAAATAAAAATAAGGTGAAAGAGGGAGGGAGGCAAAAGGATGAGCGTCAGGGAGATGGTACAATGGAAGAAGGGCCATAAAGATGCAACCTCACTGGCTTCGAAGATGGGGAAGGAGCCATGAGCCAAGGAGAGTGGGTGGCCTCTAGATACTAGAAGAAGCAAGGAAATGAGCTTTCCCAGGAGCCCCCAGAAAGGAATGTAGCCCTGTGACACCTTGGTTTTAGCTCAGTGAGACCCATCAGACTGGGACCTGACTCAGCCACCCTACACCTCTGCCCACCCACAGTTGGAGACAGACTGTGGACAGAGTGGCTGGTGACCAGTGAGCAAGGCCTCTGAGTGCAGGAGCACCTGTGCCCACCGCCCACTCCAGTCCTCAGCACCGATGGAAAGGCTTCTATTTCATGGCTTGTTATTGCTGTTGTTCAAAGGAACGGCAGTAGCATTAAAGAAATGAATGGAAGAATGAATTATTAATGGTTGCAAGGGAAATTTGTAACTCAGTATGCTATCCTCAACTTCGTCTCTTACACCAAGGCACTGACTTTATTACAAAGCCAATCAGGCCATGAGGCACACGTGGCCACATTGGATGTGGTCAATTACCGAGGTGAGGGAAACTAAATTGTTGGTAGTTTCTTGCTGAAGCACTTGGCGCAGTCATGCTCTGTGACTTTCTCCCTTGGCTTCAGAGCGCACCTGGCTTCCTTTTGTTATCAAGGCTTGTGGCTGCTGTGAAAAATGCTGAAGGGAATGTAAATAAATTACTGCCTGGTCTAGTTTCTTCTCAAAGATTAGAACTAGAAAAATCGATGCAACGGTCATTTATCCCATCGGTGAGCCAACTCTTCTGTCTTTGGGCACCCAGAAGGTCAAATACAGCCTATACAGCCACTCACATCTGTGTACTCCTGTGCATTCACACGCATACACATGCACACACACCTGTCTCAGGGTACCCACACTTGGTACACACCCTCAGGCACACACACTCACATACACATACAGTGAGTCCGCTCTGCCATTTTGTCTCAGACGTGCCGGGGGTGGGTTTTTCTCCTCTGGGCTTTTCCCTTTGAATGAAGCATTCTCATACCCCAGCTCTGGGGAAATAATCTTCAGATTAGTTTGTCTGCCTGCCAGGAACACCAGACTGTGCTCAGTAAAGAACAGTACATCATTTCAGGAAATGCTGGGGGTCTTGGGTGCTCTGAAGCCCCAGGGAATCCACTATTGCAGTGCTCTGGGGCCCTCATCGCTGATGCCTGCAGCTGTCAGGGAAAGGGTGTATGTGTGTCCCTCCTCAACTTCCCACTTGAAAGCTGGGTCTCCACGAGCAAATTGCTTAACTGCTCTGGGCCTCAGTTTCCCCATTTGTAGGTTCTAGGTAATAATAGTACTCCCCCTCGATGTGGTAGTTAGAACGAATTCAGATCATGAATGTGTCTTGTTTAATAGAGTGCCCAGCAGGTGCTCTATAAATGTTGAATGCTGTGGTGGCTGTTATTCCTAGTTCCACCCTCATCTATCTCCCAACTGTTGAGGAACACACACACACACACACACACACACACACACACACACACACACTCCTATCTTAAACAGGTAGTGCTCAAAATCTGGCCTTGCATTTGGGTGGCTCTTTTCTCCATGGTTTTCAAAGCACCTTGATATCTGTTTCCTCCTTTAAGCCTCATAAAACCTTGTGGAGTGGGAAGACTGGAATTATTGGTCCCATTTTAAAATTTTTATAGATTTAGGGGCCATTTTTAGAAAGAAGGAAACAGGTGCACAAAGTCACAAGATATGCCTGTAAAGATTCATTGTGGTGTACTTTTAATACACACACACCCAGAAACTAAGCGCCCAGGAGTTGAGGAGGGGAGGTGAAGATGGTGCTTTGCGACATGTGATCATCTGCAGTCATTAAGAAATCACATTTACAAGTTTTTAACGACCCAGGGAGATGCCCCAACTGTAACAACAAGTGAAGAGAGGAGGATACCGAGCTGGATGTTTGGGAAGAGCCACACAACACAACCGGGGAAAGGAAATAGCCCAAGGCACTAACAGCCAGCCCCAAGGGAGACTGTACTTGCCTGATTTGTTTCCTTTACACTTTTGTTTTCTTCCAAAGTTTTCATGATGGGACTGTATTATTTTTATAACTAAATAAGAGAAATAAGCTTTCTGTGGAGTCCTAATTAGGGAAAGGGAGTCAGGCTGTTGGGACCAGGGGAAAGCAAAAGGAGAAAGCAGATGAGCTACAAGTCTGCCTTTCTTCATGGTCCAGGACACAGCCCTCCTGCACAAATAAGTCACCATCTTCCTGCGCCCAGCTGTCACCAGACATCTGCAGGTGAGCTCACTGCAAGCTTGGTGTCGTGGTGCTGCGCACAGCCCTCTTCAGCACACAGCATCTGCACCGTCCTATAAAATCTCCAGCCGGCCTTTGTTTCTTTGCAGTCGGCTTCTGTCATGCAGGCTGCCCTCCTTGCAATGTATTTTTCTACTTTCTCCAATAAACCTGCCTTTCTTTACCTACAACTGTCTTGGTAAACTATTTTACCCCCGCACCACTGGGCCAGAGAGTTGTCAGTTCCCTGCAACACTTTTGTGTTACAATAACTTCCCTAAGTATATATACAGCTTGGCTGGCAGCAGAGGCAGAGTCCAAGTTCATTGGCAATGAAAGGGCTGTTGGTGCTTCCCACCTCCTCCCTGCCACCACGGCTGCCTTTGGCACCAACACCCCAGGGAAAGGATGAATTACCAATTATTGTACTTTCAAGACCTCCTGCCAAGCCGTGTATCTAGACTTGACACTGATACCCACTCTGTCAGTGTTGCCCTCTGAGACAGAAGAGAAGGCATTCTGGTCTCTTTCACCAGGAAATTCTGATTCACAGGTGATATTACACCAGTAAGAAGTAATGATGATAACAGGCAGCATTTACTGAGCATCTACTATGGGCCAGGCCCTTCCAATGTACTCTCTTACTTTATTCTCTTGACCACCCTGTAATAAACGGATTATCCTACTTAATAGAAGAGAAAATGAAGGCTTGGGAAGGGGAAATTACTCATCAAGGTGACCCCACTGGTCACAAACAGAGTTAGGACATACAAGCAGGCCTGTCTCACCCAGGGCCCATGTTCTCCACCTGCCATGGGCTGGTGAGTAGAGCAGGGGGTGGTGGGGCAGGGGGTGGCATGCCCAGGAACCAGCACCAATGCCAGACCCCACTGATTGCTCCCTGAGTGTACTCTGGGGAGAGTGATCCTCGGATACCTGCTCAGGCTACTGCTGCCTCAGCAGGGCTTTTGCTATTGGGAGGAAATAAGCGATGACTTCATGACAGCAATTAACTCCTTCAAGATCTGAAGACGTCAGGGTGGCTGCCCTGTGCCTTCCCTTCCTCCTAGGGCTGGGGTGAGAATGCCTGAGACTCAGAGAGGGGAAAGGAAGGCTCCAGGTCACACAACTTCACAGGGTGCGGTGGGGGTCACAGCTCCCGGCACTCAGACCAGTACTGTCTGTGTTGACTCTGATGCAGAAATGAGCTCAAGCTCAATCACCTGTCCATTGATTCAGTAAGTCTTTGTTGAGCACCTGCTGAGTTCCAGGCACTGTTTTTGTTGTTGTTGTTGTTGTTGTTGTTGTTGTTGTTGTTGTTGTTGTTGTTGTTGTTTGAGACGGAGTCTCGCTCTGTCGCCCAGGCTGGAGTGCAGTGGCGCAATCTCAGCTCACTGCAAGTTCCACCTGCAGGGTTCATGCCATTCTCCTGCCTCAGCCTCCCGAGTAGCTGGGACTACAGGTGCCCACCACCAAGCCCGGCTAATTTTTTGTATTTTTAGTAGAGATGGGGTTTCACTGTATTAGCCAGGATGGTCTCAATCTCCTGACCTCATGATCCGCCCGCCTCAGCCTCCCAAAGTGCTGGGATTACAGGGGTGAATGAGCAGCACCTGCAAGATCCCTGCCCTCTTGGGATTCGCTTTCCAGAAGAGTGAGACAGGTGACAAGTAAACAATAGTCAGGAAATATCATTTCAGGCTGTTAAGTTCGATAACGAAAAGGAAACAAAATTGCACCTGTGATTAGCAGACTCTTGGCCCCCTAATGGGATTAGGTCTGCATCCTGATCCCCAGAGCATGCGAATATATAACATAACTGAGCAAAGGGGAATTAAGGTCTCAAATGGAATTAGAGTTGCCGATCAGCTGACCTTAGGATAGGGAGAGTAACCTGGATTATCCAAGTGGGCCCAGTGTTGTCACCGGGTCCTTAAAAGTGGAAGATGAAAGCATAAAAGAGTTAGAGGGAGATGTAAGGAAGGAAGAATTGTCATGGAGACCCAACATTGCTGGCTTTGAAGATGGAGGAAGGGGCCATGAGCCAAGAAATGCAGGTGGCTTCTAGGCACTAGAAAAGACAAAAAATGTTTCTTCTGGAGTCTCCAGAAAGGAATGCAAGCCTGCCAGCACCGTGATTCCAACCCAGTGAGACCCATATCAAGCTCCTGCCCTCCAGAGTGGTTAGCTTCACAGCTGTGTTATGAAGCTGCTGGTCTGTGTTTGTTTGTTACTGCAGCTCCTCAAAGCACCCCTCCTCAGAGAGGCCTTCCCTGACCACCTGCTGAGGAAAGTTCTCCTGGAATCACTTTCATGGGTTCTTTCACAGAATGTCTCAATTTTAAATGATTTGCTTGTGAAGGAGTTCCGAAGTAACTCCCCAAAATATGCCACTTTGAGACTTTGAACTGAGGTCACTTGGGGAACAGCAACTGCAGGGAGGGGCTTTCCGAGTTTTCCTTTTCTGTCTAAAGACAGATTGTCCAGAGCAAACGCAGTGGCCATGAATCTCCGCCCAGGGAATCTCATCAGCCGGAAGGACTGGCTCGTTTCACAGGAGTCTAAAGGTCCACACTACGTCCAGATAGCCTTTGTCACAGGCTGTCGTCACCTGTCCTGCTGAGGGCCCACTCCTCTTCCCCAGAAATCATTTACTCTCCACTACGGTGCTGACACCCCACCCCTCTCTCCCTTGTGAAGAGGGTATACAAGCTTCTAAATCTTACTGGGTGTGGGGAATTCCTTTTCTTTCCTGGGATGCCCCCATGCATGTGATAAATGTCTGTACCTTTTCTCCTGTTATTCTCCCTGCTGTCAGTTTAATTCCTGACCAGCCAAGGCAGCTAGAAGGGTAGAGAAAGCCATTTTTACTCCCCTACACTTGTGTGCTTATTTATATTGGAAGTGAGGGTCAGGAGGGCCCCCCTGAGGAAGTGACACTGCAGGTCAGGTCTGAACAAGACCCAGGCACCAGTTATGGGCAGAACCGTCCTAGCAGAATAAGGGAGAGCAAGAGGCAAGGAGATGGGACAGAGGACAGGACCAGTCCTAAAGCCAGTCAGAGTGAAGGAAAGCACTGCCTCGCCCTGGGATACATCCTGAGGGGGCCCACGTGCCTACCTGGGGATGGGCAGCTGGAACAGCAGAACTGGGGCCACTCCCGGCACCTCATCACACAGGGTCCGCTCCCTGCTCTTCCCTTGCACCAGCTCCCTGGGCATGCATCTTCATTTCCTGACCAGCTGCTGGACCTCATGCCCCTGAATATTCCTTCCAAGTGGGCCACACAGCCTACGGAAGCATTCAGAGTCAGCAAACAAGGGAGGAAGTTGCCAGGAGCCTGTGTGCCAAGGACCGAGGCAAGAACTCCTCCTAAGAGGAAAGCGCTTGGGAAAGAGACCATGATTTGTGACAAAGACTGGGAGTGCTGGATCAGGGGAGGGGGAAGCTGAGCCCCTCTCAGTGCACCTTGGGTCCTAAGGAGAGAGAAGGGAGACAAAGGCTGCATTCACCATTTCACTAAAAGTCTGCCACTGAGCAGCCCTTCTTTTCTTTCTCCGTCTTTCCCTTTCTCCACACCCCACCCCCTCCACCTTTAACCTCTAATTCAATATGCCCCACCCAAATCCAGAATCTTTTCCCAAACCACTTCCTCTCCCCCATCTTCCTCACTCTTGACCAAGAAGCCTCCCTTTTCCATCATCCAAGCTCAATATCTTGCAGTTGCCTTTGACCTCCTCCATCTTTCCTGTCCTGAGTTTCTTGCCTGGGTTCCCCTCTTTCCAGTCAGCCCCTCCAGCACCCCCCCACACTCTAGTCCAGAACCTCAAAGCAGGTGATCATCAGCTGCAGTTACTCGCTCTACCAGCCCCACACCTCCCAGCGCCTGGGGAGGTTGTTAGCACAGGGTCGGGTTTTTTGTAAGGTTTTTTGGCTGTTTTCGAAGGCAGATTGTGGTATCTCATTCCTGATTAAGTTGCTTGAATTCCCACCCAAACCTCCCTTGCCAAGGTCAGGATAGCTCTACAGGAAGGGAACAGGCATGGCCCTTCTCCCCAGGCCCCAGCCAGGCCCTAAGCCACTCCTCAGCCAGGCAAGACTTTAGACTCATTTCCTGCCCCGTGAGCACTTAGAATAAACTTCCTCCTTCCTTGTGAGATTGTTTAACAGGGCAGGGAGAGTTGATGGCAAACTTCCTCAAAGGAGGGGCAGAGCCTGCGCAGGGCAGGAGCAGCTGGCCCACTGGCGGCCCGCAACACTCCGTCTCACCCTCTGGGCCCACTGCATCTAGAGGAGGGCCGTCTGTGAGGCCACTACCCCTCCAGCAACTGGGAGGTGGGACTGTCAGAAGCTGGCCCAGGGTGGTGGTCAGCTGGGTCAGGGACCTACGGCACCTGCTGGACCACCTCGCCTTCTCCATCGAAGCAGGGAAGTGGGAGCCTCGAGCCCTCGGGTACGTCCCCCCAAGAATGGAAAGGGCTATGGTTCCAGGTACACATGATTGACAGAGGGGAAAATGGAGGTGGGGAGGGTGGGAAATAGGAGTGAAAGAGCCTGAGACAGAATGATGAAAGGAAAGAAAGAAGGAAACCACATAATCGAAGAGATTCCTGAGATCAGACTCAGGAAGGCAAATAGATTTCATCTGAGGCACCAGGCCTGATCAATGAAATTAGACTGTGATAAAAAGGATTCTGGGGCTGGGTTCGGGCTCAGGCAAAAGCATGCTATGATTGATTAGCTATGTCTGCCATGGGCACAAGAAGGAGCTGTAGGGCATGCCAGCTAGGGATTTGATAACCCACACTGCAGGGTTTTTTCCTTAACCACAGGGGCCCCTCAACATTTATTCTTTCATTCACTCATCTATTGATTCAAAAAAACACATTCCAATGATCAACAGTGAGCCACACAAATATTTGAAAAATGAATAAAAAAGAAAGGAATGTTGTTCTTTGGCCCCAAATCTCATTTTTCTCATAAGGTAATGATCTGAAAAGTTATGACAAAGGTGCATGGACTTGAGAGATTTTCTAGCTATGTAATATTGAGCTAGTCCCTTTCACTAAGACTCAGTTTCCTCATCTGTAAAATGGGAGAGAGAGTCTGAATATCCCCCATCAATCGCTGAAGTTCTCATTGTCTACGCAACTATGATAATCATCACTGAAGTACATAAAATAACATGTATGATGTGCTAAGTGCTCTCCATATAATAACACATTTAATCTTCCTATCACCTCTACAAGGAAAGCACCATGATTATTCCCACTCTGCAGACGGAGAGCCAAGGCAGTGAGAGATTTAATAACTTCCCCAGGCAATCTGGCTGCAAAGCTTTTGCTCCTGCCCACTATGCCACACTGACTCTACACTGCAGTGGATTCTGAGTCCATGGCTGGAAGTGGGCTGCCTGGGTACAAGAGTGTCCTTCTAGATGATTCATCCAGTGAGCATTAATTGGGTCAGGTAAAAAAGACACAATGATTAACAAGATGAGGTATCATACATGGTTCTAACCAGAAAGGGAAAACTTGCACAGATAGTCATTTTCAAAACAGTTTGACATACACCATGGAGATAGCCTGGGAGTCAGGGCAGACTTCTCCCAAGAGAATGCCGGGTCCTTCAGGAGTGAAGGGCAGGGGAGGAAAAGATTGGGTCAGTGGAGAATCTCTGAGAAGGGGGAACAGGAGGAAAGAAAGAGGAGGGCAGAGCAGCTCAAGCAGGAAAGGGGTAGTAGCTGGTGGTGGAAGGTGAAGTCAGTGAGGTTGTTGCGCCCAGGTCTGCACAGGCTAGGGAGGAGTTTGCCATTGCTCAGCATCTGCCCAAATCTGTGCATCTGCCTGTCTGCCCTTGGGCACCTGGAGGTTTAGGGGCTTCTGTCTTATGGCCATGGTGTGCACACCTCTTCCTGAGCTCAACTCCATCTTTACACACAGACCCTGCTGCTTCCCATAGGAATGTTGAAGCCTCCAGAACCCAGGGGCCTAACTTCCTCATTGGCACTTCCCTGCGGTGGGGGATGCTCGAAGTCATCATTTGCCAACATTTCCTGGTGCTGGGGCAGCTGCTCCCCCTTGGAGGAGACCTACCTGTCTACTACTGGCAGTCCTGGTGAGACTTCAAGTGGGCAGCCGACAAGCCTGCCTGGGGGACTGGCAGCCCCCACCCAGCCTGCAGTCCCAGAGGGCAGGTGCCCTGGAGCGGAGCAGACATTTCCTACAGTTGGTGCCAATCCCTTGCTTCTGGAGGCTCAGAGGTTTGCTCCCCCAAGGGTGTGGCCTGGGGAGACAAAGACATAGAGGTTGTGGGGAGAGCAACCCTGCCTTTGGCATTTGAATCCCAGTTCTGCCCTTTTTCCAACCATGTGACCTTAGGCAAGTTGCCTATCTTATTGGCTTGTCTGACCCTCCCTTATCTCAAAAGAATGAGGACGGTAATAAGTTCTTTGGGATTTGACAGTGTGCATTTTGAAAAAGACAATGTGTGCAAAGCATCTACCATGATGCTTGCCACGTAGTAGGTGCACAATATAGGACAGTGCTGTTGTCCAAGCTGTGCACCTTCTATGCACCAGGCAGTCTGCATGGAACTGGGCATTCAGAAATGATTAGACACTGTCTCAGGAAGTTCACAGCCTATCAGATAAATTAGTCACATCAATGATTGAGAGTAAAAGGAGTCAGGGACTGCACTGTACAAGAGATGTGAACAAGTTCTACGTAATCAGTACAAACAGCAGTCCCAAAACTGGGCAACGCATATGGAGGGTTGACTGTGTCTATAGAATGGTGCCAAGTACTGTACATGGATTAGCTGGTTTAAATACAATAACTTTGCATGGGAGGTCTTATCATCCCCATTTTGCAGTGAACTACTGAGGCCTAAGGAGGTGAGGTAACCTGCCCAAGGTGGCAAGGCTATGAACGGTAGAGAGAAGCTTTATGGCCAGGCAGTCCAGCTCCAGGATCCATGCTGTTGGCCACCACACTCCTCTCCCTCCGACATGCACACACATCGCAGAGGGAATGATCTAGGCCTGCACAGGCTGCAGAAGGGGGACCTCACAAAGGAGGCCACATTCCACAAAGTATGGAATTCCTCTGGCGAGGACAGGTGAGGGCAGCCCTGGTGGAGAAATCCCTGTGAGCAGAGGCATGGAGCTGGGAGCTGGGAGCTGGGAGTCACCCAGCAGGGCCGGGGAGAGGCTGGGAGCCAGGCACAAAACCAAGGCCTTGGACCTTTCTGCAGGTACAACTGGTTCTGTGTTGGAGGAATGTTCTGGTGAAAATGACAGGAGCAGTGTGGCTTCTGGTATGGAAGCCATCAGGAAGGAGGCTGTTGCTGAAGACACAGAGAAAAAGCCAAGAGTTGGCCCGATTCTTTAGGTCCCATGAGGACTGAAGTGTTCAAACCTCAGGAGGGAAGGGGTAGGGTGGGAGTGTAATCCGAGTCTTTCTTGCAGATGTAACTGTAGTTTGAAATGGGAAAATCATGTATCAGGTAGGACTTTTCTGGGTGCAAGTGACAGAAACCAGCTCAAACCAGCCCAACAAGTAAAGGACAGGTATTGACATACACAACAGAAAAGTCCAGAGATAATTCTGACTTCAAGAAGGCAGATCTGGGGGCTCACATGACACCCCCGGCACTCTGTGTCCATCTCTGGGAGCCTTTTCTCCATGTTGTTCTATGCTCAGACAGCCTGTGTTCATGTGGTGGCAAAGATATACATAACATCTCCAGTTCAGAGTCATCTCAACTTAGCCACTCCAGCAGAAAGGCAGCTCCTCTCTCCTGGAAAGTCCTTCAAAAGTGGTAGGAGGAGACCAGGCATGGTGGCCCAGGCCTGTAATCCCAGCACTTCAGGAGGCCAAGGCAGGTGGATCACTTGAGGTCAGGAGTTTGAGACCAGCCTGGCCAACATGTTGAAAGCTTGTCTCTACTAAAAATACAATAATTAGCTGGGCATGGGGGCGGATGCCTGTAGTCCCAGCTACTGGGGAGGCTGAGGCAGGAGAATCGCTTGAACTCGGGAGGCGGAGGTTGCAGTGAGCTGAGATCGCCACTGCACTCCAGCCTGGGCAACAGAGCAAGATTCCATTTCAAAAACAAACAAAAAGTGCTAGGAAGGCTCTGGTCTTCTTGGCTTGGGCCACCAGCCCGTGTCTGACCCCATCTCTGCAACCCAGAGATAGATCATACTCATCTGCTAAGCCAGGACCACAGAGTCACCCCTGGAGCCAGAGAAGGGAGTAACCCCCACCAACTGCCTCGGAGGGAGGGGTTGATTCCCAAAGGAAAATTAGGGTGGTCAGCAGAAGAAGGGGGAACAGATGTCCACCACCCCAACTCCAACTGCCCCTACTTTATTACACTACTGTTAGCAAAGTCACAGATGGCATACCACATAAGTCATTCTACTTATGTGACTCTGGACCAGCCACTTACTCTCTCTAAAGCTCTTTCCTCACTGGTAAATGCAGTTAAGAAAAAGAATCTGCCAATAAGATTGTTGGGAAAATTAAATGAAAAGACACAGGGCTTAATATTGGCAGAATACTAATAATACCTATTAGAATTATTATTGTGATTGTTATTAAGATTATTACTTCTTCAGTGAGATCTCCTGATCCCGTGCCTTCCTAGGCAAGACTTATCTCTTAATGGCTTCCCAAGCCACCATCGACTTTGTTGTGGAGGCCACCACGTTGGTTAATTAAAGAGGTCAAGACCCAGCTGTCTCAGACGGAAATGAATAAATTACCCACTGGGCGGGAGGTGAATCTCTTCATGCTTCATGCTTGGCCTGCTGAAGTGATTCCAATAGGCCAGCAGCAGGCCTGCAGGGGCCAGGGGGTGAACCCAGATACTCCACCCAGCCCCACCCTGATCCAGTTTGTCCTCTCTGGGGAAAACACACCCAGCTCTCAGCAAAGAGAAATTCTGGGGCACAAACTGGCCTCTGGGGCTAATGGACCTGCAGATGTCCAGTATCCTGAGATTTCCCCCATCCCCTCAGACACTGGAGGGCAGGGAAGGGGCTGAATGTCTGTCCAGATGGCTTCCTCTCTCTCCAGCTGCTCTGCTGGGACCTGGAGGAACCCATTTTCCATGTGGAGCACACCCTGTTCTTCAGCCTATTTCTGCCTCCTTGAGAAGGGGGATGGAGGGTGCGAGGAGCATCTCCAAGGGAGAGGGCAAGAAAGCCTGCTTGATTAACAACTGTTACTTGCAGAGCACTTCCTCTGTGCCAGGTGTTGGGTTTTGGGTGCATTCTTGCCTTTAATCTTCACTAAATTAGAGATCGTGATGGCCATGTGAAAGGAAGCTGAGGCCGAGAGAGGACTGTGTCCACGCTCCCATGACAGGACCTAGATGGGCACCAAAGCCCCCACTCTTAGCCACCACGTTATACAGACTCCCAATTCCCAGGCCACACGAGGCCTCTGCAAAGTCGAAGGGTGCAAATATGACTGGAGCTGCCACTTACTGAGGGTGACCTGGGTGCCAGGTACTGAGCGTGGCACCTTCAGAGGATGATCTGTCAGGTGAATGGGAGGAAAGTCTCCCTAAAACCTATCTGAGGAGAGGAGAGAGGTGGCTGACCCCTGCCAAGAAAGCAGAGCTCATGGAGCCACCCCCCGAGGAGGGTACTGGCTGGTGAGAGACATGGGGGTGGGAGAACAGAATCTTAGAAACTCACTCTTATCCCATGGGAGGCTCCCTTCTCCCTCACCTTGGCTGAGCCAAAGACAGGCAGGCTGAAGCTCAGCAAAAGGAACACCCGAGGCTCGGGTCTACCTAGAGCTAAAAGAGGCCACACCCAGGGCACAGGTGGGCAAACAACAGCCCGCAGGTCAAATGCAGCGGCCACATGTTTTTATAAATAAAGTTTTATTGGAACACAGTTACATGTATTCATTTATATATTGTCTGTGGCTGCTTTCCTCCTACAAAGGCAGAGTTGAGTAGTTGTAACAGAACATACGGCCTGCCAAGCCCAAAATATTTACTATGTGATCCTTTACAACTTGTGCTTGAGTTGGGCAAAGTGGTTAAGAATGTGTGGTCTCCTGACACATATCGCCTGGGTTTATTTCTGGGATCTTTTCTATCTTTGACTCTTGCCAGCTATGTGACTTGACCGCCGTGCCTCAGTTTCCCTTACTTCTTCATTGAGCTGTTGTAAGATTAAACAAGTTAAAATAAGTCAGAGTCTCAGGGTAGTATCTGGCATGTGGCGTTTGTTGTCTTATTCTGGGAAGTACCCTAGGAACTTGAGGAGTAAAAACCCTAAAAATCCTGCACATTTTCGTGTCTTCTTGCATTTCCCGCCATGCAGCTCTGACTGGCCCAATAATTCTACCATTGGCCAGAGCTGGAGAAAACCATTAACACCAATAAATAAAATTAAAACAGGGCATAATGGGAATAATGGGCTTCTTTCCTTCCAAAATAAATGTCACTGGAACAAATTGTTCAAACCACTAGTCTTATTGTTTATGGATTTATTCGCTGTTTATCTCCCCGTCTGTATTGGCGACATGATCAATAATTGCCCATAAATATTGGGCGTTTATAAGAAGGACCATTTAGAGGATGAAAGGGGGCCTCTGGTTACTTTGATTCCTTCACACAGGCCTGGGTCACAATTGCGGGTGTTCAGGATGGCTTTTGGGGGTGATGGGAGACTCATAGCAAGGGGCAACTGGGTCTAGGCAGGGTTGCACACCCCCTGCTTCAGGGCAGGACCCATGGCAGTGCCCTGACTCACGTGCATGCATGCCTACATGTGTGCCTGTGTGTCTGTTAATATGCCAGCCACTTCCAGTCTCTGAGTGTCTCTGTTTCTTTTTCATTCTCTTTGTCTCTCTACCTCAGTCTTGTCTCTTTCTTTTGAAGTCTGTCTCCCTCAGCCCTGTCACTATCTCTGTAGAGTTTCCATCTCCCGCACTCATGCACACAGAATTCACCCCCTGCTATGAAGCCTTGCCCAAGCAGCATTGCTGGTAGAGACAAGTGGAGCAGAAAGGAGCCTGAAGAGGAAGAACTGATGGAACCCCTCTGCCTCTGGTGACCACACTCTGTCTGCAGAATTTCCCGGGATAATGAGGAAAAGAGCTGGACTTGGATTTCCAGAAGAGACTAGTTAGGTCCTAGAGTCTGAGCATGTCTTCTGGGCAGACTTCTACTTCGGAGAAAAATGTTAGTAATGAGGTGAAAAAAAAAGAAGTCATTTAGATGGAGGGAGCAGCTCCTAGCTTTTTACCTCCCAGTTTCCTTTCCCAAACGGAAACCCACTTCCTTCCTTCCAACAACATTTACTGCACACCTACTGTGTGCCTCGGTGCTAGCATCCGGCCGCGGACGAAGAAAGCCTTTGAGAGCCACTCCCTGGAGGGGAAGCTGGCCTGAAAATCAGGGCTGACTGTGAAGGCTGACAAGGTGCTTTCACGGAGAGATTCACAGAATGCCGGGCCAGGAGCCAGGATTTAAGCAGGGAAAATAGTCACTTCTTTCTCCACCAGGGTGCACTGCTCCACCTTCTCAGCCTGGAGAGACAGCATCTCTTTCTCTGTCCATCTTGGCTCTGGGACAGGTCATGGTTGAGATTAAAGGCCCTGTGTACAGAAGGCCGCAGGCAACAGGAAGTGCTGACATCCCGGCTCCTGTAGGGCCTTTAAGAAATGTCACAGACCGGCAGGCAGAAAGGAGCTGTGATGGCATTTTGGGTCTGCAGAAAGAGCAAACATCCGTATAGGAATCGTGCCCTGGAGGTGCACTAGCGAGAGGCAGCAGAGTGAAGGGGGCCTGTCAACAGGGAAGAGATGAGTGGACCCTGCCAGGACGGCGGACCCCTTCCAGACAGGTGGCCTCACTGCCCAACATCCCTTCCAGGACAGGTAGATAGCATCACCTTCTTTTCACAAAGGAAGAAATCAAAGCCTGGAGAGATGTGCGGAAAAACACACAACTAGTAAGTGGCAAACCCAGGTCTGTCTGATCCACAAATTCGTTCTCTTCTCCCAGTATCACAGGTTTTCGCTGCCTGATGCTTTTAAGACCAAGATCACATGCATTGCCCCAGCTGCTCTGCCCCTGTATTTGCATCTGCTGGCAGGACACGTCTACCACAGGAGGGATGCACCGTAGTGGTTGAGGATGGGACCTCAGTAGCCCCAGACTTATCACATCTAGCTTAGCATCTCCAGGGAGAAGAGAGCCTCTCTCTCCCCAGTTTCCCATACATCAATTGCAGGGAAAAGTCTGGTTGGCCTTGCTTGGGTCACATGCTCACTCCTGAACCAATCACAGGGAAATTGCAAAGCTCTGATTGGCCAGACCCTTATGACAGGGCGGGTGCCATGATGGATGTGCTCCCATCCAGGACCACAGGTAGGTGTTGAACCTTGACTCAGAGAGTCAGGGAAGGCTTCCCAGAAGTGATTTCTCCAATGAGACCTGAAGGATTCCAGACAAAGGAGTATTCCAGACAAAGAAATAGGAGAACCGTATTCAGACAGAGGGACTCGCAAGTGCAAAGGCCCGGGGCTGCTCCAGAACTTGTCTTGCTCACAGCCCTATCTCCCCCAATCTTCCCAGGGATGCTCAGGGAATGCTTTGGAAATGAGCTCCACAACTGACTGTGTGGCCCTAGACAAGTGACTTGCCCTTTCTGAACTTCAACTTTCTTCTCTATCTGGTGGTTTAATCATTCTAACCTTCCAGGACGATGCAAGAATTCAATTCATTCAGTTTCCAAATATTCATCCAGCACTTCCTCAATGCCCCGCATCCTAGGCCTGCCATTGAAAAGAGAGGCTTGGGGCTTACACACACGGCTGACCTGCAGTCAGAAATGAGAAGGGAGCTATGGGGAAGGGCAGTTCAGAGGAAGAGGTCCAAGGACAGTGAGGACAGACAATGGGAGGAACGGGGTGGCTTGCAGTGATTCATGCCTTCACCAACCCCACCTTGTCCCCAGACCTGCCCCCTCCCTTTCCACTGCCACTTGCACATACACCACCCCTAAGCGGACTTAGCCATGCTAGGCTGGCTAGGTAAGCATCCAGGGCAATAGAACTTTTCTCCTCGTTCCTTTGCCGGGCAACTTTGTAACCTGAATAACAGGTTGGGACAATCTCCAACAGGAAGGAGAAAACACACTCTTTTGGGTTTGGGTGGCTACAGAGGGATTCTTGCTCCACCCTGTGTACCTGCTCCGAGTGTCTTTCCCCCTCCCCACCCCAGCAGGCCAGTCCTGGGCCCCAGCTCCAGAGCACTCACGGGCTGCCAGGGTGAGCAGGCTAGAAACTCACGACACCAGGTAGCTCTGCAGGTGCTGGGAGGGCAACTCAGCCCAGAGGAAGAGCAGGCTGGGGAGCCCTCACCGCCCAATGGGGACTGACCCCTGGCCCCTGCCCCTCTCCACCCCACTGCCCTGAAGCCAGATTTCCTGCTCAGCATGGACAGGACAGCAAGAGGCTAACCCTCTGCCCAGGTGTGTGTCCCCTACCCTCTGTCTCTGTCCCTATCTCTCTTGTCTGTCTCTGAGTGTTTCTCTTTGAATCTGTGTGTGCGCATATTAAAAGTACTTGTTGTGTCTCCCTCTTCTCATTCTCTCTCTCTCTCTCTCTCTTCCCCACCACCCCGCCCCTTCTCTCCGTCTCCCCCTTCAACTCTGTCCCAGACTGGAGTGTCTCTGTACACACCCTCTGTGAATATTCATGTCTGTCTGTCCATCCAACCCCATCTCTCTGACCCTGTCCCTGTCCTTCCATCCTGTCCGGCCACCGACTCTCCTGGCTCCTCTAACATGGGGTTCCTCCGAGTGTCTTTTGAGTCTCATCCAAGAACCTAGGTTCCTGGACTGTAGGTCGCATCCAAAGCGTAGTCGTGATCATAATATATTTTTTATCTGGAAAAAAGAAGCTGGTAATCTGAATTTCAGGAAGTTAAAGTTCCACAATTTTTCTGTGGGTAGAGCCAGGTGACAGCTTGGTTTTCTAATCTGGAAGGCCCTAGAGGAGTAGGATCAGGGTGGTGGGAGGACTGTTACAATTCACAAGAGGAGGTGTGGTTTTGCAGTTGCTGCTGCTGTTGCTGTTATTGTTGCTTAAACATTAAGGACTGGTTCAGCCCGAGCACCTCTCAATGTACATATGGAGGGCCAAGGAGGCGAATAGACTTGCTCAAGGTTGAAGAGGGTGTTGGGGGCTGTGCCAGGCATGAGCCCAGTCTCCTGTCTCAGGTCTGAGCCTTTGGCAGTTGAACTTTGGAGACCATGTCTGTTGAGATGGATTTTTAGGATAAAGACTCTGGGGTGGGCAGGGGACAGGAAGAGTTGTGGGAGAGGTCATCACAGTCAGAGAAGGTTACCTGCTGCCTTGGAGCTGGTGTGGGAAGTCTGGGACCAAAGACCTCCTGTCCTCTAAGTCTCCACAGACCTTCTGGGGGTTTCAAAGCTGCAAATCACTGGTAACTGCCCAGCACCTGGGGGGTGACACAGGGGGAGGTGAAGAGAAAGATGACCCTGCCCTGCTCAGAACTGAATAAGGGAGAAAACTTTGGTTTCAACCCTCCTCTGAGATAAAAATTCTTGGCAGTGAGACCGCAGTAGGACAGATGAAGAGGGGTTTCAGGGAGTGTTCAGCAGCCAGAAACCTGCATCCAAATTCTGGCTCTCACCCTTGCAAGCTGAATAACCCTGAACTTAGCCATGGTGGGTCTTGCTTACTCATCCCTAACATGGGGGTTGTGAGGATTAAAGAGATAATGCATAGATGGCACCTGGCACAAAGTCACCTGCAATACGTGAGTTGTGATTACTCTTTATCTTGGTACAATAAACAAAGATCGATTGGGCTTCTGCTCCCTGATGGTTTCACTGCAGCTAGCTAGCTCAACCTCCCTGGCTGGCTGGTAGGAAGGAAGGAAGGAAGGGAAGGAGGGCTAAATAGACAGCTGAAAGGATGGATGGACAGGTAGATAGAGGATAGACAGATGGATGGAAAAGTGAACAGATAGAGGATGGATGGATGGAAGGATGGATTAATCAACTGATGGGTTGATGAATGGATGGGTGAAGAGATGGATGAACAAATGGATAGATGGATAAGTGAATAAATCAAATCTCCCAAAAGACAGTGGCTTACCAGACTACACCTTCCTCTACTTTCTAATCTCTGCACTTCAAAAAAACATGGAGAATTGAATATAAAACTCCAGGGGCAAGAGTGAAGGAGACATGGAGGCAGACAGGAAAGGAGGAAAATTGCCCTCTTGTTCATATGGCAGGTGGTGAGGAACCCAACTGAAAGAATTATGATCTCCACAGTTAGAGGTCCCTTTCCCTCATCTTCAGGCTTGATCACTTGCAGACCTGATGCCAGTTTCCGACTGGATTTTCTTCTCTCCATAGGTGGAAGCTGACCCCAAGCCACCCTTCACCTGGACAGGATGAGAGTGTCAGGTAGGCTCTGAAATTGGTTTTGGAGTCATTTTTCTGTCAGCTGTGTCCACCCATCCTGGGCTCACAGTGATTTGGCTGTATCTGTTCTCAAATGGTCAGGCCCGAATTCCAGGAGGAAAGCAATCCAGGGGAGGCTGGAAGAGTAGAAGAGGCGACTTCCTGTCTCTAGGCTGAAAGGCATGAGGAACTTTTGCACAGAGGCCCCACATGGCTGGGATCATTGAGACTGCCCATCTTGGAAACACTTGGCCTGGTTGGAAATTAGAGACAAAAATATTTACCTCGAGGAGGGCTATTCTAGAATTTTTATACCATAAAAATTCTAGAGGGAGGCAAAGGCCTTCTAGTCCACACCCTCATACTGTATCCCCCTTTGTACAGATAGGGAAACTGAGGCAGCAGACACGAAATGCACCTGCCTCATTTACATTCTAGAACAGCTGTAAGGAGTCAGGGGCACAGGGTTTTGAAGTCGGCTTACTTCTCTGGGTGTAAACCCCACTTTTGACACTTACTAGCCAAGTGACAGTGGGGAAGTGACCGCCTCTCAGTTTCCTCATATGTAAAATGGGAATAATCAATGTATCCAGCACATAGGGTTACTCAGAGAATGAACTGAGATAATGTATTCAAAAGTTGCTCACATGGTGCCTGGCACAAAATTGAGTGCTGGGTGAACATGAGCTGATACCCAAGAGGAATTCTGGGTGCCTAGATCCGTGCTGTGCCATTGAAGACCAGGGATCCCCACAGACCTGCATCCCACCCCACAGGACCCGGCGGGCCTTCTCCCCAGCCTGAGTAGTCAGAGACTAGTTCAAGGCTCTAGAGCTGAATTCGGGGCTGGGGAGCAGGGGAGATGCCAACAGGGAGGTCAGAGGGAGGGGTGCCACAGCTGGGCCTGTGCCTCAAGAGTCAGAGCAGAATGGGTGGGTCTGATTCAGAAGGTAGCAGGGATGTGAAATGGAGCCTGCTTTCCGGTCCCTGTAAAGAAAGGGAACTCCAGGTGGCTCGTCCCCATGTGTGGGGTTGTTCCCCAATCACATGGGGAATCAGAAAGCAATCTGGCCATGAGGCAGGGGCCAGGGAGCTGTGGCTTGTCTGGAAGCTGCACAGCAAGTCCAGTGTGCGGTTATTTGTGGAGGCCTTGAGGGAGAATTGATGGAAACTGTGGGGGGCAGCCCCAACCCCAAGCCACCTGGAGGCTGCCTACTTTTGACAACTACAATATCCCTGCCAACAAGCTCAGGGGCAAGGGTGTTACCAGGTCTGCTCTGTGCCTGAAGGACTTCAGCTCAGAGAGGCTGAGCTCCTACTCAGAGTCACACAGCACTGCTGGCTGCCCTGAGCACTGGCCACAGCCTTCCTGACTCCCTTTCCAGGGCTCCCCTCCCAGAGTCCTGCCCTCCCACTGCAGTTCTCAGGCCTCCCCTTAAGGGGCTACAGAAAGGTCTAGAATGCTGGCCTCATTGCTAGAGATTCTCTCCCTCTGGAGGGCTAAGTGGAGCCCAGGCAGGCACATTTTTAACTTTCTCTCCCAGGGGACCCACTTGGGGCAATGTTGCCACATGACCTGGCATCACAATCTCACTAACTGGCCACTGGACAAATTCACACATCTTACCACATGGTCCCATGGTCTGGTCCCCAGCATGGATGTGGTCTGAGCCTATAGCATGGGGTCTGTGGGATTTGGGAAGAACTCACACGTGGTCTTGCAATGTGGTCTTGGCTCTGTGGTCTCCTGGCAGCATCCCCTTGCTCAGCAGGTGTGCTTCGCCTCCTGGCCCTCATCTTTGCCATAGTCACGACATGGATGTTTATTCGAAGCTACATGAGCTTCAGCATGAAAACCATCCGTCTGCCACGCTGGCTGGGTGAGTGGGGCTCACTGCTGGGGGCAGGAACTGCAGACCAGGCCTGGGGGCCGAAGACATATTCTTCCCTCCATCCCTAGGTGACCCAGGAGACATGACAAGCTGTGCTGCCTTTGGGACCCCAGCAATTGCAGGGAGAGGGGGCACCCCCAGACTACCAGGAAGGGTGGAGTCCATGGGGAACAGAGGTGCATTGCAAGGGCCTGGGCAACACATGTGCCCACATCGAGGACCACTTTGAAAAGGTGACCCGAAGAAGGAAGGAAAGAAAGGAGGAAGGACAGAGGGAGGAAGAACAGAAGGAAGGGAGGTGGGAGGAAAGGAAGAAAGAAAATCATATATTGAGCGTCTTCACCTGCACCTGCTGCTCCCTCTTCCTGTATCTCTTCATGCAGATCCCCCCCACCTGCCCTCCCACCTGGCTCCTTCTCAGCCTTCGAGTTTCAGCTAAGGTTGCCCTGCTAAGATTGCACCCCTTCCTCCTAGTTTAGCTTCTCTCATGTCAGGCTTTTCCTTTCAGAACACCATCATTATCTGTCATTATGGTTTTTATGTTTCATTGTTTGTTGCCAGTCTCCACACCCTAGAATGTGAGCTTCCTGAAGACAAGGATTTTATTTTGTGTGCATCCACCTCTCTAGTGCCTGGCACAGAGCAGATGCCTAGTAAACATTTGATGAGTGAAAAAAAAAAAACGGATGGATGGATGGATAAATGGGTGGGTGGATGGATGGGTAGTTGGAAGGATGAGTAGATGGATGGATGGGTAGATGGAGAGATGGATGGATGGATGGATGGATGGATGGATGGACAGATGGATGGACAGATGGATGGATGAGTGAAGAATGGCTGAGTGGGTGGGTGGATAGATAAATGGATGGTTGGATGGGTAGATGGAGGGATGAGTAGATGGACAGATGAATGGGCAAATGGAGAGATGGGCGAATGAATGAGTGGGTGGAGAATGGATGAGTGAGTGGGTGAATGTGTGAATGGCTGGATGGATAGATGGAGGGATAAGTAGATGGATGGGTTGGTGGAGAACAGATGAGTGGGTAGATGGATGGGTGGATGGGTAGATGGGTAGATGGAGGGAAGGGTGGATGGATGGATGAGTGGGTGGAGAAGGGATGAGTGAGTAGATGGATGGGTGGATGGGTAGATGGGTAGATGGAGGGAAGGGTGGATGGATGGATGAGTGGGTGGAGAAGGGATGAGTGAGTAGATGGATGGGTGGATGGCTAGATGGGTAGATGGTGGGTGGGTGGGTGGATAGATGAATGAATGAATGAATGAATGGATGGACAGGTGGAAGGATGCTGGATGCTAGCTGCTTTACATGCATAGTCTCATTTAACCTGCACAAATGTTCCACAGAGTGATCTATGGTGTGGTTGTGGAATGGACTCAAGCACAATCCTTGATGTGGTTTCACATGTGTTCTGAGAAAACAGAAGCTTGAGGAGATTTAAAAACTCACCCAAGTTCCTCTTGGAGATATTAGAACAAGAACGGGAACCCAGGTCTCCCAGATTCATATCCTTTCTGATCAAAGGAAGAAGTGAAGGGAAGGGATTTATATCTCTGGATTCATCCCGCTTGAAGACCAAGAACCATGTACATTGACATCATCACAAACATCAGTGACCTGAGCCTCTCCCAGCTTCCTAAGGCAGCAAGTAAACCAGTCACTCCTTCTTGAACATGACCCCACAGTGGAGTGTCTGCGATCCCTTACCTTGTTTGCTTCTTGTCAAGCATGTTCCACAGCCCATGCTGAGATGATTTAGAAGTTTATATAGATGCTTAGTGGCCAAGTGTCCCCACCCCCGCGCCCCCCACCCCCACCCAGGATCGCTGCTTTTACAAACTAGACAGTGATGTGGCTGCACTAATGGCCTCAAAGGTGAGGGGCCCAAGTCAGTGTAGGAGGCTCAGGGGTGTCCTCTAGAGAAGAGTGCCCCAGTCCGAGGTGGGAGAGGGGCAGTAATTGAAAAGAGACCCAGTAATTATTTCTCTCTCAGTACTCAACTACCTGGGGTTTGACAAGCCAACATCTCCAACCAACCATCATTAAGTGACTGCTGGGTTTTGAACTCTGTGTTTGGCCCCAGGGACCCTCAATGAGGAACATGTGGCCCTGCTCATGGTCTGAGTCAGAGAAAGAAACAGACTTCATTACAGCATGTGGAAAAATGAAAGTGCATTAACATGATGCAGAGTCTCAGGAAATGTTTACAATGGCAGGAAATGTAACCAGTGGGAAAGATGGCCAGTAAAAACCATTGATGTTTCAGCACTGAAGGGAGTAATTTTCATTTACTTCAGAGGTTCCTAACCTGAGTGCACATACCCTCATTTTATTATTTAATGCACTGATATAGAAGCACATATATTACTATAGCACAAATTTGGTTTTTGTTTTTACTATTATATTGATATATAATTGGTTTCCAATCTATTTTACTTTATGCATTTAATAACACAGTCTGTTGGAGTATAAAGTGATAAGTGTCTCAAGGGAAGTGAGAATAATTTTATTCTGAGAGGAGTTCATGGGCTTTTCCAAACCACCAAAGGGAATCATGGCACAGAAACCAGATTAAGAACCCCTGTGCCTAGAAAGTTAATCAGAGTTCTTTCGGATAAGAGTGACCAGCCGGGCACGGTGGCTCACGCCTGTAATCCCAGCACTTTGGGATGCCGAGGCGGGCAGATCACGAGGTCAGGAGATGGAGACCATCCTGGCTAACACGGTGAAACCCCATCTCTACTAAAAGTACAAAAAATTAGCCGGGCGTGGTGGCGGGCGCCTGTAGTCCCAGCTACTTGGGAGGTTGAGGCAGGAGAATGGCGTGAACCCGGGAGGCGGAGCTTGCAGTGAGCCGAGATCGCGCCACTGCACTCCAGCCTGGGCGACGGAGCGAGACTCTGTCTCAAAAAAATAAAAATAAAAAATAAAAAGATGAGAGTGACCAACTCAACTTTAACTGGTTTCAACAAAACATGAGGTCTTGATCGTCCACTATGGGCATCTTGTGGCTTCAGGTGTGGCTGAATCCAGGAGTCTCCCATGAAGTCCCCAGAGCTGGTCTCTCTTCTTTCTACATCCCTGGGCTTTGCTTGTTGCTACTTGACCTCAACAGATTAGGGCCTCATTCCATGGGCAGCTTTCTCTCTAAGGCAGGCACGATGGCTCCTCTCCCGATGCTTATCTTCTCCCTTGGCTGAAAAAGCACTTTCTCTCTCTCTCTCTGTCTCTCCCTCTCCCCCTGCCCCCACCAACTATGTATCAACATAGGGAAGTAGGGAAGGGCTCTGTCTCCAGAGAAATGTAATAGTATGATTGACCCAGCTTGGGTCTCATGCCACTCCTGGGGCCTTGGAGGCAAGGGGTAGGGACATTTCCAGATGGACAGCCCCTGAGAACCAAATGGAAAGCGTGTAAGTGTTGGGGGGGGTTCCCCCAAAAAAGGAGAGTTTCTTCCCCTAGGATTTCTGCTTCCTCTGGAGGCCCTGTCCTCCAGGCGTCACTGCTGGCGTGGTGGGAGATACGATGTAGAACCACAGAAACAACTAGGATATGGTATAAGATTTCAGGAAGTGGCCAAGGGCCCTAGAGCCAGTGCAGACAATATGCACTGTGGGCAGTCAGGAAAGAGACACCCCAATATGGGCCAAACACCCACAGCAGCACAACTCTACCCTTCACTGGGGCCCAGGGGCCAGGCACCGGGCTTGGCCCTCACACAGTGATCTCACTGGGTCCCCTCCATGGCCCTGTGAGGGTGGCTGTCATCACACATGCCATCTACATGTGCTGTCAAGGAAACTGAGGCCCAGGGAGGTTAAATGTCTCATGCAGTCATATACTAGGAACTAGGGCACAAACTCTAATGGTCTCAAACAGCCCAGCTTCTTTTGAACCAAGGGAGAGTCGTGTGTGTGTCTTGTACAAGTGTATGTGTGTATATGCACACACATGTGTATGTCTGCGTGTGTGTACACGTCTGTGTGTGCACACATGTGTGTCTGTATATGTGACCATACCTGTGTGTCTCTATGCATACATGAGTGTCACATATATCTGCATGTGTGTGTGTGTGCATGTGTATATGTGTGTGCGTGTGTGTACACATGTGTATCTGTGTATATGTGTGCTGTGTGTGTATGTATGTGTGTGAAGGGGTGACAGTGGCAAGGCATTTTTAGTTCATTTCAATGGCGCCAATTTAAATCCCCTTATTCCCACTCCCCAGCCCCCAGCCCCCAACCTCCATCCTGCAGGAGGGTCCGAAGTGCTTTTCCTCTAACCAGATTCTGTCTTCTCTCCAGCAGCCTCGCCCACCAAGGAGATCCGTGAGTATCTGTGCAGCCCCACACCTCCCCCGACCTCATCCACTCACCCCCTGCTCCCATTTGCCCTAGGGCAACAAGGCCCAGGGCCCCTGCTCTGAGCCCTGCAGGTGCCAGAGAAACCTGGGCTTCCTGATTCTTCCCAGTCCTCTCCTCCCATGGCCCAATGGTGCCTTCTGAAGCCTCTAAGCCCTGTGGCAGGGGTGGCCCCCCTCTCAGTCATTCAGACTGTAGAGACACAGTTCAACTCTGCCCCTTCTCCAGTACCCCTGCTGCAGTCTGGACCGAACCCTGCCCCTGCCCCCTGTCTCTGACAACCCCACACAGCTGGGAGCCCGAGGACCAGGGCTGTGCTCCTTAACCCCATTGCAGTGACCCCAGGCTTGGCTCAGGGTTCCTGCTGCAAAGTGCCAGAGACCACATCAGGCACTACAGGGGCCCCAGAGACAAACAGAAGTGGGTGCTGATTGTCTGTTGGGGTGGAAATGCCAGACCTGCCTAAGAGAAGTGGAGAAAGTGCTCTGGGTTCCAGGAGGGGCACCCCCTGCAAGGCCTCAGGGAGGAGGTATCCCCTCTGCAAAGGCCTAAAGGCAAGAATGCTCCAGTGGAGTCCTTGGCTAGAGAGTCAGGACAAGGAAGGGGAGGGAGAGCTGTGATGATGGTACTAGTAACGATGATTGAGTGTCTATTATGTGCCAGGCACTGGATTCAGAACTTCACAGGCATCTCATGCAATCCTACATACAACCCTATGTTGGTGCTATAAGTAGCCCCTTTTATAGGTAAGGAAACTAAGGCACCGAGAAGTGAAATCTTTTGGCCAGGGTCACACAGCTGTAAGTGGTGAGGCAGAAGTCAAACCCCCTCCACCATCTAGTCCAGAGCCCACCCCCTCAACCCCTCTTTGCAAGAGGCAGCACCTCCAGGCCCTCTCCATTTCCTTCTCAACATGGTGGTGACTCTGAAGAGGGCTGTGGCTCCCAAAATAGGATTTTGCCTGGCTAAGAAGGACATGGGTGCCCCAGTACACTGTGAGATTACAGAAGGCAAAGACAATATGAAGCAACACAAATCATTCACCTCCACACCCTTAACCCTAGCTCCCTGAAGTCTCCTCAGTCATATTCTGAAGTGGACACAGAGTGTCACAGCATCTTGTTGCTATCAAACACTTAGACATCACCTGCTGGGGGGATAGCAAATTCAAGCACACATGCTGTTTTCCACCCTGCCTGTTCCCATGGCAGACATCACCAATCAATCCCAGCATTCTTTCCCTCCAAGCCCATAGGCAGCCTTGAGAGATTTATCATTAAGCCTTTAACAGGAGGTCCACATTGACATTTAAGAGGAAACCTGTTTGACAACCCTGATCTAAACCAACTTCCTGATTTCACAGCTGGCAAAGATAAAGGGAGCAATTTCTGGCAAGCCACAGAGCAGATTAATGAAAGAGCAGCCTATTTCCTGAATGAATCCCTGCCCCAGTGCTCTTGGTAGCACACCAGTTCCATGCTCTGAGCAACAGCACAAGGGTTCCCGGGGGGGTTGGGCCTCAGGGATTGAGGCAGCTGATGGGAGCAGCCTTCTATGCCAGAACCCAGAGAGCAAATCTCCTGCCTCCCAGAGGCTGAGGCCCCCTTGGCCTCATCTCCCTTCATCCAGCAGCGTGACTGTGAAGGCTGGATGGTCAGAAAATCAATGCTGGAAAAGCCTGCTTAAGCCAGCCTGTTGACATCAGGTTTATCAGACTTAGCTGCAATTGATTAGGCTCTGGGCAAACACCAGAAGTGGTCCCCAGGGCTGGGAATGATCTCCCTGCATAGGTGAGATCCCCGGGTGAGGGGTGCATGTGGCTGGAGGTGGGGCCCCAAGGCTGTAGGAGACCAGGAGCCATGCCCTGGCTTCCCTCCCCAGCATCACTCCTCAGCCAATCCCATAGGTGGGGGCTGGGCCCCTTCATAGGGATCCTGCCCAGAAGGAGGAGAAGGGGAGTTGGTCCACCCCCAGCCCGGCCCTCTCTCCCCTAAGCCACAGGCTTGGATACCCACTCTCTCCTGAACAGCCCTTCACGGATGCCTCTGCCCACTGCCCACTCTCTGGGTGACAATGTCATGGTTTGAGTTCAGTTCCACCCATCACATGTGTGTGCTGAAACCAGGAGAGGGGGAGCCCTGGACAGGCATTTCCTCTCAGATTCCCAGGGTTGCCTGCTCAGTGGAGGGAAACCAAGCCAGCAGGGTTCCCTGGTGTGGGCTGCATTTGCTCCTAGAAGGGGCACCTTTACCTACTCAAAGGTGCTCACCAAGCCTGGCACCAGTGGGTTGTGCCCCTCCAGAGGGGTGCATTTTCCTGATTCACCTAAAAGCTCCCTATAGACCAGGGAGGGCCCTGGAAACCTCATGGTCCCTACCAGCCTCAGGTGTAGCCTGGCCCAAATATTGTACATGTTATGCAGTGAAGACTACCCACTGCCTACTATGTGCCAGACACAGGAGTTTTCAGGATGAGTCAATAAGATAATAAACACAAAGTCCTGGCCCCAGTGCCTTGCATGCAGCAAGGTCTTGGCATGTGCAAGCTTCCTTAAGGAGCCTGCAGCTTTGCTCCAAAGCACACACTGGCAGACCTTGGCCAGATGCCTGGCACAGGGGCTGGGGAGGGAAAGGCTGCCCAACCCCCGTTTTCCCTTTGCAGATGAGCATTCTCCAAATCCATGTTTACCCAGTCCTCCTTAATGCTGCCTTCCAAACTGTCAGCGGGTGCTAAAAAGCACACATTAGGATGAATTAGAACATGCCAGGCTGCAAGGGCGGGTGTCATCCCAGAACTCACAGAGCACGTTGAGGGCTCAGCCGCTCAGCCACATCTTTAGGTCCCACCAGCATCTCCCCCCAGGCATGGACCTCCCCAATTTACCCTGTGAAGGCTGCATGGAGAAGATGCAGGTCTTAGGAACAGCCAGCATCACCAGAGGTGCCACTTAGTGAGTACCCAGTGGGCTCCCAACACCGTGCTGAGCTCCCAGTGGGAGAACCGGAACCGTCTGCCTGTTCTCTGTTGTATTCCAGCATCAGGCACTTAGTAGATGCTCAGTAAATGAGTGATAAATGAATGAATGATGAGAAGAATAGCCAATGTGTACTGAGCATTAAACCACACTCATGTATTCCTCACAAGAACCCAGTGGGGGAGGCACCACAGATACCCCATTTTGCAGATAAGATGAGGTGCAAGGAGGTTGAGAATTTGCCCAAGGGAACCTGGCTAGACAGAAGTGCTCCCACTCACCCCGCCAGGGTCCCTGGGAGTTCTCAACAGGGGCCTCTGGGGACTCAGAAGGCTGCCATGGCCCAAACGAGAGGTTCTCAGGAGAGTCCCTTCGTCATAGTGACTCAGGTTTACTCTGGTTACATTTACCAAGGGTGCCCTGCTGTGGCTGGAGCTGTGAAGGGAAGCCCAAAAATTCATTCTGGGCTGGTCCTGTGTGCTCTGGTGGGGGCTGTTGGAGGCACTGTGGAGCCCAGAAGGGCACATCTCCCAGACTTTGCAATCAGCGAAGGCTCCCCCAGAAAGAGGCTCTGAGCTTCATCCCAAGCTGCGCCCTGGCCCTAGCCCTGGCCCTCCCCTCCTTCTCCCCCAAGTACCTCCTGAGCTTCTGCCCACCAAGGCTGGTCTCTTTCCTCCCCAGAGGTTAAAAAGTACAAGTGTGGCCTCATCAAGCCCTGCCCAGCCAACTACTTTGCGTTTAAAATCTGCAGTGGGGCCGCCAACGTCGTGGGCCCTACTATGTGCTTTGAAGACCGCATGTAAGTACCTAAGACACAACTATGTTTATTTTATTTTATTTTATTTTATTTCATTCATTCATTAAAAAACTCAGAGGCTGCAGGGGCTGGCCTGTGAGACCAGCCCACAGCTTCCCTTTCACTCTGGGTGTGTGAGGCACAAATAACAATAATTGAAACAGCTCCCACATCCACCAGCACCTTGCCTGGTGCTTCACAGCATCTCTCATTCATTCCCCCGACATCCTGGGAGGTGGGGATATTATCCCCAGGAGAATGTAAAGATGAGGATAGTGGGGTGCAGACAGGGTCACCTGCCCAGTGGCAGGACCAGGATTTGACCTCAAGTCTAACAGCCAAGTTGCTGGGCTTCCCATGAAAGGAAATGCCTGCAGAGAAGTTTCAAGATCCTGACCCAGGCATCAAAGCCCAGATATAGCAGGCACCAGGGCTTCCACCCCAGTACAGGAGAAAGGCTGTGTACCTATCATCCAACCTAGACAGTAAAGGCCCTGGGACAGCAAGTGCAACCTATGAAAGAACTCAGGGACGGGTGTTTAAACCAGGATTCTGAACCTAACCACAGTTTGTTTAAGCAAAACAAGGAAGTGATGGGTTCAAATACCTAAAAGACCAGGGGTGGTAGGCAGGCTTCAGGACCACCTGGATCCAGGGATTCAAACAATGTCATCAGGGCTGTCTATCACCCCATCTTCAGCTCTACCCTCCTCTGTCTAATAGCTTTGCTTTTTTTTTTCTACTTGCAAGGGATTTCTCCATGTGGTTAAAGAGGGAGACCACCAGCTGGTTTGACATATTAGCCCAGCCTAGCACCCTAATGGGAAAAGAGCCTTCCTGTCTAAATTATCCCTGCAAAAGTCCCAAGCCTGTATTTCATTGATTGGCCTGGGTCACATGACCAAGCCTAGCCCAGCGTATTAGTCCGTTTTCACGCTGCTGATAAAGACATACCCGAGACTAGGTAATTTATCCAGGAAAAAGATTTTAATGGACTCACAGTTCCATGTGGCAGGAGAAGCCTCATAATCATGGTGGAAGGCAAAGGAGGAGCAAGTCACATCTTACATGGTTGGCAGCAGGCAGAGAAAGAGCTTGTGCAGCCTCCTTATAAAACCATTAGATCTTGTGAGATTTACTCACTATCATGAGAACAGCACAGGAAAGACCTGCCCCCATGATTCAATTACCTCCCACTGGGTCCCTCCCACAACACGTGGGAATTCAAGATGAGCTTTGGGTGGGGACACAGCCAAACCATATCAGCCAGTCGCTGTAGCTGGGGACGTAGGATGCTCTGCTTGTCCACACCTGGGAGAGAGAGGTCAATCCCAGGAACCACCTGGCCTGTTCGTGGAGAAAGACAATTCTCCCACCGCACATCCAGAGACAAGGGTGTGGATGCCGGGCCAGCAGGAACACAGCTGGGCCACATGGGGACTCAGACACCCCAGGATGGCAGCAACCTTCTGGGTCCTGCCTCCTTCCAGCAGCCAGGCCTCACGGCCTGGGGGTGGGCTGGCCCCACCTCCAACACCTCAGAGGCCCAGGCAGGGACCTTGCCTCTTCTCTGAGCAGGTTGTTCTGGTCCAACATGCCTTGAGAAACTCTTCAGAGAATCCAGCCCACCACTAGTTTTCAGGAGAAAACAGATGGCCCCAGTTATTGCATGTGTTTCCCAATGCTTCTGCATTGCTTATGTGGGTCCTCACGGAGTTCCCCAGCTGGGAGAGCAGAGTGTTCATTCCACACTCGGGACCGACTGTCATATTTCTTCTTCATTGTCTTCAGGATCATGAGTCCTGTGAAAAACAATGTGGGCAGAGGCCTAAACATCGCCCTGGTGAATGGTGAGTTGCATATCCATCCCCAGACAGTTCCCACCCAGAACCAGGGAGGGTAGGGGGTAGCGGCATATTCATTCAACCAACATTGGCTCAGCTCCTACCTCATGGCAGGAATGCCCGTAGAGCTCAGGAGGGGAAGCGTGGCTGGCCTGGGGGAACAGAAGGTCTCAAAGACCCGCAGAGCTGTAGAACCGCAGAGCTAGCCAGGCCCCTGCCACATGCTCCTATCTCAGGAGGACACACTTCTCCTATGGAACATGAGTGAAACATGACCCGATCCTCAAAGCCTCTCTGCTTAAGCCAACACAAATGAGGATGTGGGGACAACCAATGACAGTGCAAGATCACATGCTGAGTATACACCTTCATTCATTCATTCAACAAATACAGGCAGCAGCTACTGTGGGCCAGGCTCTGTACAGGACACTGGGGGTCAGCCAAGAACTAGAAAGGCCCTGGCTTCACAGCCTCCGTAGGTATCCGTGAGGCTCACAAACAATCTCAATGTGGTGAGCCTCTCTGGAGGGGCAGGAAGCACAGCTATGGGAGCTGGGATGCAGAGCTGGGATGCAGAACAGGGGACAGACCCCGGGTGGTTCAGGGGAGGCTTCCAGAGGGAGCTGATGGCCAGCTAAGGCCTGAAGGATTGTGGGCGCTGGCCAGGAGAAAATTGGGGAAGGCTCTTTCCAGGCAGGGGCAACACAGTGCAGGGAGGAGAAGGGAAAGGGAGGGAGAGAGGTTTGCAGGGCAACATAGAGAGGCAAGGCTGGGGACAGCAGCAAGGCCAGAGGATGAGGAGCTAGCAAGCCTGCTAAGAAGTGTGACTGGAAGCCGAGAGCAGTAGGGAGCCACGGAAAGGCTTTGAGCAGTGTGTGAGGGGCCAGGCATGCACTCCAGAAACCTCCCTCCAGCTTGGAGTAGGGGGGCTGGAGGCAGGGAGACCACAAGGGAATCCATGGCCTTGATAACCCTGCATCTCCTGCAGGACACACACTTAAACAGGAGGCCAGAGGGCCGCCAAGCCTGAAGTAGGGACACGTTTCAGGAGGGAGTGGACTTACAGGGTCAGGTAAGGACCAGGTGGTCTAGCCCCAGCCAGACCTCCTCTCTGCCTCTGTTCTTAGAAAACAGAGTTTTCTAAGAACTGGCTGTAAGGGCCACTTCTGGGACAAAGGTCAGGGCAAGTTGGGGAAAAGGTGTAAGGGATGCTCAGGAAGGAACTTGTCGAGCTTGTGTGTGGCAGGACCACATGAGCACACTTAGGAAGGAACAGGGTAGGATGGGAGCCCCGGCCTTGCCAGCTCCAAGCCCCTGCACTTCACTCCAGAGAAAGCCTTTTCTCGCTCTGCCAAGAAACCCTAATGGGTCAGGGGAGAAGTCGAGGCCTGGAGCAGTGATGGGGCTGTTCCTGGACAGATGGGAGTCAGAGGACAGCCCTGGCCAACTTCCTAGGAGCCCAGGAAGGGCCAGGGCAGGGAGTGGCAGGAGGCTGAGTGCAGCCGTTCCTCTGCAGCTTTGAGGAGGGCCCAGGCCTGTTCCACTCCAGCCTCAATGAAGTGGCATCCCTCCTGCAGGGAGGGTGTGCCCAGGCTGGTCTCAGAGCGCTCTTTTGTGCATGCCAGACCCCAGAAGACTGTAGGAGCCTCAGCATACATCAACACTCCCATCCATCTGCCCTCACCCCACAGCGAGGGCAGGCAGGAAATGGCACAGGCTGCAGCTGACCTGGCTGAAACCTGCTGACTTTCTCCCCTAAATGGGTCGCACCTGAGAAAAGCTTTTTGAATATTCTCCAATGAGATGGCCCCAGACTAGGCCTCTTTCCCTGCTTCTCACAAAGCCAAAAGGATGAAAATAACCATCAATGGCAATAAGAACTAGCATTTATTGGGCACTTACTGTGCCTTTTCATTTAACCCCATCACTGTGTTAGGATGGAGCTATGCTCAATATCCCCATTTCCCAGGTAAGAAACTAAGGCTCAAAGAGGTTAAGCAGGCTGGGTGCAGTGGCTCATGCCTGTAATCCCAGCACTTTGAGAGGCTGAGGTGGGCAGATCTCTTGAGCTCAGGAGTTCAAGAACAGCCTGAGTAACAGTGAACCACCCCCCGAATCCGCCCCGTCTCTACAAAAAGTAAAAAAATTAGCTGGGTGTGGTGGCGCACACCTGTAGTCCCAGCTAAGGCTGAGGTGGGAGGATTGCTTGAGCCTGGGAGGTCGAGGTTGCAGTCAGCCAAGCTCACACCACTGCACTCCAGCCTGGACTGCAGAGAGACCCTGTCCAAAAAAAAAAAAGAGGTTAAGCAACTTGCCCAAGGTCACACAGCCTATAAAACCACCTACGTTTGAACCTGGATCGAGTCAACTGCAGGTCTTAATCATTCACCTGAACTACCTCCCTAGACTAGAAATGTCTCAACCACACATACAGCACCTACTGTATACATGCGTGCTATGTATGCCAGATGTGGGGAAGCCCAACAAATCATGTAAGGGGCTCAGTGTCCTCATCTATATGACCAAGAACAACACAAGGATTGCTAAGGATCCAGTAGTCTTTAACCTTTAGTGGGGCAGAGAGTCCTCAGGATCTTCCAGCTATGCTGGCCGCCACCCCCACCCCCAACACTCTCCAATTGCAGAATCATTCACAAGCGCACGCGATCACAAAAGCAGCCCCATGGGTTCATAGACTCCTTCCAAGAGCCCCAGGTGAAGCATTCCGTTCACGCTACGTGGCTCCCGAGAATCCTGGAGGGGCTGCTAAGCGAGCCTGCTCGCGCCACCTGGACAGCCTAGGCCTGGTCCCCACCCTCCTCCGTAAGCCTCGGAGCTGCCATCCCCTCTGCAACGCCTCCATCTAGCGGCGGAGAGCGCGAACTGTAACGTTCCTCCAGAAGACTCGGTTCCCTGGAGGGCTTGGCCTTCGGCCACCTCCTCCCACAAAACCCACAAACGCAATCCAGGTTACTGGACCCTGGGAAACTGAGTACCGCTTAGCCCAACACAAATCCCTTTGCCTTCAAGAGGTGGAGGACTCCAGTTGTAGGTTTTCTATTTAGGTGGGAATAATAATGACGACTGTCATTTTGATTTTGATTTTGCAGCTAAAATTCATCTTGTATGACTACTATTAATATTTTAAATGTATCTCCTTTAGTTCCCACAACCCATTGTACAGATGCAAAAATTGAGGTCAAAATGCTAAGTCCTGCGTTAGAAACTGGTAGGACAGAACACCGACTCAGACTGAGTAGACTCAGTTCGATTCCAGAGATGTCCTCAGCCATTACGTTCTTGAACCTCTCAGATGAGCCCAGCCATTCCTGGAAACCTACTTTAGTCCTGCGTGCTCTTTATAGGACCTGATTTCATTAGATTCTTATTCTGTTTTTAGATCTTAGACTACAGATTAGGCATTTTCAGCAGAACGACAGGCAGAATGACACGTGTTACAGGGGATAATCGTTCTCCTCTTAACCCCTAGGAACCACGGGAGCTGTGCTGGGACAGAAGGCATTTGACATGTACTCTGGAGGTAGGTGCCTCTGCTGACACTGAAGTCACAGTCGGGGGTGCGGTGCAGAGGGCTGAGCCTCTTCATGTGGCAAGGGACCTGGTGGCTCGAGGTACCTGGTGCTTCTTTCCACAGGAGGCACCCAGGAAGAGGTGCGGTGGGGGGTTGAGGGTGTCCTGCTGCTTTCGAAACTCCTTCTGGCCATCTCAGTTGGGATCTCCCAGACTCAGATCCTGAGACAGGGATTCAAGTGCAATGCTTTATTTAAGAAGTGAGCTCAGGAAACGTCAGATGGGCAGCTGGAACCCTGTCCTCAGCCCAGGGCTTCATAAGACCCCACCCGGCCCTCCTCCATCTCCATCCCAACTCATGGGTGAGCAGTCCGCAGAGCTAGGAGTGTGCTGACCTGGAGTCTGCATCAGGGCCCACGCAGGTCTCTTACCAGGTGTGCCCCACCCCCAGGCTTCTGACACTCCCCCAGGATGGAGGGGTGACCAGGGGCTGGCTGTTGCTTGATGGGAGGGTGCTGTGGATGGAGCCTGGATGGGCCCACTGAAGTGCCCACATGCGGTGTGCAAGGTCCCTCCTCCTGGTACAGGATAGAGCTGAGGACAGGGGCAACAGGAGATGGGGACAGGCCAGGGGCTGAGGACCAGACATTCTGCCTGGAGTCCTACTGATGTTCAGCGTGGCCTGGGGCCAGGTTTATGGAAAACGTCCAGTCTCCGGTGTCAGAGACTACTGGCGGCATGACCTGAAGCAAGTGATGCCTCTTGAGCCTCAGTTTCTTCATCTGTGACATAGAGGCAGCTATAGTTTCCACTCCATAAAATTGATGTGAAGATTAGATAACCTGAAATAATTGGTGGAAGGGTATCCAGCCTGACTGGTGGAGGGGTCCAGGCAAGCTATGTTAGTCTTCTCCCTTCCCTCCTCTTCCCCTTCGCTCCCCTCTTCCCTCATTCCGTCCAGATGACTCAGAAGCAAGGAAATCATCTGTCAGAATGAAAAGGAAAAAAAGCGTAAAGATGAAACTAAGCTTTAAAATGCCTTATGATAAACTTGAATGTAGCCACGGCTGATGGGGACCCAGAAACAGAAGCATTGTGAGCAAGTAGTCCTTCCCTTCAGGAAACAAAAGGGGATGATGGCTTTTTAAAGTGAGGTGATCATTAGCAGAAGGCATGTTTTATTTTTTCAAATACCCACCGTCCATCCAGACAAGCACCAGACCGTAATATCTGCTAACAACACAAATTAATGGTGCTTTAAGAGCTCCCTCCTTTTGTCATAAAAGTTCAAGGGCCATTTCTTTAGAAGAGTGACTGTGGTGGTTGACCGGAAACCTCTGTCACTGAGCTGGCTGGCAGCTGGCCTTAGTTGGGAGAATGGCTTCTTCCCCAAGGTCCTAGAGGTCCGCACTGGAATACTAATAATCAAGGCCAGCTTTGTGGGCCTATGACCTGGGGACAGGGCAGTCACACGGGGCCCATGCTTGGAAGAATCTCACACTTGACTTCATGCTCTGCCATCGTGGTCTTGAAATACTTAATCATTTTTTATTAAAAGGCCCTGCATTTTCATTCTGCACTGGGTCCTGAAAATTATGCTGCCAATCCTGCTAATAATTTTTGGTTCCATTAGAGTACGCTTACTGTATGCCCAAAGTTATTGTCACATTTGCACTTCATAGAGGTTATAAGCAGGGCTGTTACTCATCCTCATTTGACAGATATAGTCTCTGCTTTAGCCACTAGGCTGCTTGTTCCCAAACTTGAGCCCACTCGAGTTGCACCATATCTAGAATAATATCTGCATTATTAGTATTTTTCTTTAAATTGGATCACTTTTTTTCTTACCTAAGTAAATATATCTTAAAAGGAAACTATATTACTGCCTTAAATGGAAAGCTATTATCACTTGTTATGCAGGGAAGGTGACCATAAAAATAATCACAATGGAGGGCCCTGGGACAGTGGCTTATGCCTGTAATCCCAGCACTTTGGGAGGTCGAGACAGGCAGATCACCTGAGGTTGGGAGTTCGAGACCAGCCTGACCAACATGGAGAAACTCCAATTCTACTAAAAACACAAAATTAGCCAGGCATGGCGGCGCATGCCTGTAATTCCAGCTACTTGGAAGGCTGAGGCAGGAGAATCGCTTGAACCCAGGAGGTGGAGGTTGCAATGAGCGCAGATCGCGCCATTGCACTCCAGCCTGGGCAACGAGAGAGAAACTCTGTGTCAGAATAATAATAATAATAATAATCACAAGGGAAACAAATCAGCCTCTTCACAGTGAGCTGGATGCTGATGCCTCCCCCAGGTGCTAAACCTAGAGCTGTTCTCTGTTAAATAGAGAGCTTGGCAAGTTAGGGAGGCATTAAAGACACACGCAGAGCCTTGCTCCTTGACACAGCAGGAGAGTTGTATTCATAGTCTACTCGAATTCTCTCCCAGGGATCTCAGTTGTCTGAGGCCACGTGCTATACCACCTAAAGTCAGCACAGATAATCTGGGCATTGTCCAGCGTAGAATGGGGTCTGGGGTATGCAAAGGGCCCAGAGCACCTGAGAGATGATGGCACTTCGTCCCCAGAGGGGTAGGCACACAAGGGCCCTTCTACCAGTGGTGGTCACCCTCAGCTGCAAATCCCTGTCACGAGGGGAATTTCTAAATTCCAGTGTCCAGAAGCCACCCCACATCACCTGGATGAGTTCCCCTCACTCTGGTCACTCTGCCCTCCCCTAGGACAAGGGCTACAGGGAGCTCCACCTGGGATGCTCTTCCTCCTGGCTTCTGAGCTCAGCCCAGTGTCCACCGGGCCTAGCTGACTCCTGCATCATGGGGCAGTAGACAAGCATGAGAATGACCAGGGCTCATTTCCCCTAAATCACCAGCACCTTTTCCTTCCTCCCCCAGATGTTATGCACCTAGTGAAATTCCTTAAAGAAATTCCGGGGGGTGCACTGGTGCTGGTGGCCTCCTACGACGATCCAGGGACCAAGTAAGTAGAAAACTCTACCTGCCAGGCCACACAGTGATGCAAACTGAATACCTTCAAACCCTGCACACCCTTTTCTGCTCTTTTGCCAGATCCATTTTCTGGCAACTTATCTCGAGGAAATTATCAGACAAGTATGCAAAGAAATGTTCTAGGAGGTTCATCACAGCCTTCATTACCACAGTGAAAAACTGGAAACCCTCTCCCTGTCCAATAATAACAGCTGACTGGCTACAGAAACTATGACATACGGTGACATAGGATATGATATATACACAAATGAAGATAGACTGCATCAAAAATGATGGTGCGGAAAGTATTTAAGGACGTGGAAAATCGCTCACCCTCTAGTGCTAAGTGAGGGGAAAAAAAAACACTGTATGGAAATACATACACTGATCACACTAAGGGGAGGAGGGGTGAGACTGTATTTCTTAGTTACTTCTTTGTGATCTTCCATATTTTCCAAATGAATGTGTATTGTATTTGTAAATAGAGCAGTACTGTTTTAACACATCTCCAGCCCCATCTGAAGCCCTTTTAGAGAGGAAGTCTTGAAGCCCTTTACCCTGTCCTTCCTGAGTGCAGCCACGTTCTCTGGACACCCCCAGGGCAGATGCTGAATGGGGAGAAGAGTGGGAACCTTGCCCCATGGGAATCCCACCACCTGATGCCCCTGCGACCCACCCCCGCATCCTGACCATCCTCTCTGGTCCTCTGCAGAATGAACGATGAAAGCAGGAAACTCTTCTCTGACTTGGGGAGTTCCTACGCAAAACAACTGGGCTTCCGGGACAGCTGGGTCTTCATAGGAGCCAAAGACCTCAGGGGTAAAAGCCCCTTTGAGCAGGTGGGTTCTGGGCCACAACCCGGCCCTATGAAGGATGCATGAGGAGCTGGGTGGTGGTAGGAAGGAGTCACCCATTCACCTCCCAGGGGCCTTAAAATTGGGAGGATTGTCTGGGGAGAGGCCCCTGGCTGTCATTCACTCCAAAGGCCAGGGTGGTCTGATTGGCCAGGAAGCTGCCTTGGCCATTTCGCAAAAGCTGGGTCATATATAGATACGCAGGTATACAGATAATTATCAGAAAAGGAAGAGGGAAAAGGAGAAAAGAAGGATGATGGGCAAGTGAGGCATGAAGGAACGAGAAAGAAATGGAGACATGGAGCTGTGTGGCGGGGAAGGGGATCCCGGGGAAAGGAGCAGGATGCCTGTCCCCATCCCTTCAGCCTCCCTGGCGAGGCATGGAGAAAACGAGGAGGGAAGTCAGAAGGCAGGGAGGAGGCCGATGCCATCATCAGACAAGAGGTGCTGGAGGGGGCAGGTGCAGGGAACCGTGTGCTGAGCTCTAGGAAGGGCACCAGGACTGGGATGGGAGGATTTCTTTCCTAAGCTAGAAAATGTGGTCTTGGTCTGTATGCGTGTGTTTCTAAGAGGATGTATTTGGGTAACTAGAAATTACTTGAACGCAGTGAAGAACGCAGGAGGCCGGTGGGCGGGGGCGGCCGGGTGTGGTTCCCGAATGTCCTGTGGGGGTGCTGCAGCAGGGCCCTAGCAAGAGGCAAGAGGTCTGAGGCTGCATGGGCAGGTGGTGCTTTCCTGCCCCAAAGCGTGGGCTCCAGACCCAGGGGAACCGGCAAGACAGAGGAGGCGTGGGAGTACAGGAAGCCCAGCATCATCTTCATCCATCTGCAACCAGCTGGCCGGGACCGACACACAAAAATGAACCAAGCACCCTAATGGGACTAAGCCGGTCTGTTCTTAGTCCTCACACTTGGGAAACTGGGTTTTAGGCAGGTAGCATCTAGAATCTCTTTTTTAATTCCTGAGAGTCAGCCACAATGATTCCAACAGCAGATTTTGCCATTTACGTTTTTTTCTTTCATAATCCAAACCTGAGCATTTTAGACACAATCCTAAGTGATTTTATTCTTCTTACATACTTATTACTAGTATATATATATTTTAGAGATAGGGTCTCGCTCTGTCACCTAGGCTGGAGTGCAGTGGCACAATCTCGGCTCACTGCAGCCTCGACCTCCTGGGCTCAAGCGATCCTCCCGCCTCTGCCTCCTGAGTAGCTGGGACCACAGGCATGTGCCACCACATCCAGCTAATTTTTTTATGTTTTCTAGAGACAGGGTCTCCCATGTTGCCCAGGCTGGTCTTGAACTCCTGGCCTCAAGTGACCCTCCTTCCTTACCCTCCCAAAGTGCTGGGATGATAGGTGTGAGCCACTGCACCCCACCCCTTATTATTAGTATTAATTAATATTATGTGGTGGTTCTGCCACTTACCAGCCAGTGACTACGGGCAGTGACCCTCTGTGCCTCAGCTTCCCCATCTGTAGAATGGGATGTAAACAGTGCACACTCCCTAGGGCCACTGTGCAGATTAAATACATAAGGCCCTGCAGAACACCACGTGGCATACAGCAAGCGCTCAAGACATGGTCGGAGTCTTCTTTTTATTGTTGCTATCATTATTGTTATTTGAGGTATCCTAGAGGGACACAGAGAATTTGTGGGGAGGGGCCAGATCTCTCCAACAACTGGTTACCCTTCAGGGCGTGAGAGCAGTTAACTGGGCTCTGATCCCATCTCTGAGATCTTGAGCAAGTTGCATCCCCTCTCTGAGCCTCAGTTTCCCCATCTGTGAAGTGGGTTAATAACATCCCACACCCCCATTTAGGTTTAGAGCACAGTGTCCATGTGGGCATGAGTTCTGAACAGCCTCACTCACTGCCTATATTTCTCTGTCTTCTCTCTCTCTAGTTCTTAAAGAACAGCCCAGACACAAACAAATACGAGGGATGGCCAGAGCTGCTGGAGATGGAGGGCTGCATGCCCCCGAAGCCATTTTAGGGTGGCTGTGGCTCTTCCTCAGCCAGGGGCCTGAAGAAGCTCCTGCCTGACTTAGGAGTCAGAGCCCGGCAGGGGCTGAGGAGGAGGAGCAGGGGGTGCTGCGTGGAAGGTGCTGCAGGTCCTTGCACGCTGTGTCGCGCCTCTCCTCCTCGGAAACAGAACCCTCCCACAGCACATCCTACCCGGAAGACCAGCCTCAGAGGGTCCTTCTGGAACCAGCTGTCTGTGGAGAGAATGGGGTGCTTTCGTCAGGGACTGCTGACGGCTGGTCCTGAGGAAGGACAAACTGCCCAGACTTGAGCCCAATTAAATTTTATTTTTGCTGGTTTTGAATGAGCTTTCTGACCACTCCAGTGGCCACGTTTCTCCCTGGGATTGAACTGCTCCAGACTCAGCATGGGCCATGGGTTCAGACAGGTCTGTGACAGCTTCAGGCTCCCCCTTAGGCAGCTGGGAGGGAGCTGTGTTTCTAGGATTTCCCATGGGCCTGAGAGAATCCTCAGTTCCTGCATAACATGTGGGATGGACAGGAACAGAGGGAGCTAGGGACAGGATGCAAGAAATACTGTCATCACCCTCTGTCTGAAGGAGAGCTGGAGCAAGTCCAGAGCAGGAGTGGGAGAGGAGGGGCACATCTGAACCTGGCTGGAAGGAGCCGCCAGGCTGTGCTGCAGGCTTCAGGGAAGGCAGCCGGGCTGTCTCCGCCCCAGGAGCGGACCCTGAGACAAGGACTCAAGGGCAGCCAGTATATTTGGGAGGTGATTGTGGGAAACACCAATAGAGAAGTAGGGAAGTGAGATGGCAAAGGGAAGGAGGGGAAGGCAGCCAGTGAAGGGTATGGTTTCAACCCAGCTACCCCTGTGGGGACTGGAGCTGACTCCCACCCGAAGCTCTAGGAATCGGGGTAGAACATGCACCTTGGAGATACTCCACCCGGGAGTGAGGGAGCTGGGGTATTTACACACCGACTCCCACTAGTGGTTTGTTGAGGGCTTCTGGTGTTGGGGATGATATGAATTCCTAGGTGCTTCTTGTCTGCCCTGCCTAGGGAAGAGTGGCCCTCTGTGGCTTCACAGCAAGCCCCCAGCCAAGAGATGGCAATGCCAGCTGCAATGGCAGGAGCACATTGAAATGGGAAGGCCCAAGGATACGGTGTCAAGACCTGCCTGAGGTTTCTGAGAAGGGCCCAGTTCCCAGGCTCTAGACTAAGTCTTGAAAGGAGGTCGTGGGGGCAGAAAGCATTGCTACTCAGCCTCCTGGAGCATGTGCTGGGGACACTACACCTCATGGAGAAGAAACCCTCTGCCCAAGCACAGATGCCCACCAGTGGTCTGAGACTCACAGCTCCCAAGTCCTGGGGCCAGGGAGCACTTCAAATGTGCCAAGATAGCCTGGGGTAGAGACAATAGTGTGTGTGAACCTTCCACCAGGGGCCACGGCAGGTGGGACACGGGCTACAATTGCAGTGATATCAAAATCAAGGTCCAGGCCAGGTGCGGTGGCTCACGCCTATAACCCCAGCACTTTGGGAGGCCGAGGTGGGCGGATCAACTGAGGCAAGGAGTTTAAGACCAGCCTGGCCGACATATAAAAGTTAGCCAGGTATGGTGGCACTGACCTGTAATCCCAGCTACTTGGGAGGCTGAGGCAGGAGAATCGCTTGAACCTGGGAGGCGGGGATTGCAGTGAGCCGAGATTGCACCACTGCACTCCAGCCTGGGTGACAGAGCGAGACTCCATCTAAAAAAAAAAAAAAAAAATTCAAAGAGCCGGCGGGGAGCCGTGCTCAGGGTTGGCTGAGGAAGTCAGAAGGTGCCCATCCAGACATCCTGTCAATTCTGTCACTCCCTGCCCAACCCACCCCAGCTCACCCTCACGGATGAAAGCGGGAGCATGCTGGCAGGCCTGAATAACCACTTCCAACCACATCAGTAGACTACCTGGAAAAACATCTGCCCAGAAACCTGCTCTGGGAATGAAGGTGGCATGAAATTTTCATGATGACCATAAACACCTTTGAGAGCTCGGAAATTTCACTTTACAACAAGCAGGAGTACCTTGTAAAATTTTTAAAGAACATATAAAGACCTCTAAAATGAGCTCATGAGCAGGGACCAGGGCTAGGCAGAGGGCTCTTGGCAGTGGCCACTATTTTAAGACATGGGGTAGCTGCCTCATTGAAGAGAAGACACATGGACTTTTCCAGAAACTGCACTGCACAACACTTCAAAGAAGACTGAGAACATGTCAACTGGCTCAATCAGAGAATTCAGGGAAGCGTCCCAGGTGCCCTTTCCCAGATTTTGTTACTAATGGTCAGTCTGAACTCTTCTTTGGAGAATTGCCCTTGGGCTACTCATACATTCTTTGAGCACAAGTGCAAAGAAGACAGACCAGGAAGCTGGGGGTGTGTACACCACCCCAGGATGGTCCTTAGCTAATGACTGGCAGGTATGGGAACGTGAAAGGCCAGCTCTTTATTTTGGGGCATGATGACGACCACGAGGTGCAATTTACACTCCAGGATTCCCAGAGGGATCAGGCGGGAACTGGGACTTTGCCTGAAAGTGTCCCTTTGCTTACCTCTTTCCCCTTTCCCATCCTGCTCCTCCACTCCCTTACCAGTGTCCCCAGGGGCCAGTCCTTAACAAATCACCTACACGACAATCCCTATCCCGAAGTGGGATCCTGGGGTACCCATCCTAAGAGAGGTGGTGGGCATGGCCAGCTGGATGGGACTGAGCCTGAGCCTGGGCTGGGAGATAAGACCTCCAGGTCTGCAGGAATTGTTGTCATAAAAGGGATCAGTTCTCAAGGAGAAAGAGCTCAGAGTGGGGGAGCTGCACTTGCCACTGCCATGTGGAGCCCATGGAAGAGGCAACGTGCTGTTCCACACCAGGGAACACAAGGCAAAGATTAGGGATCATGCCCCACTCCAGCTTCCCACTCCTTCCTCAGATGCCCAGAATAAGTCAGAAGATAAGCCCAAGTAGCCATCATTGTACCCCCATAACCCATCAAGGAGACTGCATTCTCGAGCCAGCCACACTAGGCCCCTCTTGGGTGGGTGTTACAAAAGTGGCAAACACCTGTCAGACTCTCAACGTCATTTTCAGGACATTGTGGCCACTATAGGGACCCCCAGGTCAGCTCAAGCTGTAAAGAGTTGGGTCTTTATCGCCAAGATTTTCATCACTCAGCAAACCTGATATGCATCAAGAGTCCGGCAGGCTTGGGGATGCTGCAGTGAAGAAAACCCAGCACCGTTCCCACTCAGTCTAGCAGGGGATACAAATCCAGAGGCGACATGGCTTGGCAAGGGGAAAGACTGCAGGACCGCTGCCCCAGCCTTGGGGGATCCAGGAAGGCATCCTGGAGAAAGCAGCACCCATGCTGAGCCCTCAGGAGTGTGTAGGAGCTCACCAGGCAAAGAAGGGAGGGAAGGGCATGTCAGGCCAGGGAACAGCATGAACAAGGCCTGGAAGGGGCAGAGGATGGGTAACAGGGCTGAGTGGGAGGTCAGAGCCCGAGGGGCCTTGTGAGCTGGGCAGAGGGCTTGGACTTTGTCCCAGGGCAGGGGACACACTGGGAGATTTAAGCTGGGGGCAAGGTGACCAGAGCTGCATGTTTTGAAAATTCCTTGCTGCTGTGGGAAGGAGTGGAGGAAGGGAGGCCAGTGAGGAGGCTGCCATATCATCCAGGAATAGAGGGTGGTGGCCCGGACCAGGGGCCTGTCCCAGGGATCATCAGAAAGTGAAATGGATAAGACTTGGGACACATTTTCTCACTGGGGTCGACAAGCCTTCAGGAATCTCTGCAAGCTAATCGTGGCCTCAGAACTGGGGGCTTGGATTTGCCTCCCCACTCCCTGCCAATGTGCCTCCCACCCATCCCAGGAGTGAGGATGGGGCTGTGAGGGGTGGGGTCGTGGAGAGAGCTTTCCAGAAGCTGTAATTCTTGTCTTCACCAGTAGGTGGCGGCACAAGCTAGAAAGGGAAGGGTGGCAAGGTCTCCCCACACACCCAATTCGGGAAAGGCTGTTGCGCCTAATGAACTCATTATCTGGGACTTCCCAATGGGCACTGGACTTATCTTCGGCCTTGCTGATAGTGTAACAATTGCAGCACCTCACTTCTACAGAGAATTGCAGTTCTCCAGACGTTCTGCTCAGAGCTTTACATGAATTACCTCATTTCATCCTCATAGCCCCCTCGTCCACGGGGTGGGAACCATTGTCATCCTGTTTTACACAGAAGGAAGATGAGGCTCAGAGAGGTCAAGTGACTTGTCCAAAGTCACATAGATAAGGAGTCTCAGAATAAGGGCTGGAATTCCAGTCTGTCCCCAACATTACACGAAACAGATATGTTTGCCCTAAACCTACTCTCAGGTAAACAGAGTTTCTCCCATCCTCCTTCTCCTCCTCTCTTCCCCACTTCCCCTTTTTCTCCTCCCCCTCCTGCCCTGCTCCTGAATGCCTCTGAAGACTTTTGAAGATTGCACAGAACCTCAGAGTTAGCATTCTCAACACCTGCCTTCATTGCTTTGGAAGAGATGGAGAGGAACTGGGTTCAAGGGATTTAGAACTCCTCTTTTTAAAACCCAAAGCCCCCCTCACACTTCGTAAGCCTTACTTCCTTCTATAAGGTTGTGGGTCAAGAAGGAACACATGTTTACTCTCATGTTTTAGATGGAGAAAGAGAGTCTAAGGGATGTGCCCAGCCACAGAGTGAGACAGGGCAAAGATGGATCTAGAACACCTGCTCCTTGGTCCTCCACCACCAGCTGTCACCTCATAAATCATCTGTTCACGTATTCCAAGTACATCCTCTGCGCCAGGCATAGTGCTGGGCTCTGGGGCCTCCACCCCCATTCCTCCTGCCCATGCCATGTGGCCTGAATGTTGCATTTTGGGCCATCATCCTGCCAGGGCCTGGACTTCAGAGCCCAATCACAGGCTCTGTCAACCAGGCTTTCACTGCAGCACTAAGCCACATTTCGGCAGGGCTCCAAACAGATGGAAAACATTAATAAATGCGTAAGAATCATTTTCTTTCCTCCCACCCCACCAAGAGTCAAGCTGGTGGATAATTATGGGATGGTTGCCAAAGGAGTTTGATCTTCCGTGTTGACTTACAGCATTTTTACTGCTCCATCTGAAGGCCAATTTAGTCATTTCCCTTTACAATTTTGTGGACTCTCTCCTTTCTGCAGGAAATCCGAAACTGTAATCAGGCCACGACTGGAACAGGGAGAAAAGGAGTGGGGAGCAGCCGAGGAAGGCAGAGGCTGAACCCAAGGGAAGGGGCGGAAGGAAGAAGCTACATGTTTGCTTGGCTGGAAGGGTCATGGGTATCGGAGGAAATACAGTAACAATAACAACAGTATTAAGCAGTGCCATGAAGCGAGCACTTTCGATGAGTCAGGACTGTGTTAAGCACTCGACCTACTTAGACTATTTCATTTAATCCTCCATCATGGATTCTTCCACTAATATTGCTCTAGACTCGGGGTAAACTGAGGAGCAGGACAGACCAGGCCCTGGTCTTTGTGGAACTGCCATTCCAGAGGAATGGCAGAGGAGACGGACAATAAACACCGAAGTCATATCATTTCAGTTGCTGATGAGTGCTACAACAAAGTAATAAACAGAGAGCCTGGGAACTGCTTTGCACAAGGCAACAGAGAAAGCTTCTCTGAGGAGCCTGAAGGACAAAAAGGATAGAATCAGGCAAAGATCAAAATATGGGCAGTGGAGGGGAAGTGGGGGAGAGAACATTCCACGCAGAGAGAATAGCAAGTGCAAAGGCCCTGAGAAGGGGGGAAAGGTGCTGTGACCCAGAAACTACCAGGGAGAGGGAGGAGAGGGAAATGAGGTCCTAGCAAGACAGTCAATCAGACCTTGCAGACCATGGGGTGTTTGGTTCTGTTGGCAAGGCTGGATCTAGAATGCCTAATTCTTGACCCTCCACCAGCTGCCATTCCGTAAGTCATCTGTGTATGTGTTGCAGGCACCTACTGTGTGCCAGGCATCGTGCTAGAGGAAAGGAAAGGGTGGCAAGGTCTCCCCAACCCCCCCACCTCTTGGGAAACGGTGTTGTGCTTAGTGAACTGGTTATTCGGGACTTTCCACTGGGCAGTGGATATCATTTGTGTTATTAGCAGCATGATAGCAGTGGCACCTAACTTCTCTGAGGAATTGTTGTTCACCAGATGCTCTGCACATCCCCACAGCCCCATGCAGTGGGGGCAACTCTTACCCCACCTTTGGTGAAGTGACAGATAAAACAGAGCAACATGCTCTGATTTATGCTTTCGCAAAACGATGGCTTCAGCTGTACACACACACCTTACCCCATTTAGCTCTGCAGTATGAGTGCTTCACAAACACACACACACACACACACACACACACACACAACATCGTGCCCCCAAGGCCACACAACTATCAGGGACAGAGCTACAGTTCAAGCCCAAGGTCTCTTTAGCCTTAACCTCTGCCACAAGCTGGCATCACGGAGAAGGACAGGGCTGGCAAATGAGGAGGAGAGTGACTGCCGGGGGCACTTTGAGAACTTGGCCCCAGGCCTGGAATCTGGCCTTCAGATATTTTCTTGGCCTGGGCCCAGACCAGCAGCCCTCCAGCCCTTCCAGGCAGCCTGCTGCCCAGTTGAATGAAGGAGTCTGCTCTCAGAGTATCTGCTGTGGGAGAGCCCCGGACCCCAAGCATCTTCAAAGGTCTATTATTAATGGGGCTGTCCAGCTGAAGCTGACATCCGCACGCAGCCCTCCCAGAGCTCTGCACCTCAGCCAGCCCACGGCCTCCACCGTCTGGCCCTGTCGGCTGAGTGGTGCCCAGCAAGGTGAGAAGGCCAAGTCCTGCCCGCTGGGCCAGGCAGAGGTCACCCGCCGCGCCTGAGCTACCGGTGTGTGATGAGAGGACTGCCCCACGTCTTCCCTCATTTCCCAGCTGCCTCAGTTTCCCTTCCTGAGAGAGGCAGGGTTCTGGGAGGTGAGGAGCTGCAGGGACCCAAGAAGGGCATAGAAGCCGCCTGGGGACACTGGCCCCTCTGTCAGGATCAATCGCCCTAAGCCTGTCTGAGGCGCTCCGGGCTTAGGAGCAGCTGTGAAAGCCGCCTTTGTGCCTGGGAGAATGAGCCGCAAGAGGACAGGGGGCCCTCGCCCCGGGAGCCCCTTGGGTCCTGGCTCCTGAGATCAACGCCAGCAGGGAGGACCCCAGCCTGGCCCCTGCAGCCCACCCAGGCCTGGTGCCCACTTCGTGCCATGGGAGCAGCCCAGGGGAAGAAGGTAGGAACCTCTAAGTGTCCTGTTGGGGCCCTGGTCATGGGAAGGGAGACTGGACCTAGCAAGTGGGAGCCCCGACCCACCTACCCTGCAGCTTCAGCCGGCAGTGCCCACCAGCCCTCCCCCTGGAACTCACAGCCAAGACTTGCATCTAGAAAGCAGGCAAGGGCTCAGGGAAGAACCAGTGTCCTATCTCTCCATCTCTAGGACAGACTCGGGGGCAGCCAAATCTCTCTGGCTCCCTGGTCTTAACCACACACATCTCTACTTCCCTGAATAAAAGCTCCCTGGGTACCCCTTCCCCATACCCCAGGAGAGTGTCTGATGCAGGTGGATACAGGGGAAAGATCTTAAAATTATTATTATAAAGTTAGCTAACCAGCTGTTACCAGTTGTAGGGCAATAGGCAAGTTATTTAAGCTTTCTGTACCTTATTTCCTCACCTGTAAAATAGGGCCAATAATAATCACTACCTTGGAAAATCATTGTGAAAATTAAATGAGTGAAAGTGTTTGGAACACTGCCTGGCACTGTGTAGAGGCTTTGCTCCATTATTATTAGAATTCTATTCATGTTATTATCCCTCACCTTCTAAGCCTGAGCTCTCAGCTGGGGGTTTGTAGACAGCATTGCCTGAGAACTGTTTCTGGAAATGTGCTCTGCGGACCCCTGCGTCAGCATCCTGGGGTGGGGAGTAGGAGGGAGCTTGTGAAACAGTCACTTTCTCATGGCCCATCAGACCTCCTGGATCAGCCTCTTAGGGGCAAAGAGGGGCCTGCATTTACTCACCAGCTCTCGGGATTGTCCTACGTGCTCACTGCTCTCCAACCACAACGACCCGGTACTGCCATCCCAGTGGCATAGACAGGCTGCCGTGTCCCAGATCCACCACCCACCTACCGTGGCGATGACCTGAACCCCTCTGGACCTCAGGTTCTTGTTTATAAAGGGGGGCTGGTACCTGCTTCGTGGGAAGTTCAACAAGATGATGCCTGTGAAGTGCTCAGTGTGCTACCCCAAGCCCAGAGGCTCCCCGATAAACATGGGACTCTGATCCTCAGACAACCAGTGATGACCTGTTCCATCAAGGTTGAGAAACTCAAGGAAGAAGTAATTTCTTAGCCAGGGTCATGCAGCTAGTGGGGGAAAGAGCAGGGTACTGCTATTGTTGTTAATTTGGAAAGAGGAGCTTTATTTCTCATAAAGGGTTGCAGCCTGCAGGGTGGCCATTCCGAGAGGCTGGGAAGCATGGCCTCTGGCCAGAATCCAGAAACTGACACTTTGAGGAAGAGGCAAAGGGAGTAGAAATTTATGCTGAGCAGCATGGCCAAATATACATATTCAATAAGCTGTGGGAGGGGTCATGAATATTTATGAAAGGAGAAACATCTACATGCACAGTTGAGCTTCATGCCTCTTACAGGCCCCAGGTACAAAAAAATGTTGGCCTTAGTGTGATCTGAGGGTGGAGTTTTCAGCCCTCTGATGTCAAAGGTGAAGCAGGGAGCACGAAAACCCTCACTGTGCATCCTCTGCAGACTGGCTAGAACCGCTCCATGATTGGTGATCTCTTATCAAGAAAGAATGCTGGTTGGTTTTTGTGTTAAAACCACAAAAGGGAGGGGCAGTTGGTTGAAATCAGCATGGAGTCTTTTGAAAAGGCCTGTTTCTGTTTAGCTCTTAGGGAATTAGGATAACGGAGGTTATCAAGGGATGGCACACTACGGGGCACGTGCGACCTCCCATCCCGTCATGGCCAGAAACCCGGTTTTCAAGATTTCTCTGGGGTCTCCTTGGCCAAGAGGGGGTCCGTTCAGTCACTTGCCAGAGTGGAGGGGTGGGGTTTGTTTAAAGTTTTATTTTTATTTCTCATTTTTATTGGGTAGGATTTTGACCCCATTCTGCTTGACTCCAAACAACCCAGCCCATCCCACCCTTCCTGGTCCATAGCTCTGTCCACAGCATCTTCCTCAGCCCCACCCCAACCTCCCACAGAAGGCTGTTGATCAGGCAGGCACCTGCTGCCCTATGCCAGGGCCTATGTGGAGCTGGAGCCAAGGGTGAGGAGACACAGCCCCTGCCCTTGAGGCCGTCCCTGTCAGTTGCAGAGACTAATAGGCAGGCAAAAAATAGTTGGTAGTATGTGTGAAAGTTGAAGCAGAGGTGACTGGGCACATGACCCCTGGGCCAGGAGTCAAAACACAGCGTTGTTGCTTCTATTCCTCTTAGGCAAGGTCTGGACTTTGCTTTTAGGTGAACTCACCTTTGTCCCCTGGGGAATGTCAGGGGCATAGGCTTTGCCTAGAATCCTAAACCCACACTGGCAGGGGATGGAAGGGATCACGTGGTTGGTTAAGGCCAACCAGAGCCCACCCTTGGAGCCACAGATCTGTCTCCCAATGGCATGGCTGTTACTCAATGGAAGGGAGAGTGCTGGACATTTCATTGTAATGGCCCCCCAGGAGGAGAGACAGCGTTCTCTCCAGCTGTGGGGTGGGCAGAGAGAATGGAAGAACACTGAAAGGGTCGAGGGTGTGACAGATAGACCACTGGGCCAGGAGTCAAAACACAGACATTGTTGTTTCTGTTCTTCTTAGGCAGGGCCTGAACTTCCCTTGGACTTGGCATTTTTTTAAATCTGCCCCTATCAAGGGCACCAAGGTGGGTACCCTGGCCTCTATCAGGGTTTTTGCAAGAAGATATTTTAACACACAGAAGCAATCCCTCTAACACTGTTTGGAACATTCCAGAAACTTCAACATTTGACCCACTGGGCATGCATTGATGCCAGAGAGGTGAGTTCAACCCAGATGTCTGGATGGGAGCCACGTTTTAAGCCCTTGCATTACACAGCAAGGCCACAGGTCCTGCGGCAGCAGTGGGTTCAAGAAAAGCACCTTCCATGGGCCTCAGACACCAGCCAGTTCATAGACACCAACAGAGTGTGGGCACGCCGTCCTCCACCCCAATCAGCAGTGGCCAGTGCCCTCGCCCAGGATAGAGGACACAACCACAAGCTTCCAGAGGCTGCCCTGCACAAGTCCAGCTCCCCAGGCTGTGACCGTAATGCCACCCTTAAAGGGGCTGCTAAATGGAAAATGTTCCTGAGCACAGCTCGCATGCACTGCCGCTTCTGCACCAATTCGCTCATTTAGTCTTCAAACAGCTCTTGGACATGGAGAGTTTTATCACCCAGAAATCCAGAGACGTGGAGAGGTTAAGCAAGAGGCTCAGGGTCACCCAGCTAGTAAGGGTGGAGTTAACATTTGACCCAGGCTGCCCTAAGAGCCTGGCCTCTCAAACAGCAAACCCCACTGCCGGCGCTTCTGAAGGTGGAAACACAACAGTGCTCACATCCCACCTGGAGCCCCTGTCGGGGCATCTCATTTAACCCCTCTGAGCCTCAGTTTCCTCAGCTGTCAAGCAGCATGATGATTTACCTTCCACAGCAGGCTGGGGCGAGGTGCCCAGCACTCAGTGGGTGCTCAGGGAATGGCACGTGGTCCTGTTGCTGCTGCTCTAGAGGCTGCAGGTGGAGCTTCTGCAGGGCAGGAGGCGGCAGCATAGCCCCCTGGAGGTTTGGACACTTGGCTTTCGTTCTGTAAAACATTTCTCCAAACCCAACACCACCCAGGTTTTTTGTGGCCCTGAAAGAGTCCTGTCCTCTGACCCTGTTGTTTACCAAGACACTCATCGCTTTGCATTCACCTTCATTAAGAGAAAGTTGCCTTGACTGAAACAAAAGGGGAAAAAAATAGAAGCACTATGGCTAAATTTGATGAATGGCCTGAAAGGGTGTGTTCATTCTATCAGAGCCCAGAAGGTACACATCTGGCTGGGCCCTGCTGGCTCCCTGAACAATTTTCCCTGCCGATGATGGATGGGCCTGCCTGGTGCTCAGGGCCGCCAAGCCCAGCAGAGGATTCCAGCTCATTGCGCCCAGCTCAGTGACGTGTGAGGACCTCATCAGGAGGCGCTCACAGCATGCCATCCCATCACCCTGACTCTGCCCACCGCCTCAGACGGCTTCTCTGAGGAGAAAGGGGCCTTGCACCTCACTTCTGGGTGCCATTGGGACTCCACAGCTGGGTTCCCAAAGGACTCCTGTGCCCAGAGTGGGAGGCTCAAGGACAAGAGGAGAAATGTGTCAGGAGCTCATGGGGGTGAGGAAAAAATATCCCCCCCAACAAAGGCAGAGCCCCCCTCCTGCCCAGCAGCCTCCCCACTGGGCCCTGGTCTCTGGGATCATTCCAGCCTCTCCACCTTTTCTCACTCCATTTGCCTGCCTGTATTGCCCTCCTGATTTCTATCCACCGCCAACACTTCTCTGCATTCCAGCCGCAGGGCTTGCCCCACCTGCTCTTGTAAGTTTCTGACAGCATGTGAATTGAATTCCAATTGCACTGACAGATATTCCATCCCAAGGTGTGAGGGAAGATGACGGAAAGGAAGAAGGGGAATGTCAATTGTCGAGCTCCAACCCCACCAGCAGCCACTATGCTAAATGCTTTCTTTTGGGGGGGGCATAGGGGTAGTACAGAGTCTCGCCCTGTCACCCAGGTTGGTGTGCAGTGGCACAATCTCAGCTCACAACAACCCCCACCTCCCAGATTAAAGTGATTCTCCTGCCTCAGTCTCCCAAGTAACTAAGATTACAGGTGTGCATCACCACGCCCAGCTAATTTTTTTGTATTTTTAGTAGAGATGGGGTTTTGTCATGTTGGCCAGGCTGGTCTCGAACTCCTGACCTCAAGTGATCCACCCACCTCAGCCTCCCAAAGTGCTGGGATTACAGGTGTGAGCCCAGCCCTAAATGCTTTTTCATGCTGTCCCTCCAGCACATCCACAGCCCAGCAAAGTAGAGGCTGCTGTACCCACTTCTTGGGTGGGAACCACTCAAAGCTGCTCTGCCCTTCATGCCAATTCCAGTCATTACTTGCCTGGGCCTCAGTGCAATTCCCAAGACCTCTCCCCCACCTGACACTGAGCTAGGCATGTAATTCTCACAAATGCCCCATGAAAGGGCTAATATTCTCATGCCCATTTCACAGGTCAAGACACTGAGGCTCAGAGGTCACCAGTAAGGAAGTGGCAGGGCTAGTGTTGCACTGAGCTGTGCCTAGCCAGGCAGCACTCTCTTGGGCAGGCCAGGCACATTGCATCCTGAGCTCAAGTTCTCCCCACCACCCTGCAACCCCCGTTATGCAGATGTTTGGAAAGCATCCAGACTCAGGGAGAAGAGGCCTGGGGCCAAGTGGAGCCTCTAGCACTCACTCTCTGGGTGATGTTTAAGCTTTGCTTTCCTCATCCCTAAAATGGGGATAAAAATAGCACCCACTTTAGTATTATCAGTGTGAGAACTAAATGAGAAAGTTCTTGAAGTGCCTGGATGCATGCTTGCCCTTGGGTCTCAGTGTCCCCATCTGGGAACAGAGAGGTTTGCATTAAATGATTCCCAGTGCCCTCCCCAACCATGGTAAAAATGAGCTTGTCACTTTGTCCATAGCAAGTCTCAGTGCAAAATGAAAATGTGGGGTCCCTTGTTCAAAAATCATTAAGAATCTCAAGACAGCAACAGCAGAGCATTAAACCAAGCACAGGGCCCTTCTGAGCTCAGAGCCCTGTGCAGCTGCACAGGTCACAACCCCAGAAAGCTGGCCCCAGTCCTTAGTGCCAGCCAAGGTGACATCTGTGCATGGGAGGCCACATTCCTGAGGGCTCTGGTCAGGCGCAAACACGTATGCTGGGGTTGTGAGCATGGTTTCCCAAGCGCTAAAATTTGTCATTTAGTTCCGGGCTCCCCTTTTACTCTATCTATTTACCCGCTAGATTTGAAAGTCCCTGAATGATTTCCTCCCCAGCCTCAGCAAACTGGTAAATATACTGTCCTCCCCTTCCCTGGGAACCATGCCGCCACCTCCTTCACTCCCACCTTCAGAATGGCCTGGGCTGAAACTCCTGAAAAAGTTAGAGTTGACATTTCTCCCCTGGGGAAGTCCAGGGGCAGAAGGTGAGTGTAGAGGAGGAGTGGGGACTAGACTGGCTGCAGCCAAAAAGGGCATTTGAAGACAGGCAGAGTGACCTTTGGAGGCAGGAAAGGGCACAGTTTTCCTGCTCTCCAAGGCCTCCTAATGGGGCTTTTATTTCCATCTGTCCTTGGCCTTCCCCAAGCTGGGTTCAAGGTTTGAATGCCCAGGGCTGCTTCAAACAGGTGTACAGGTTGGGCACTGCACAAAGGCAACAAGAGAACGGGTTAGTGGGACATCCGGCCCACCCTCTACCAGTGGAGCCATGTGCCCAGGTGCTGGCTGGGTCTCCCCAGGAGGAGTGCTGCTCCGTCATTCCACAGCGTCATCCCTCACAGCCCTGGAACCGCCTCTTCCAAGACTAAAACTTTCCCCATCCTGTCTTATGGCTGGAAGCCCAGCTTAGGAGGGAGAAGGAATCAAAGGAGAAAGAAAGGAAAAAAGATACCGGCTCAGCCGAGACTTCTTCCACGAAGCCTTCCCTGAGTGGATCTCAAATATCTATATGGGGTGAGGGGCTTAGATAAGTGGACAAGAACAGGGCAAGCTTGTCTCAGAACCGCATGTGCATTACCAGGCCTACAGGTTTTGCCAAGCCTGTAGGATTACCAGGGGTGGCTGGGAAGGTCAGAGAGATTAGAAGGGGGTCAAGTTCCTCAGGGACCCCATGACACCATCACTCTCCCCACTTCCCCGGACTAGGGCAAACCCCATCACACTCACAGAGCTCTCTGGTCTCTCCTCCACGCTGACCACTCTGTGATTTCATGTATAGTTCTGTGATTTATCCATGAGGGAAGGGAGGCCGTTTGATTTTTGGTTTACCATTGTGACATAGAAGGTGCTCCATTAATTAATTAAGGAAGGGAGGGCAGGAGAGAGGGAGGCTGATTTCCCAAAAGCTACCCTGAGTTGAAGGCCAACCTTATGGAAGGATCCATGCAGAACTTCAGGCTGGGGGGAAGGGACATAGACTGAATCCCTCAGTTTCCCCCACATGTCCCTCCTTCCCCTCCAATGTCTCTAAGGCTCTGATCCAAATTCTCACATTCCCCACCCTGCCTCCACCTCCCCACCACACACACATACACACATTTACACACACTTTCCACCTGCACAACTTCCTGGCCAAATGCAAAATCCCTCATGGCTTGTTCATCATTTATTCAACAAATGTTGACTGGGCATAGGGACCCAGGCACTGGAGATAGATGAGTGAATGGCACTTAGGCTCACCCTTGGGGTGCACAGCCCCATGGGAGAGAAATAAGCCATCCCCAGGGACAGAGCAGGTGCTGGGTACTATGATGAGGGAAGCAGATAGGACCTGGGGCACTGAAGGGGGACCCACGAGGCCGAGAGGTAAAAGACGAAGAAGGATTAATCAGGTCAGGAGGCGGGGAGAGGTTTCCAGCAGGCAACAGCATCTGCCAAGGCCTGGAGGTATGAGAGGCTGCGGCATGTCCCAGGAACTGAAAGAACTTCTTGGTTTTCCAGCCCTCTTCAGCCTCGTAGGGGCCCCCAGATTCCTGGTTCTGGGGTTAGGGACTGCCACAGATTTGGTTCGGTGGCACCTTAACTTCTCCCACCTATCCTGCACTTACCCTGCCATGCCATCCTCTCCTCTCAAAAAACAGCTATGTAAAGTTCTGGTACAGTGGCTCACGGCCTGTAATCCCAACAGTTTGGGAGGCCAAGGAGGGAGGATCACTTGAGCCCAGGAATTCAGGACCAGCCTGGGCAAAATAGTGAGACCCATCACTACAAAAAAAGAAAAATTAATTAGCTGGGCATGGTGGTGCACATGTAGTCCCAGCTACTCAGGAGGCTGAAGCAGGAGGATTCCTTGAGCCCAGGAGGTCAAGGCTGCAGTGAGCCATGGTAGCACCACTGCACTCCATCCTGGGTGACAGAATAAGATCTTGTCTCAAGGAAAAAAAAATCACAACTATGTTTCTGCCTCAGACTCTTTGATCAAGGAGAACATTCTTTTTTTCTCTCTTCTTTCTTTTGCTCACTATTCAAAATAGAGATAAGAGAGAAAGACAGAGACACAGAGACAAAGACACAAGAGGCAAAACACAAAGAGAAAATCCCCCAGAAACAGAATTGAAGAAACCCCAAACCTGTCCCCCTGACTTCACCCCCTGCCCCAACACCACCCTCCAGGTGCCCACCAGGGCCCTTCTTCACTCCCAGATGTTCTAAGACCTCAAGAGAGGAAGAGGTCACAGGGGGCCCAAGATGGGCACCTTCCCCCCATCCTCGGGCCTTGGGGCCAAATCTCATTTCCAAGGCAGTAGAGAGAAGGAAATTATTTTAATTCTTTTTAAATCCACTTTAATCTTAGTCCACCTCCTCCTAATCCAATCTTCCTCGTTCACGAATAAGAATAAAATATTCGCCTCAGAGGCCCTGAATGAGGGACCCTGGGCAAGATGGCCTCCCTCTCTGGGCTCCCACTCTGGGCTCCATGTCAAAGCAGAGAAGGTAGCTGTGCTGCCCACTGGTTTAGGGTAAAGTGAGGCAGGAGAGAAAAAGAGAGGGCAGCAACAGTCATTCTTCGGAGGGCCAATTCTACCCCAGGTGCAGAGCCAGGGCCTCATGTGTGCAGCATCACTGGCTTCTCTGAGCAGCCTGGCATGGGTAGTTTTCCCCATTTCACAGCCATGAAGGGCTCAGACAAGATAACACTGTGCAAAAGCAGGCTAGTGTTCAGATTCCTCCACATGCACCAAAAGCCAAGGCCTTACAGAAACCTTGCACAACACAGCCAACCTGGGCCTACCCCCCTTGAGCCTCACTCAGTCCTTCTCATCTGCAAAATGGGCACTTCCTGAAGATAAATAAGAATGCCTTCTAATAATTGAACTTCCATGGAATCCTCACCACAAACCCAGCCACAAAGGTATCGATGTCCCCATTTCACCAAAGCAGACGCTCGACTCAAAGAGGTTGAGTTCACGTCTCAAGATCACAGAGCCAACAAGTGCCAGAGCTGGGACTTGAACTTGGATACTTCTGGCTCCACAGCCCACGTTCTCATGGACTTGTTTTTCAAGCGTCAGGATTGAAGCTGTTCATCTTGTTTTTCAAGCATCAGGACTGAAGCTGTTCATGTCAAGCCAGAATAAATCTTCACCTTGTGCAAGGCAGAGTTAATAGTAGGTAGTGGCTCCACTCCCCTGGGAGTAGCACTGAAGAGGGGCCTAAAGTTCAGGAGAATTTAATTTCTATCTTGAAAGGGTTTGGAGGTGGTGCAAGAGGGGCCAAATCAAAAGCCGGTTTTCTCGCAGGCAGAAACCCAAAAACGCAGCTCCCTCCCTGGGCCCCAGGGATCGGCTTTCAGAACACTGTGTCTCCCAAACTAACATAAACAAGGGGCTTTGTGTAAGTAAGAGATCAGATCTCAGGGCCTGGGGCGGAGAGAAAGGCGAGGAGCTGGAACTTTCTTTTTCATCTAAAATCTAAGATGACAGAGGCTGCCACAGGGAAGCTGGAAGAGCCTGGCTTGGTCTAGGTGACATCCGGCTCCTCAGGAAGCTCAGGACGGGGCCTGAGGTGTCCCATAGGGATGATGTCACACCTAGAACCTGCAGGAGCTCAGCCAGAAATGGGGCAGTGTCTGTCCTTTTGAGGGACCATCCGGGGATTTTTCTCCACCCACCTGAGCTCTGGGAACAGGTAGGGGTCATTCTGAGTTGTATGATGTGGTGCACGTTCAGGAAGAGGCCTGCCATTGAGACCTGCAGGCCCTGAACCGGCCAGCGTCTGTGAAGGTCCCATGCTGACTCTGCCATCACAAGCAGGCACTGTGAAGTGACACAGGAGTTTCCTGGGGCGGCCATAACAAACGATCAGAAACTGGGTAGCCGAGGCCAGGCGCGGTGGCTCACGCCTGTAATCCCAGCACTTTGGGAGGCCGAGGCAGGCGGATCACAAGGTCAAGAGATTGAGACCATCCTGGCTAACACAGTGAAACCCCGTCTCTACAAAAATACAAAAAGTTAGCTGGATGTGGTGGCGTGTGCCTGTAGTCCCAGCTATTCGGGAGGCTGAGGCAGGAGAATCACTTGAACCCGGGAGGCGGAGCTTGCAGTGAGCCGAGATCGTGCCACTGCACTCCAGCCTGGGTGACAGAGCAAGACTCTGTCTAAAAAAAAAAGAAACTGGGGAGCCGAAAACAACAGTTTATTCTCGCACAGTTCTGGAGGCTAGAAGCTGAAATCAGGGTGTCGGCAGGGAGTGCTCCTCAGAAGGCTCTCAGAGGATCTGTTCCATGCCCTTCTCTTAGCTTTTGGTGGTGCCTGCAATCCGTGGTGTTCTGCCCTTGTCATCACGTGGTGGTGGTGGTGATGGTGGTGGTGGTGGTAGTGGTGGTGTGTGTGTGTGTGTGTGTGTGTGTGTGTGTGTGTGTGTGTTCTCCTCTTATAAGGACACCAGTCAGATTCAATTAGGGCCTACCCTAATGACCTCATCTTAACTTGACTACATCTGCTTTCCAAATCTACATTTGGAAATAAAGTCACATTCACAGGTAGGAGCTAGGACCTCAACATTCCTTTTGGGGGATACAATTCAACCCACAACAATAACGCCTGGCCCCCTGGACCTCTGTACTTGGTGGACATTCTTCTCGGGCACCTGAAGTTCTACATTCCTCTGGCTGAGACCCATCCATCCTCTGCCAGCTGCTCTCCTGGGGCCTCAAGTCCAATGTAGCTCCTGTCCAGCTGCAGTGCGTTCCCATATGGCAAAGCCAGAATGAGCTACTTTAATTCTGAATCTGATCCCCTCTTCTCTCCGGTAAAACCCTTCAAGAGCTGTTACAAGGAACACCACAGGCCCTGGCTGATCGTGCTCTGGGCTCCCTACTCCATACACACTGGGCTCCACAGGTATCTCTGACAGCCCAATCTCTTCCCCACCTCAGAGCTTTTGTCTCCACTGTTCCCTCCACCTGTGCACCTTTCCCTAGGTCTCCTCATGATTGACTCCTTCTGGTTTCAGCTCAGAGACAAGTCCTTTTTTTTTTTTTTTTTTTTTTTTGAGACAGGGTCTGGCTCTGTCACCCAGGCTGGAGTGGTGCAGTGGCAAAATCTTGGCTCATTGCAACCTCTGCCTTTAGGGCTCAAGTGATCCTCCTACCTCAGCCTCCTGAGTAGCTGGGATTACAGGCACACACCACCATGCCCAGCTAATTTTTGTAATTTTTGTAGAGACAGTGTCTCACCATGTTGCCCAGGCTGGTCTCCAACTTCTGGGCTCAAGGAATCCACACACCTCAGCCTCCCAAAGTGCTGGGATTACAGGCATAAGGCACTGCGCCTGGCATTCTCTATCTTCCCTCCAGCTAAAATCCCCCCATCTTGGTCCCAAGTCCTGCAGTTCCTTCACAGAGCTTACCACCATCTGAAATTACCTTCTTTGGTTATTTAACTGTCTCAAATCTAGCTTTCCCCATCAGCATGTTGTCTCTGTAAGGGCACAAGAAAATCTTTAGATCCAAATGACAATGAAAATACTATATATTGAAACTTGGAGGAAGCAACTAAAATGGTCCTTAAGAAGAAGGTTATAGTTTTAAATGCACATTGAAAAGAAGACTGAGACTTACTGAGCTAAATGTCAAAGTTACAAAGTTGGTAAAAGAACAACAGAAACAATCCAAAGAATGTAAAAGTCATGAAAAAATTAAAATAAGAACCAAAATTAAAGAATAAAAATACATGATATTGAAGATGGCCAAAAGTTGGTTCCTTTAAAAACGTAATAGAGAATGATGTAGTTGGCTTTAAGAAACATCTAGAAAATATTGTTGAACAAAAATCCTATTGGCTTGGGCCAGACGTGGTGGCTCACGCCTGTAATCTCAGCACTTTGGGAGGGCAAGGTGGGCAGATCACTTGAGGTCAGGAGCTCAAAACCAGCCTGGCCAACATAGTGAAACCCCATCTCTACTAAAAATACAAAAATCAGCCAGATGTGGTAGTGTGCACCTGTAATCCCAGCTACTCAGGAGGCTGAGGTGGTAGAATCACTTGAACCCGGGAGGCGGAGGTTGCAGTGAGCCAAGATCGTGCCATTGCACTCCACCAGCCTGGGCAACAGAGTGAGTTAATAACAGTTAAAGAAATTGAATCGTCCTGGTGCGGTGGCTCACACCTGTAATCCCAGCACTTTGGGAGGCCAAGGTGGGTGGATCACTTGACGTCAGGAGTTCAAGACCAGCCTGGCCAACATGGCAAAACCCTGTCTCTACTAAAAATACAAAAATTAGCCAGGCATGGTGGCAGGCACCTGTAATCCCAGATACTTGGGAGGCTGAGGCAAGAGAATCGCTTGAACCCAGGAGGCGGAGTTTGCAGTGAGCCGAGATCACGCCATCACACTCTAGCCTGAGCGAGAAGAGCAAAACTGCATCTCAAAAAAAAAAAAAAAGAAAGAAAGAAAGATAAGAAATTGAATCATGAGTTACTATCAGAACAGCAGTTTTATAGGTGAGTTCTTTTAAACTTTAGAGAAATTCATCAGTTTGGGTTCAGGCAGAGTCTTCTAGACAATAGAAAATGAGGGAACACTTCCTGCTTCATTTTATAATAATAATAACTGCTATCAAAATTAAACAAGGACAATGAAAGAAAAGTAAATTACAGGCCAATTCACTCATGACATAGAAGCAAAAAACAAAAAACAAAAAAACCCTAAGCAGGAATCCAAAATTCCACAGCCAGGACCTGGCGGCACAGAAATTCTTTTTAGCCACATCCCACTGACACCTCCTCTCTGTAAGTCTGGCCTGGGACAGCATGGCTAATGGGCTCAACCCTGAAATGGCTACGGGCTCTCTTTCCTCTGGAGCCAGAGCCAGGCCAGAGTCAGTGGAAAGTTTCAGCGGCAGTTTTTCCAGGGATCTCCCATCCAGGCTCAGCCAGGTGAATACTAGAGAGAGACTGACTTCCCCTAGTGACTGATGCTGATCCGGTCCAGCCCACTGGCACTTCCCAGGTACAGCAGGCTGCAGGGAGTTGTGGCACCTGCAGGAGCCAGAGCCAGAAGGCTGTCTGAGGCAGATGTAACGTATAGACCTTGGACAGGCCGTAAGGGCTGGACTTCCGCCTTCTGCCTCCTGCCCATCAGTCTCCACCATCCCAGGGCAAGGACTTGGCAGCTGTGGTAAGCTGAGCACTTGGGAGGGTTGAGCCTCCCCAAGACTCACCTCTCCCTGGGAGATATGGCCCTAGGGTACCCAATCCTAGGGAGGGGAATATCAGGGAAGGCTTCCTGGAGGAGGTGCCATCTAAGCAGAGTCCTGAAGGAAGAAGCCAGGCAAAAAGAGGGCAACAGTGTTCTAGGTAGAAAGATCTGCTTACACAAAGGCCAGAGGAGAGAGGCCTTGCTGGCACTCAGGGCACTGAGAGCAAGTTGGTCAGGCCAGAGCAGCAGGCAGGGGCTGGGCAGGGCAGGATGAGGGGTGAGTACTGTAAGAGAGAGGACACAGGGGCCAGAGGTTGATGAAGTCAGAGGAACCAGGCCAAGGATCTTGGCACGGGAGGGCTGAGGTCAGCTCACTAGAGTCAGCTCTAGCACAGCATGAGAAGCCTGGGCAGTGAAGTCAGACAACCCACAGTTTGACTCCTGCTCCCCATCTCACTAGCTCTGTAACCTTGGCCACCTCCTTGATCTCTCAGCCTCAGTTTCCTCATCTATAAAATAGATCAGTAATAGAATCTACTGAGCACAGTCCTTGACACATAGTGTGAGCTCAACAAATGGCTGCTATTTTTGTCGGTGTTACCTGACAAAACAGGCAGTTGGCTCCCTTGGGCTAGATTTCAGGGCAGAGTCACGGCTGGCGATATGGAGCTGCCGACCATCATCACCTTCCAGAGAGGTGGTGACTGAAGCCCCATTGGAGGAGGTAACGGGAAGGACAGCAGTAGAAACTGTTCCCTGTGCGCCGTCAATTCCTGCAGCGTGGGAGTGGAGAGTCAACTAGAGTTGCTCCTAGAAAGGAAGAGACCCACATGGCTGCTGGCACAATAAAAATAAACATGACTCCAAACTGTGCATAAAGATGACTGATAACAGGCAAGGGGGCGGTGATGAGAGGTGATTTGATTTTTTCTCTTTATTTTCCAATACTTTCCACAATAACTTTATTTTTATTATTTTAAAAAGTGAACTTAGCTCTTTTTTAACTAAGTGAACTTAGTCATTTTTCAAACTTTTCTCATTTCTTTATTTCTCAAATAATACATTATTATTGTAGAAAAATCAGCAAGTATAACCACTGTGACACTGTGGCATGAGTCTGTGCAGATTTTCACCCCTCCATCTGGTTACCTGGGTCCTTTTTTTTTTTTCAGGGTCTCTCTCTCTCTCTGTCACCCAGGCTGGAGTGCAGTGGTGTGATCACGGCTCACTTCAGCCTCGACCTCCCTGGCTCAAGTGATCCTCCCACCTCAGCCTCCCAAGTAGCTAATACTATAGGTATGTGCCTCCAGGCCTGGCTAATTTTTCTATATTTTGTAGAGACGAGTTATCACGATGTTGCCTAGGCTCGTCTCCAACTCCTGAGCACAAGTGATCTGCCCCCCTCAGCCTCCCAAAATGCTGGGATTAGAAGTGTGAGCCACTGCACCCAGCCCAAGACATTTTTCATGGGTACATAGCATTCCACTGATACCAACATGCCACAGTTTTTTTGACCAATCCCTGATTTTTGGATATTTAGGTTGTTTTCATTCCTTCACATCTTAGTAGATATATTTTGGTGCGCATCCTTTATTCTTTCTTTGGGATAGATTTTACTTTTAGGATCATGGGTGGGTTTCTATGAAGTTGGATGCAAAATGCTATGTGTATGTGAGGACATGTAGACTTTCCAAAGAGAGAGAGAACATGGCCTTGTCAGATCCTTAAGGTAGCTGGTTTCCCAGAGTTAAGAACCTACTGCTATGAAAAAAAGAAGAAGAAAAAAAACCACAATCTGCAGTGTGTGACTCATCTCCTCCCTGTCTTCATTCTCACCCAGAGCAGTTTGGCAACAAACAATTTCATTTCAAAAAATAATTTACCATTTAGTTAGTAATTACTATGTGCAGAACTCTATCCAAATACTTTACGTGCACCATCCTACAACAACCCCGTGAAGTCGGCACTACTGTTATCCCCATTTTACGGAAGAGAAACAGCTCAGAGAAGTCAGGTGCCTTGTGAAGGCCACACAGCAGGTCAATGGGGAACCCAGGAATCAGACCCAGGCAGCCGTCCCAGAACTCTTTCTCTCTCTGAGCCACCCACTTGCCCAGGTGTCACTGCCCAGTGCAGTGGGTGGGGTTCCCAGAACCCAGGAAGCAATCCCTGAAGCAGCATTTCCCCACCTGCTCTCAACCAAGTTGTCAAGGCTCCCTGGGCTGAGTTTCCATCAGGGACCTGCCCATAAACAGATGATGCGGAACATCAAGAGTATCTGCCTGATTGGAGGAGCCATCCAGGTTGGGCAAACATCACACTGGCTGGACTGATCCTGCTGAAGCCACACCAGTGACACCCCCACCTGTTCATAATGACACCCTCTCTGGGAATACAGGGCCAGTTGTCAAGATTCTGCTGATCTTAGACTGGGAGTGGGGAGTGAAGGGGATGGAGCTGGTGTTGGGGGCCCCTGGCAGGGCCTCCTTGCACATTGGAGCTTGTATTAGTTCATTCTCATGCTGCTATGAAGAGATACCAGAGACTGGGAAATTTATAAAGAAAAGAGGTTTAATTGACTCACAGTTCCATATGGCTGGGGAGGCCTCAGGAAACTTACAGTCATGGCAGAAGGCAAAGGGAAAGAAAGGCACTTTCTTCACAAGGTGACATGGAGGAGAAGTGCTGAGCAAAGGGAGAAAAGTCCCTAATAAAACCCTCAGATCTCGTGAGAACTCACTCACTATCATGAGAACAGCATAGGGGTAACAGCCCCCATGATCCAATCAACTCCTGCCAGGTCCCTTTCCATGTGGATTATGGGAACTACAATTCAAGATGAGATTTGGGTGGGGACATAGCCAAATCACATCAGGGCTTATGTCTGCAGCAGCCCAGACCAGAGGCAGCATTATCTGGTGTGAAGCAGCCAAGTCAAATGCCAGAAGAGTGGCTAGAGTTTCCTTGAGGTTAACCAGCCACTGCTTCAACCAGCCACTGCTTCACCCATCCACTCAGGTGGAAGAGGGTGGCCCTTGGAAATTTGAGAATTCCTCTGGGAATATCAGTGATAAAGCTTTTAACAGATGGATTTATTGAGCACTTACTATACACCACCTATGCAAGCAGCTTCAGTTATCTCATTTCATCTTCTCAGCAACACTTTTGTTATCCCCATTTCTCCCATGAGAAACTTAGGCATGGAGAAGTTAAGAGGGTGACAGAGCTAGGAAGTGTCAGGGTAGAGATCTATACCAAGGCAGAGCCCACAGCCTTCTCTTTCTATCCCTCAGCAAATCCAGGATACTCAGGGTCAAGTTCCAAATTTGGACTCTACCACTGACAGCGAGCTTCTCAGGGGCAGGGCCTTCGTCATCCCTGCAGGCTCAGCCTCATGGATGGGGGTAAGGGGTCCGGCATGAGACAAACCTGGGATGCCACTTGCCAGCCGTGTGGCCTTGGGAGAGTTACTTACCATCTCTGAGCCTCAGTTTCCTCATCTATGAAAGGCAACCCCCATTTAGTAACCCCCATTTAGTCTGGTGGTTGTACGCGGGTAATGAGATGACTCAGCATGATGCCTGGCCTATGGTGCTGTATCTGGTAGATGGAAGTGGTTGTCATTGGTGCTGTTGTCATTTCTATCCTGCACGTAATTCAGCTGCTGTCTCCTCAGGTCCATTACAAATCAGTCTCCAGAAGGGAATGGCCTCACACGGCCTATCTGCAACTAGTAATGATCATGATGTGCTGGCCATCTTGTCAGTAATGTGCACTTCCTGCACACTGTATGCCAAGTGCCATTCTAAGCACTTTACATATTAACCAGCCAAGAAATAACCCCAGAAGAGAACAGCTGCCTCCTGCCCCGACCCTCTAGGGAGGAGACAGGGGTCAAGAAGCCATGCCTAGGCCAACCCATGTGTACAAGACCTGCTGTAGGAAGAGGTCACAGATGGCCTCATGGGGGGATTCTGGGCCCCGACTTTGGTCCCATATCCATGTGAGGAACCCAAAAAATGACTTTCCCTCCTCCACGACCCCCTAGGTGGCTCTGAGGACTCAGCGAAGTCATTGCCAGAGGTCTTGAAAAACAAAAAGCGGCTGTAGGAGATGTTGGGGGAAACCTTCCTCCATGCCACCCTAGGGCCTAGGGCAGTGCTCACAGTGTTTGTTGACTGACTAATATTTGTTGACTGTAAGTGATGGTTCCATTTTTAGAGCATAGCAGCTCAGGCACTAAGCTGTACCAGCCATTTTTTCATATGTGTATAAGAAGAAGACTAGAAAAATAAATACCAAACATTAATGCTAATTATCTTAATTGAGGAAGGGGCAATGGGGTGAGGAGGGGAGATATCATGGTCACTTTTGTATTTTTTTCCACTTTCTACATTGTCTACAGTGAGCATTGCCTACATTGTCTACAATTAATTTTATAGTCAGTAGAAAACAAACATTTCTGTAAATTTATGATTTACCTCATTTTACAGAAAAAGAAATGAAGGCCCAGACACGTTACGCCATTTGCCCAAGACCACACAGCCAGAAGAGAGTGGCTGGGATGGACCTATACCTGCCATCTCTTCACCTGCATCTGCTGGGAACCCCATCCCTCAGCACTGGGGCCATTTCCAGCTCCTGCATCATGGGGCCTCCTTGTCCCCTTTCCCATGACCAGGCCCTGAAAATGCTCCCACCCCAATCCTGCCAGCTCCCCCAACTCCTGAGAAAGTCCCCTCTGAGAGCCAAGAGTCCCTGCAGATCTCAGGAAGGTGTCCAGGGGAAAGAGATGCATGCAAAGCCCCATTCCAGCTCTGCCAACTCACTGCTTATTCATTAATAAAAGAATGCCCAGGCTATTTTGGGCACCTGTAATTTTCTACTTGAATAACCAGGAAAGTGGCTGCCTGCCCGCTCCTCTGCCCTGCTTATGGCACCAGAACAGGGGAAACGCGATCTTGCCTGGCGTAATGGGATCTGGGCGAGGTCTCACTGCTGATTTCCTTGCCTTTGCCTCATTCCAGAAAGCCCAGGTGTCCCCCATGCCACCTCCAAGGGGGTCTGGGGAAGGAGAATCCAGGCCAAGTTTGGATGTTGTGGACTAGGTGGTTTCTTCCAGCTCCAGAAGGCAAATCCCAGCTCTGCCACTTGCCAGCTGTGGGACTTTGGCCCCAGCTTCTCTATCTGTAAAATGGGGATAACTATACCACCTTGCAGGTTTGGTCCAGGGGAGCTGCCTGGCTCTTAGGGTAATTGTTGCTGTTGCTGTTATTGTTATTCCATAGATAAGGAAGGAGTTGTTCTGGGAAAAGATCTGGCCTAGGAGGCTTAGGATCTCTCATTTGGCTCTACTGCTGACTAGCTATGTGACCTTAGACAAGCCCATTTCCTTCTTATTTTAAGCAAAATTGTTCTTTCTGTTTATCAAGGTAATTCATGATCATTATTGAAAATTTAGAAAAATGAATGACGAAAATTAAAAATCAGGGTAACTCTTAACTACTATTTATTGAGCACCTACTCTGTGCCAGGCCCCATGTTAGGTGCTTTCTATTTATTATCTCTAATTCTCCCAAGTCTGCACCCATTTGTAGATGAGAAAACTGGAGCTCAGTGTGGTGATGTGACTCATGCAAGGTCACACAACTGGTAAGTAGAGCAGAAATCACACCCAAGTCTTTCATTCTTCAAAGTCTGTTGGTTTGGTTTTCTATTGCTGCGTAACAAGTGACCACAAAATCAGTGGCTGAAAACCACACACATATCACAGTTTCCCTTGGCAGGAGTCTGGGCACCGCTTACCTGGTCCTCTTCTCAGACTCTCACAAGCTGCAGTCAAGGCATGAGTTGAACTGTGTTCTCATTCAGAGGCTCGACTGAGAAAGAGTTCACTTCCGTGCTCATTCAGGCTGTTGGCAGAATTTATTTCCTTGCAGTTGTAGAACAGAAGGCCCCAGAGGTTTGCTGCTTGCTTGTTGGAGGCTGCCCTCAGGTCCTAAGAGGCCACCCAGTTTCTTGAGGCTGCCCGCAGCTCCTTGCCATGGGGGCACCTTACCTAGCTGCTAACTTCATTGAGCCAGCAAGGAGAATCTCTTGTTAGTGTATGCTAGCAGGACAGAGTCACATGTACATGCACACGTATACACACATACATGCACACGTATACACACATACATGCACATATACAAATCCATCTAGCATGATCATGGGAGTGACACACCCTCACCTTTGCCATATTCTATTGTTAAAATAGCTCCCACCCACCCTCTACTCTGGAGAGGTAGAGGACCACACCAAAGGGTCAGCACAGGGGTGAGAGTCATGGAGGCCACCTAGGGGTCTGTCTCCCACACCCACACTCTTCCCACCACAGCCAGCTCCCCTTTCCTCAACAACATCCTCACCCTCACCCTCCAGGAGAAAACTCCACTCTAGGTTGGCAACTGCAAAGTTAGCTCCATGTTACAAACATCGTGGCATATCCTGGACCAAGGAAATGGAGCCTCATGGAACACTGGCTCAAGACATTTGACCCCCAACCCTTGCTACCATGCTGTGTAAAAACCAGAGAGGGAATAGAAATGGACAGGACATAGTGCCCAATCTCAGAAAACTTACCAGGAGGCTGGAAAGATGCCACAGTCAAGTGTTCTTTTGGTTGCAGGAGCCCTGGGTTAAGGGGGAAGAAAAGACAATTTTTTGGCTCTTGTACGTGAAAGTCTAGGAGTAATGACATCAAGCAAGGCTGGATCCTGTGTCTTAAATGAAGTCTTCAGGACCTAGTCCCTCTCTCAGGGCTCTACTTTTCTCTGGTTGACCTCATTCCTGGGCCAGTCCCCCTTCATGGAAACTCCCAGCAGCTACAAGATTATCTCATTCTTAAACTACAAGAGTGTGAAGGCTGGAGGGAGAAATAGGTATTGGGGGTGGGGGTTGGTCTGTTGACAAGAAGTCACAAGAAAGGAAATTGAGAGTAGACTGAAATGTAGAAGGGCTGGAATTCAGATAGAAACTTTAGCCTGTACTCTGTGGTCCAACATTTTCCAGTGTGTTCCACAAGACTTTAATAAGTGTTAGGTGAGCCAAGAGTTTCAGGTCCAACAGACTGGATTAAGCTCACTTAAACAGGTTTCTCTCCTGCAGGGCCTCTTGTATTCACACGTCCAGATGTGATTCTCCAAAAGGAGAGCTACAGACTATAGCATTCCCTAAGGGGCAGCTCTCAATTCTACACCTTGTGAAGTGCCACTGTGGGTCATAGGGAGCCATTGAAGGCAGCAGAGCAAGAGAGTAAGACAGCGAAAGTGTTCTAGGAAGAACACAATGGAAGCTCTGTAAGAGATGTCTGCATAGGCCGGGCATGGTGGCTCACACCTGTAATCCCAGCACTTTGGAAGGCCAAGGCAGGTGGATCACTTGAGGTTAGGAGTTCAAGACCAGCCTGGCCAACATGGTGAAACCCCGCCTCTACTAAAAATACAAAAATTAGCCAGGCATGGTGGCAGGTGCTTGTAATCCCAGCTACTTGGGAGGCTGAGGCAGGAGAATCACTTAAGCCTGGGAGACAGAGGTTGTAGTGAGCCGAGATTGTACCACTGCACTCTAGCCTGGGTGACAGAGTGAGACTCCATCTCAAACAAACAAACAAAAAAGAGATAACAGCATAATCATCCATGCAAAGAGCAATGACCTCCCAGACCAGAGGGTCAGTGGCAGAAACAGGAATTAAGGTATACAGTGGAGTTGGGATGTAGGAAAATACATAGATTAACTCAGAAAATGCTGCTGCCTTGGTGATAGTGACAGTGACATTTAGTTTTGATTTTAGCTTTTCTACTGAAAGCAGGGGCCACACAAAGAGAAAGCATGGACTGTGAAGTTCAGCAAACCTGATTCTTGGGTCTACTACTGTGCCTTTTTGGCAAGTCACTGTACCCCTCTGAACCTTGGCTCAGTGAAGGCTTAAGCATTTTCTCTCAGGGTCCTGGTGAGCATTCCAAGATTATAGAGAGGGGGTAAGGATGTCTCACTACGAGTTGGACTTCCACTTCCAGCCATGATAGAGGACCTGGTGCCACACTAGCACTACCACTAAAAACAACTTGACACTTGGCAAAATAAGAGACAATGTTCTCAGGCAGTGGACAATAGGTACTGTGATCTCTGAAGGAAAGGAAACTTACAAGGTGAGCCCCTCATCACCTGGACTCTCATCCTGGGACAATTTCCCAACTATGGCACAGGACGATGGAGCCCAAACAGAACATGGTAGTCCCTCTGAGCTCAGGAGGCAGAGATCAGGGTTTGGAGCAACTAAAGCAAAAGGAATCTGCAAGACAGGGCACTGGAGAGGAGGGAGCCGCATAGATAGGGAGCCCCAAAATCTGTGTGGGGGTCCCCCATGACCCACAGGTTCTTGCCCAAGGACTGGGATTTGCAGGCACAGGGTCAGACTATCTGAGACTTACCAGAGAGCAGCTGTTATAGGGTTAAGAGTGAACTGGGGCTGGGAGAGTCAGCTGGGGCTGGGAGACATTGGAGAGACCTTCATCCTAGACATCAAGCTGAGACACCAGAAAGCTGTGCCTTAGGTGTGAGGACTATACTGTGGTGTAAGGGATACTCCAGAGCTGCATAACAAAGCCTAAAACCAAATCCTTCAAGACCCTCAGGGGAGAAAGTTTGGAGGTGAGTCCTACCAAGTTAAAGGGACTTGGAAAGAGCCTGGACTTTGCAGGAGTGCAAAAACAAGCCCATGGAACTTCAAAGGGATCACCTAATAATTGTACTGCCTGCTAAAACAAAACCTAACACTCATCAGAAAAAGATAACAAAATCCAGAGTCTCCACAACACATCACACACACACAACCTCCAGTATACAATCAAAATTGTTTAGACATGCAAAGAGACAGGAAAATGTGATCCTTAGTCAAGAAAAAAGCAGCCAATAGAAACTAACTCCAAGATGGTCTGGAGGTCAGAGTTAGTAGATGAAGACCCTGAAGCACCTAGTCCAGTGTTTAGCACATAGTAGATGCCCAACAAATGCCAGCTGCTTATCTCCGTGTGAGCAAAGTAATAATTTATTCCCCAAAATCTTTGAAACACAAGGATTAATAAAGGAAAGTGCATTCAGTCCACACATCCTGAGGTCCCGCTGATTGATCTTATGGGGCCCAGGGAGTGGGTGAGGCTGTCACGTGCAACAATGAGAGAAACAAGTTATGACCCTGCCACTAACTCACTGTGCGAGTCCCTCAGTGCTCTGTGCCTCAGTTTCTCCACTTATATAATGGAGGGTGCAGGCAGATCATCTCAAAGGGCCCTTTCTCTCCAGAATTCTGAGTCTGTCTGGCACAGGACCTGTTATCAGCCCAGGACATGCTCTGAGCTGAGGCCTGGAAGAACCGGTTGGAGAAGGAATTGGATCTGCGTTTAATGCTCTGGAGGGAGCACGAGTTGGGATGTCACTCTCCCAAGTATAATAATGTTGAATTGTGGGCAGAGACTGAGCTCATTTTCCAAAGGAACCTTTCTTGAGAAATGTCTCCTAGCAACCAGCTCCACCGAGAGTACAATCTTCAGGGACCTTTACAGAAACACAAAGGCTTTTTGTGGCTCCCTCCTTCAAAAGCCCAGGTGGAAACTGCTCATCAGCCGACATGCTAGTGTGAAGCTCAGAGAGCAGGCGGAGGGGCATCTGGTGGGGCAGGGGCTATTGGGAGGGCTTCCACCCACGGCCTCAACCTCTTTCCTTTTGGTGAAAATAGAAGTAGTCCAGCTTCAGGGCTCTGAGCATGGTCTTCCAACAGGAGCTCAAAACCCAGTTACTAGTTGGGGAGCCTTGAGGAAGTTACTTAACCTCTGTGAGCCCCATCTGTAAAAAGCAGGAGGTTGGTGCTCCTCCACCTACATCCCTTTTATTGATCCAGCACACCCACATGCCTGTTACTGTGAGTGCTGATTGCTCACAGCTGCACCCTTCTCAGACAATCACCCATGGATGCTGGGAAGTACCTCACTTAGAGATACTTTGGGGGTTGAGCCCATCTTGCAGGTTACCCTCTTCCCATTGTCCTATAGCCAATGACCAACAGATATGGAGGTACAAAAGCCCAGCCCCCTTGCCTATGGGGGGATGATGCTGCAGTGCCATCTACTCTCCAGACTTCCCACGGCATCCCCCTGAGGCTAGACTTCAGCTGAGCCCACATCTTGACTTAACTTCTTCTCCTGCTCCATCCTGCTTTCCTCCCTTACACTTTTAAAGGTTTCCCATGAGAGCTGTCCCTCAAGAAGTCACTTGCAGCAAGTCCCCATTTCAAGCTCTCCTAGAAAATCTAAAGACATGATGGTACCTACCACTTGGGCCACGGTGAGCATCCAATAATAGAATGCACATGAAGGACTCAGCCAATGCCTGGCACATAGTAGGTGTTCAGTATACGAACATCATTGTCCTCCTTCTCATTATTCTCATCATAACTAAAGACAGGCCTGGGATCATAGGGAGCTTCTAATGTGCACAAGCGCAGGGGACAGTGTTGGTATGGGGAAATAATTGCATTTAGACTGCTTAATACAGTTGAGGCAGAGTTATCAACTTCCTTTATTTCCTAAACCAATATAACAAAGCATTTCTCTAATTATAAAACACAGGTTCATTGAAAAAACGAAACTCAAGAAATGCAGAGAACTATGAAAATGAATGAATACATTAATTAATGAATAAAATTCCCCACCACTTGTTTATAATCACTGGGGACATTTTGGTTCATATTCTTCCAAACATTATTCACATAAATTCACATAACATACCTATGTATGGACACACATACATATACACATATCTACACCCACAAACATGTATATACACATATCTATACCCACAAACATGTATATATTAGGTTGGTGGAAAAGTCATTGTAGTTTTGCCATTACTTTAATTGATATAAGTAATACTACATAGAGATAAATATAGATATGTAAGACTGAATACATAAAGTAACACTACATGTGTAACAAAATATATAACCAATCCTGTAACCTGTTTTTTTCACTTAATTTTTCTAAATAGATAGTGGACATCTTCCATGTTAGTAAACCTAGGTCTACAACATCCTTCTTAGCCACAGACTGTTACATTGTATAGAAATAGTACAATTTAATCAATCCCCTATCGCTGGACGTTTACCATATTGCCGATCTTTTTATTATCTTGAACAATGCTTGTTCATGCACATTCTTGACCATATATCTTTGTGAAATGTGTTCAATTATTTTCTTAAATTCTTAGAAATGGAAAAGCACAGATATCTGCCTGGTTTGTAGGGCTTTCAACGCACGTTTCCCTGCAGGACACCTGTACTATCAACACTCCCTCCAGGAGCACACCAGAGTGTCTGTTTCCTCACACCCTCTCCAACACTGAGTATCGTTATATTTTCATTTTTGCCAATCTGATAGGTGAAAGATAATACCCCATTGTTGCTTGAGCGTGCATTTTCTTTGATTTCTGGGGAGGCAGAGCATCTTTCTTACGTTTGTGGACCGTTTGGATTTCACCTGCTGAGAACTGCCCTTGTCCAGTCATTGGCAAAGCCTGTTGGGTGTCTTCTCTCTTCCCCCTTCCCTGCCCTAAGCCACAGACTCAGCAGCTTCCTGGTGTGTTATTTCACAAGCTCTCAAAGCTCTGCCTCATACAGGATTGGCCTCCCAGGAAGGCAGAATTTTCTCCCTCTGCTCCAGCCTGCCTGAGATGGGATTAGTAGGGATCCAGTTCCTTGACCTCCAGGAGCCCCCTTGCCAAGTCCCCTCTCCCGGCCCCATCCACGTTTACACCACAAAGACTTTGAAAACCAGATCTGCTTAACGAAAATATCAGTTTTTGCCAAAATTCCAAACCCACCCAGCAAATACATTCCGGGGTGATTATTAGCATGACTTGAAGAATCTTTTCAGAAGAACTTGTCAGAATATTCCTTTAAAATCCAGTACTTTTGAGAAGTTTAACATGCGATTGTACATATACCAAGATCCAGCACAGTGGAAAATATCCCAGCCATTGACCTAGAAATCCCAATGGTAAGAATTTACCCTCTGGGTGGGTGCGCTTGCCCATGTACAGAAAGATACATGTGGGATATTCATTGAAACCTTCCTCATAACAGCAAAATATATGGCAACCACTTACATATCCATCAGTTAGGACCACTAAAATAAGTTACCAATGACCTCTGCTATGAAACATTGTGCAAACAGTAGATAATGTGAGTCTGAATGTGCACGTGTGTAAACATGTCCTCGATGTGCCATAGAGTGACAAAGCAAGGTGTAGCCTGGCACATTCAGTGTGAGCCCATCTGCACTTTCTAAAAGATAGATCAGAATCATTCTAGATGTTTATAGAAGCAGAGACAATTCCTGGAGAGATGCATAAGAAATTACTTACATCAGTTTTTTCTGGGAGGAGGATGTGGGGTTGAAGTATTTGGAGATTTGGGGGGTTGCACTTTACACCCATCTGCATTGTTTAATAACTGTGAATAATAATTTAAATGGCTTTATCATTATATAATGAAAATGCTTATTTAAAAGCTTAAAAGTGAGCCTATGATCAATAACAGAATTGTGGTAATAATAATGTGATTATTAAATAGCCTATTGAGTACCAATTATGTGCCAGGCACTGTGTATTCTCTCATTCAATATTAAAACGAGCGCTATTTTGATGCTTATTTTATACACGAGGAACCTGAGTCTTAGGTTAAGAGGCTTGGTAAGGCTGCATCTGATTACAAAACGCTGGCTCTTTCCACAGGGCATGGCTCTGGTGCCCGAAGGGAGACCTGTGAGGGTTTTGTCGGGTCCTGTGGGGGTCCTTCAGTGAGTCCCTTGTGGTGGGCTGGAGGCTTCCCACCTGGTGGCAGCTCTGTTCTCTTTGCCTGCCCCCTGTGGCATTTCTCCCCCTGATCTGTCTCCTTAGAGCTGCACCATCCAAAGCAGTCCACTTAATTAATTATGATTAAATAAGACTAAAATTTCAGCTCCTCAGTTGCACTAGCCACATCTCAAGTCTTAAATAGTCGCATGTGGCTAGTGGCTACCATGTTCTCAGAAAGACAGTGAACATATCCATCCTCTCAGAACATTCTATCGAATTCCCTGTCCCAGCTTTGGAGCCAGGCTGACCTGGGCTCAAACCTGCTCCATCACTGAAGGAGCTGAGCAAAATTCACTCAACTTTTTTGAGCCTCACTATTCTCATCTGTAAAATGGGATGACGATATAGCTGCCACACTGGGCTGTTGCAGGGGTTAGTTAAGATCATGCCTGCTGCATGGGTAGCCCAAAGCCTGTCGCATGAGCAGCTGTCACTTAAAAGACAGAGAGGAAGATAGGACTCTGCAGTCAGATATTTTATGACCTCGGGCAGGTCTTCTCTGAGGCCTCACCTCCTTGTCTGTAAAATGGGGTAAACAGTACCTACCCTGAAAGGTTGCTGTGAGGATTCGAGAGCATCTATATAGTAGATGCTCAGAAAACAGTCAAGCCCCTTTTCCCCTTTCCAAAAAAGGGTTTCCCCTGTCAGGCAAAGCACTATCAAAAGACCCAGAAGAAGGAATCCAGAAGGCCAAATATCAAAAGAAGGCTCAATCTCCAAAATGAAATAATCATGGGATATTGTCCTATCACCCATTAAATTGCAGGGGTGGGGGGTAAATTGAACTTTTTGCCGAAGAATAACACGCATATTTAATACTGCACCTGGGCTGGGCATGGTGGCTCATGTCTGTAATCCCAGAACTTTGGGAGGCTGAGGCGGGAGGATCACTGGAGGTCACTAGTTTGAGGCCAGCCTGACCAACATGGTGAAACCCCATTTCTACTAAAAATGCAAAAAATTAGCTGGGTGCAGGAGAATCACTTGAATCCAGGAGGCAAATGTTGCAGTAAGCCGAGATCACACCACAGCATTCCAGCCTAGGTGACAGAGCGGGATCCCGTCTCAAAAAAAAAAAAAAAAAAAAAAAAAAAAAAAAAAAAAAATGGTGCACTTGTTTTAAGTATACCACTTAACACATTTTTAGAAACTGAAAATACCTGTGTAACCACCACTCAGATCAAGAAACAGAACATCAACAGCACCCTGGAAGTCCCTCCTGCCCCTTCCCATCCACTATTGCCCTCCACAGGGGCAACCACTATCCCGACTTCTAACACTAGAGATTAGTTTTCAGGAGACAAACCTAGATTCATAACATAAAGCCTTGCTGAAGGTGTGGACAATCCCATAATCTCAGGCACGGATGGCAAGTATGGAAAATGCAGCCATTTTGGAAGATAATTTGGCAGCATCTACTAAAACTTAAATACATGTACTTCCTGGTCTAGCATTTCCACTTCCCAGTGTCTGCCCTAGAGAAATATTCACCCATGTGGACAGAAAGGCAGCAAGCATAAGGGTGTTTGGAGTAGAATTATTTGTAATAGTGAAAAATTGAGGCTAGGTGCGATGGCTCATGCCTATAATCCCAGCACTTTGGGAGGCTGAGGCAGGCGGATGATTTGAGGTCAGGAGTTTGAGACCAGCCTGGCCAACATGGTGAAAACCCATCTCTACTAAAAATACAAAAATTAGCCAGGCATGGTGGTACATGCCTGTAATCCCAGCTACTCGGGAGGCTGAGGCAGGAGAATTGCTTGAACCTGGGAGGCGGAGGTCACAGTGAGCCGAGATCCCAGCATCGCACTCCAGCCTGGGCGACAAGAGCAAAACTCCGTCTCAAAAAAAAGAAAAAGAAAAGAAAAATTGGAAGCAACCTAAATGTCCAACTAAAGCGTAATGGTTTAAAAAAAAAACCATGGGGCATCACACTGTGGTTTACACTGTAGTAGATCAGAAGAGTGAGGTGGATCTACATATACCAACATAGAAATATCTCCAAGACATACCACAGAGTTTAAAAAGGAAGCTGCAGAAAAACGACAAAACTCACACATGCAGCATCAAAAAGAGTGATGACTCAGGGAAAGGGGTGAGATTGGGGCATGGCTGGGACAGTAAGGAGAAATGTTACTTTTTAAAATGTGTATGCAACTGAGTTGTTCCGAATGTTTACAGTAGCAGTGGATTTATGTATTACTTGTGTGAACTATTTTGCAAGCATTTAAGGGGAATGAAACAACCCATGCACCAAGTCCAGGTATGGAAAAAAAGATTGCTGCTGCTGCCTGCTGGGGGGTGGGTGGCTCCCACCCAGGGCCTCAGCTTGAGTTCCAGGAAGGCAGTTTTCTGGGTCTCTGAGACCTAAGGGGCTGAATGAATGGAGGCGTGAGAAGGCCCTGGAGACCAGAACTGTAGAGGCCTCCTTTGATAGAAAACAGTGCCCTCATTACTGCACCTCGGCTGAGAACTCAACACCCATGTGATGTAAGTGGACCCCTGCAAAGGAACAAGTCCCAGGGCTGGGCGCCTGCTCCAAACAGAGCCCAGCACTTTAAAGGAAGGATTGCTGGGTCTGATTCTCTCCATCCCTGGGGATGGAAAAGAGAGGTGGCAGGCGTCACCTCACAACAGGGTGGCTTTGTGAGAGTGAAGCACTGAGGTGGAGGCTCGGGGTGAGCGTTGCGACATCCAGTGGCTGTGGGCTCCAGAGAGTGGAGGTTGTAGAGGAGGGCAGCAGCCAGGGCTCTGCATTACATATATTCAACCTTTAAGAATAAGCCAGGTAGGGAGGCTGGCACAGCTGACTCCAGGGAGAAGGGTTCCTTAACCTCACTGAGCCTCAGTTTCCTCCTCTGTAAAATGGGTGCAGGCTCTTGCCATCTCACACACACACAAAAGCTCCTGAGTCAGACTGCCTCAAGTCTAATTACAAAGCTGCCACTTGCCAGCTGTGTATCTTTTTTATTTTTTTATTTCCATCCAGCTGTGTATCTTAACCTGCCGAAGGCCTCAGCTTTCTTCCTCATCTGTAAAACAAGAACTTCACTCTTCCCTAATCTCAGAGGACTTTCATGAGGTTTAAATGAGACCATATCGGTAGTCATGTCACAGTGCCTAGCACTAGAATGTGCTCGATAGCTGTTTGCTACAATTATTAAGTTAATAATTTATTAATTTTTATTTACAAAGCACCTATGTGCCAAGAACTGTGCTAGGCATTGCAGACACATCCCTGAATAAGTTACAATTCCTATTCTCATAGTGTTTACAGTCTAATGGAGGTGTAAATAAAGACGTCTAGAGACATACCTCCAACTGATTCACTCCAGATTTTAAGGACAAATACCCTGAGCTCCAAATTCAGAATTCAGGCCCATCTGTGTTTATCAGCGATGCAATTTTGCTAACACCTCCCTCCTCCCTGCCAATCCAAAGCATTGTGTATGGGAGTGACCTGAATGTGTCCCCAAAAATCTATGTTGTAAAGATGTCAAAAGTACAATACAAAGTGACACAATCATTGTTGGCAGTATCCACTATAGCTAAACATTCACCTACTTATGATCCCCCAAGTCCACTGCTGGATATCTGCCCAACAGAAATGAGCACTCATTTTGACCCAAAAATTCATGGAAAGTTGTTCATAGCAGCTTTAGGAGTGATAGCCAAAAACTGGAAACCATCCAAATGTTCGTTCTCAGGAGAATGTATCAGCAAACTGTGACATAGCCACCAAATGGAATACTTAAGTCAGAAATCAAGAGGAATGAACTACTGACACAGGCAGCCACACTGATGAATCTCAAACACACGGCTGAGTAAAAAAGCCAGGCCAAAATGAGCACATTTTATTATTCCATTGATGTGAAGTTCTAGAGCAAGAGAAATGAATCTGTAGTGACAGAGGCCAGAATGGCTCTTACCCTGGGAGAAAGTAGGTATTGACTGGGGTGCAGTCAGTCTTGATATATATTTTGTCATATATATCAAGATATAAAGCAAGCCAATCTTGTTTTATATCTTGATCTTGGAGGTGGTTATGTGTGTGAACACATATATAAAACCTCACTGAGCTGCACAATGGACTTTATGCTACACCTCAATTTTTTTTTTTTTTTGAGACCGAGTCTGGCTCTGTCACCCAGGCTGGAGTGCAGTGGCACGATCTGGGCTCACTGCAACCTCCACCTCCCAGGTTCAAGCGATTCTCCTGCCTCAGCCTCTCTAGTAGCTGGGATTACAGGCACCCATCACCAGGTCCGGCTAATTTTTTGTATTTTTAGTAGAAACAGGGTTTCTTCATGTTGACCAGGCTGGTCTCGAACTCCTGAGCTCACGCCATCTGCCCACCTTAGCCTCCCAAAGTGCTGGGATTACAGGCGTGAGCCACCGCACCCAGCCTACACCTCAATTTTTAAATGTTTAAAAACAAATAAAGCAAGGTCCCTTAAATGCTCCTCGGTGCATGGGGAAGACTATGGCAGATGTGGATTGGGCCCATGGTTGGTCTCCTTGACACTTTCACATTGAGGTCTCAGCCTCTAGGAGAAGCAATAGGACAAACTGGGGAAGAGGAGGATTTGGGGATAGGATCATTGAGGCCACCAGTGACCAATGCCAAGAGGTTTTTCTCAACAATCAGGACATGAAAAAGAGGCAGGCGGAGGCCACAGGAAGGACAGGAGGAATGCAGATGTCTTTGCCTCAGGGAAGATTGAGTTGTGCCCAGTTGTATTGGGGCATATTGTACATTACACAATAGTATTTCCTCTGGAATTTATGTCTGCTAACTTTCACTAACCAAAATTATAATTAAGCCAGCATCTCCCGATTTGGAAACGGTGAGAACAAATGACAGTTGGCCATATTTTTCAGCATCGTCCTTGGAAAAGACTATCAGTTATCAGTAATGCATCAGGAATGATCTAGGTGGAGATTCTCTCACTCACCAAATGCCAACCATTGAAGGGAGAGAGCCCTCTGCCTTGGCCACTGAGGTTCCACTGGATACAGGTTGGCCTTATTTTCCAACAAGTCTTGCATGGAAGGGGGTTGGCAGGTGTGCAAGTGACATTTCTTGTGTGTGTGTGTGTGTGCACGCAACAAGGCTGTTTATTTCACTTGGGTGCAGGCGGGCTGAGTCCGAAAAGAGAGTCAGCAAAGGGTGGTGGGATTATCATTAGTTCTTATAGGTTTGGGATAGGCGGTGGAGTTAGGAGCAATTTTTTACAGGCAGGGGGTGGATCTTAAAAAGTACATTCTCAAGGGCGGGGAGACTATTACAACATACCTTCTTAAGGGCAAGGGAATATACATTATCGCAAGGGCAGGGAGGGTGTATTGTCATAAGATCAATTGATCAGTTAAGGTGGGGCAGGAACAAATCAAATGGTGGAATGTCATCAGTTAAGGCAGGACCTGGCTAATTTCACTTCTTCTGTGGATCTTCAGGTGCTTCAGGCCATCTGGATGTAAACGTGCAGGTCACAGGGGATATGATGGGTTAGCTTGGGATCAGAGGCCTGACATTCCTGTCTTCTTATATTAATAAGAAAAACAAAACAAAATGGTGGTGAAGGGTTGGGGCGGTGAAAATTTTTGGGGGTGGTATGGAGAGATAATGGGCGATGTTTCTCAGGGCTGCTTCGAGTGGGACTGGGGGGGTGTGGGAACCTAGAGTGGGAGAGATTAAACTGAAGAAAGATTTGGGGGTAAGGGGTGATATTGTGGGGTTGTTAGAAGGAGCATTTGTCATATAGAATGATTGGTGATGGCCTGGATGCTGTTTTGTATGAATTGAGAAACTAAACGGAAGACACAAGGTCCAAATAAAAGAAGGAGGAAAACAGGTATTAAAGGACTAAGAATTGGAAGGACCCAGGACATCCAATTAAAGAGTGTCCAAGGGGGTTCAGTGTAATTATCTGTTTGGTTGGCAAGTTTTGGGGCTCTATCCTTGAGTTTTTTTGTGTTGTCATATATCAAGCCAGATTGATTTAGGTAAAAACAACACTCTTCATTTGAAAATATACAGTCCTCTTTTTTCAGCAGTGAGTAAGTGGAGGCCTATTCCTGTCTTCTTATATTAATAAGAAAAACAAAACAACAGTGAAGTGTTGGTGTCATCAGGGGACCAGGAAGCTGTTCGGACCTATTTGCAAATTGATTTTGGGAGGTAAGGAAAACTAGTGTACATGTGCCTGTCCAATTAACAAGGTAGACACATATAGGTGGAGAAGCCACAGAGGAAGAAGAGACCTTGTGTAAGGCAAAACTGGAAATGTAAAGTGAAAAGATGAGAGGGAGCACCAAAAGAGATGTCTTGCACCCAGAGTCCTACGGATCCAGCGAGGGCAGCTGCCGTTAGAGGTTGTACTGGGGATTGATGGGGCAACTGGGTAGAGGGGGAGGTTTGATTTTCATGGTGTATGAGAAAGTGCCTACAAGCAATCTTTCACTGCTATTCATGAGGTTGGGTACAAGTAAACAAGAAGAGGGGCTGGGAGGAGAGTCCAAAGAACAAGGGGAAGGTAGCCAAGGATGGAATGAAATGCAGGGCAAATGTCTTCCTAAGCAATAGTAACTGCTAATGTTTTTACGTTTGTCAGTATTGACACAGGGCTTATCTGTAATGCGGAGCTGAAAAGCCCCTAATGGTTTTGGTAATGTCCATAGTTGGGCTTTGGAGATGAAGAGGGAAAGAGCATAGAGAAGGTGAAAGGTTACCTAAGGGAATTCTGGTGGGTCTTTGCCGAGAGATGCACAAAGGAGAGGAAACAGGGATAGTAGTTTGTGTTGTGAGGGGTCCAAATATGGTGGGGGGGAGGGGTGGAACTGACATAAGGAGAAAGGTGCCGTAAGTAGATGCGGATAAGTGTGGCAGCTTGTTGGTGCGAAATGTCTGGGCAGTTCTCAACAAATCCATCCAGAAAGTAAAGAAGTTCCTCAGGCAGGTAAAGATGAGGGCTATTAAAGGAGGTTCGGAGGTGCAGGGAGAGGGAGAGGTAGTCCAGTCAACCTGTAGGGCGCGGACGGCTGTGTAAGAGCAGGAAGAAACGGAAATGCTAAGCCAGCAATTGTTCGCTAAGGAGGAATTAGAAATGGTGAGGAGGGAGTGAGTGAGATTGATAGTATGTTAGAGGTAATTAGGGAAGGGTAGGGAGCGACTGGAGAACAGGGGCAAGGATAAGAGTGAGTAGAAAAGTAAAAAAAAAAAGGACTTCGTCAGGATAGAAGAATTGGAGTGTACCTTGCCACTGAAGATCTTCTATCCGCTTCAAGAGAGACTTAAGGGTGGTTGTTTGAGGTAAAACCAGGAGATATCAGTTATGATGGTTTGGAGGAAAAGTGTAAACCGGCAGTGTAAACAAGGGCAGGGCATTTACAAGTAGTTGAGAATGGTGAATAGGAGTATGACTAGACAGCAGATAGTAGGGATGACAAGTTTTTGGGGTGCAGTCCAAGTAGTGGGGGTGACTGTATAAAGCCCTGTTGCAAAAAGTAGGGTAAGGACGAATAGACCTAATAGAATGAAGGGATGTATTAGGCTCATAAGCGTTATTACTGCTCTTCAGAAATGCGAGTGAGTTTAAGGGAAGTAGGGGAGAGCACTTGCGACTTCCAGGAGGAAGAGGAGAGATCAGGCTGGCTGTCCAATGGACACAGCTTTATTCTGGAACGGTGAACCCAATGGGGAGGGTCCTGCAGGCAGAAGGCAGTTGGAGTACTATAGATGACTGAGTGGGGTCCGGTCCACCGAGGTTGTAGAGTTTGAGGGGTCAGATTCTTAAGAACTGATTGTCCAGCTAGGGTGTCTTTATAAGGCTGGGAATCTGGAGTATGCAAGAGAAGATTAGCAGTCTGATGAATTTCCTGTCTAGCCTACTGGAGGACTGGAAGATAGTTGCCTAGAAGGCTGGTGTCTGGGATGAGATTGGGGCCCAGCAAGAAAGTGCGTCCATATAAAAGTTCAAATGGACTTTACCCTGTAACATCTTGAGGACAGGCTCTAATTTTGAGAAGGGCAAGAGGTAAAAGTACTGTCCAGTCCTTTTTAAGTTGGAGGCTGAGCTTGGTGAGGTGTGTCTTTAAAAGACCATTAGTCCGTTCTACCTTTCCTGAAGATTGAGGATGGTAAGGGGTATGAAGTTTCCACTGAATACCAAGAGACTAAGAAACTGCTTGGGTGATTTGACTAATAAAGGCCGGTCCGTTATCGGACTGTATAGAGGTGGGAAGGCCAAACCGAGGAATTATGTCTGAGAGAAGGGAAGAAATGACCGCGGTGGCCTTCTCAGACCCTGTGGGAAAGGCCTCTACCTATCCAGTGAAAGTGTCTATCTAGACCAAGAGGTATTTTAGTTTCCTGACTCGGGGCATGTGAGTAAAGTCAATTTGCCAGTCCTAGGCAGGGTCAAATCCCTGAGGCAAGGAACACTTCTTTGAACTCCAGGTCTGGGAGCTGCTTCTTCTGAAATTCTGGCTTTGTGATGCTAATGTTGCCCTTGGGACCCAGCCCAACTTCCCAGGTCTGTGTGAAGAGAGCTGAGCAGCAGCTTAGATCCCTTCTGGATTCTCTAGACTAGGTCCATTTTCTATGTCTTGAAATTTTCTTCCACAGATTAAGGTTACTTGCTCCCTTAAGCCTTTCATTAAAAAACACAAAAGATACTTCCAAACCACGAACACTCTCCCTCTTCTATCCCCTCCTTGGTGGTGGAGTTCAAAATTGGAACCCCCAGGGGAAACACCAGGACCCCAGGCAATTCTGTTCACCCTGATCATCCCTGAGCAGGCCACAGCTGAGGCCTCCCCTGGTTCTGGCCCTGACTCACTCTCTGGGGAATTACCCACTTTCCCATACAGCACAGAGGCCTTTATGTGGCTGCATTCCCTCATTCACTGATTCATTCATTCCCTCAATAAGTCTTTATTGAATGTCCACTCCAAGCACAGCTCCAGGCTGGGCCCTGGGGAGACAGCTGTGAATAGAACCCAATCCCTCTTCAAGGCGAGTACAGTATGGTGAAGGAAGCAGGGCTGAAAGAGTCATAATTAGGTGGGAAGTATTAACATAGGGGAAGTCTGCATGCTACGGGAGCACGTGGTTGAGGGGCACCTCCCTGAGGAAGTAGCATTTCTGCCAAGACCTAAAGGATGAGAAGGAGTGAGCCAGGCAGAATGCGGGAGCTTCCCAGGTGAAGGGAACAGTTCCTGCAGAAGCTGGCAGCTGAGAGAAGCCATGGCTTTCAGGGAACCCAGAGAGTTCTCAGTGGTTGGAGTATGAGGCATGGAGGAAGTTGGCCCCTGTCTCCTCACTGACCTTCTCTCATGTGACTGCCCCAGTGTTCCCTCCACTTCGGCCACCCTGACCTCCTTGCTGCTCCTGAATATGCCGGGCACAGCCCAGCTCGGAACCTTTGCATTAACCGCTGACCCTGCCCCAGGACATCTGCTTGGCTAACTCCCAGCTTCTTTCAAGTCTATGTCCATGTCTCATCTTCCCATTGAGACCTGTCTGAACTGAGCATCTATTTATGACCACAGGTGGTCCCCACTTGCCACCAGCCACCCCCTTTCCCTTCTCTACACTCCCTTTTTCCCAGCGTCTCTCTGTTCTCCTTCCACACTGTCTACCTTACTTATTCATCATGCTTACTGTCTATCTCCCACTCTAGAATGTGAACGTGAACGCTGCAAGAACAGAGGCCTTTGTTGTGTTCACTGAGGTATCCAAGCCCTTGCACAGTGGAAGGAACAAACAGATGGAATTTGAGAGGCTCACAGGGAGAAGCCAGGCTGCAGAGGCCTTGTAGGCCTGGTGAAGGCATGTGGGTTTGAGTCCCCAATGCAAAGGGAAAACATGACACAGAAGGGTTCCAAGGAGGGCAGAATCAGGGTCTGAGTTACGCTTTAAAAGCTCAATCTGGAGTCTTTGTGGAGAACGACTTGAAGGAGAGTGATATGGTTTGGCTCTGTGTCCTCACCCAAATCTCATCTCAAATTGCAATCCCCACATGTCAAGGGAGGGACCTAGTGGGAGGTGATTAGATCATGGGGGCAGATTCCCCCATGCTGTTCTCGTGACAGTGAGTGAGTTCTCACAAGAGCTGATGGCTTTAAAGTGTGGCACTTCCTTGCGTGCACTCTCTCTCTGTCTCTCCTGCTGCCATGTAAAATATGCCTTGCTTCCCCTTCACTTTTCACCATAATTATAAGTTCCTGGAGCCTCTCCAACCATTTGGAACTGTGAGCCAATTAAACATTTTTGTTTATAAATTACCCAGTCTCAGGTAGTATCTTTATAGCAGTGTGAAAACTGACTAATACAGAGAACAAATTACTGTTGGTATCCAGGCATTCAGTGGTACTCAGGCTAAGGTGGTGGCATGGAGGCCTGGGAGAAGTGGATGGACTCCAGAAATTCATTGGAAGGTGGACTCACCAGGCTTGGAAGATCAGACAACTGTGGGGTTGCAGGAAGACAGGGCAAGGAAGACTCCCAGCCTCCTGGTCTGAGCAACAGGGTCAGAGTAGAGCCATGTGCTGAGATCTGGGAGACAGGGGAGGCACATGTTGGAGGCTTGGGGTGTCAAGAGTTCTGTTTGGGCCATGGTGAGTTTCAGGTGCCTATTAGACTTTCAAGTGGAGATGTCAGGTAGCTGATTGGACAAGGTCAAAGCTCAGAAGCACAGTCAAGATTGAAAATATATAATGTATTAGGGGAATGTTGGCTTAGAGTTCTCTTTAAAGCTCTGAGAGTGTAAAGAGAGAAGAGAAGATGTCCAAGAACTGGCCCTAAGGACCAAGCCCTGAAGCCTTCTGACTTGGCCCTTGAAGAATGAGGACTTTGCCAGGAAGGTAAGAAGAAGGCAGTCCAGGCCAAAGGAACAGCATGGGCGTGAGCTCAACCTAAAAGAATATGGGCCTCAGGACTCTAAGAAACTGTGCGAGTCATCCAAAACAAAGAAAGTCTGAGAAACTGTCACAGCCAAGGCAGCCAGAGGGGACATGATGACTGAATGTGACGTAGTAGTCTGGAGGGATCCTGGAACAGAAAAGGGACATTAGGTAAAAACTCAGGAAATCTGAATAAAGTATGCACTTTAGTTAGTAATAATGCATCAATATGGTCTATTAATTGTACCAAATGCACCATACAACTCACATGTACAGCTGCATATATGTAAGGTGTTAATAACAGGGAAATTGGGTGTGGAGTATAAGAGAACTCTCTGTACTATCTTGTTAACTTTTCCCTAAATCTAAAACTGTTTTTAAAAATAATAAAGTTTATTTTTTAAAAAAGAGCATGAGTCTCATAAATACGCATGTGGGCACACACACATACACACACACACACACATCCATTCCAAAGACTATGGTAATTTCTTTCTCTGGAGAGGACTTTGACTCTGACCAGTCCCTTCAGTGGCCAAAAGACTCAGATACATTGTGAATATATCACCCCTCCCTCAGCCAAAGAACCAAGGGTCCTCAACTCCACCTACTTTCTTTCTGTTTACAGAAAACATACTCTCCTCAGGCCAGATTTCATAGTGAAAATGAGAAGCAGAGACGAAATGGCTCAGGTAAGTCAGACCCGCTAGAATTCCTGGGTGCGGCCAGAGTCCATCCCTTCAGATACTCCACAAAAGTACATCCCATGGCCACAATTTCCCTGAGTCCCACTTTGCTCCACAGCTGGTTTGGTTTCTCCCTTGCAGCATAAGTTCTGGCACCATCTGGGTTCAAATTCTGGCTCCACTACCAACTCATTATGTGATCTCGAGCAAGTCACTTGTGCCGTATTTCCTCAACTGTAAAAGGGGCATAACCATCACTTGAGGCCGGGCATGGTGACTCATGCCTGTAATCCCAGCACTTTGAGAGGCTGAGGCAGGTGGATCACTGGAAGTCAGGAGTTCGAGACCAACATGGCAAAACCCCTTCTCTACTAAAAATACAAAATTAGCCAGTTGCGGTTGCGTGCACCTGTAATCCCAGCTACTCGGGAGGCTGAGGCAGGAGAATTGCTTGAACCCAGGAGGTGGAGGTTGCAGTGAGCCATAAAAAAATAAAGAAAGAAAGAACCATAGCTTGATCAAAGAGCTATTGAGTGGATTAAATGAGGTGAACTGTAAATTGGATATAATTTCATCCTCTGAAGAAAGGATATAATACAGTGAATGCCAAATATCTGCCATCATGCCTGGCACTCCTGAAGGCTGGTTGTTGATGACAGACATGATCAGTCTGGCCAATCAATGAGGCCTCCAAAGATCAAGTGTCACCTTGGGCCCCTGATTGGCATCTGAGGTGTGGCAGATGGGCTTTCAGGACACTGGATGGTGTCTGGGGAGCAGAGAGGTACAGGACCCCTGAGTCAGAGCAGAAGCTGGATCTGGGCAGTGGCCATGGGCCAACCAAAGAGAGTTTGGCCAACAGTTGGCCTTGAAGGTACCAAGGCTGGTAACAGGCCGCAAAGGGAGGTGGTACTGTGTGGCTGAGACCACAACAGTCAGCTCAAGATTCCCTGGCTCTTTCAGACACAGCCTTGAACAGAGGCCATCCAGTACCCTGGACAGCTCCAGGAATCTCTAGATTTCAGGGGCTTAAGTTTTGTGGGCTGAGAACTGGATTGGGTCTTGGTTGTGCAAGCCACCTCACCTGCCTAAGTCTCAACGACCTCACCTGTAAACTGGAGGGAATACCCACCCTTCAGGGCTGTTGTGACGAGTGAATGAGATAGCAGACAGGCAGAAGAGCAGGTGGCCAAGGTCTGTAGTCGGACCACCTGCGTTCATGTATCCCAGCCCTACACTGTGTGACTTCAGAGAAGTTGCATCACCCCTCTGAGTCTCTGTTTTTTCTTATTTGCAATGTTAATAGACCCTGCTTCATAGGATTATGAAGATTAAATGAAACAGAACATGAAGCACACAATTAACATGAGTTTTTGTTTTAGAAGAAACTTAGCACCAGACACAGAATAGATCCTCAAAATTGCCAGCTTCTTGTATCTCCTGAAGCCCCCTGGTGAGCCTGGCACCTCCCACCTTTAGACCTGATTGGCCCACTCATCTCTGATTGTTACAGACACTCCACAAAGCCAGAGAAAGCAATCTGGTGGAGTTCCATAGGCCTCCACCCTCAACCTTCACACCCAGCAAAGACCCTGCCTCTCAGTGCCACCCACCCCACGATACTTGTGACATGTTTTAAAGTACCAGTGTATACTGTATAGTGTTTGTTCTGCACCAGCCTCTGTTCTGGGCCACACACACACACACACACACACACACACACACACACACACACACTCTAAGCTGATTAACCTCACAACCATGTGAGGAAAGTACTCTGGTTATTCCGATTTTACAGATGAGGAAACTGAGTTTCTGCGAGGTTAGGTAACTAAATCGTGGGGACACACAGCTTTTAATGGTGGTGGTGGGACCTGATCCCAGGTATGGCGCTTCAGAACCCCATGCTGGTAGCATCAACAAGGCCAGCGGCCAAAGAAAGCAGAAGAGTAGGTGGGAGACCGAGGCTGGAAGTCAGGACACTGTGTTCTCGCCTTGGCCCTGGAACCTCGGGGCTAGGAGTCCTCACTGCAGACGTTCACCCGCGCCCTGCCTGCTACCTGGGCGCGGACACCTGCCCTGGCCCCTGCCCCCCTCCTTCCCCCGGCGGCGTCTCCTCGCCCGCCCCTCCGGCCGCCGCCGTAACTTGACCCTCAGCGGGGTTTGGGACTTGGGGCCGCGTCACCGTCGCGGAGGCGCTTCGGCTCCGGACTACGCTCCTGCTGTGCGCTCGCGGGGCCAGCAGTGCTGGCTCTGCAGTAGGAGGCGCGGGGGCATGGCGCAGAGGCTGGGCGAGTGGGCCCGGGGGCCCTCCGATGCCACCGGGCTCTACCGGGCTGTGCTGCTCCGGTCGGGTAAGTGGGAGCAACGCCACCCTCGCCGCGGGAAGTGGGCGAGGAGGGCTCTGTGGTGCACGGCGCTCAGTCCCTGGCCAGTCCGCCGCTGGGCGCCTCTGCTTCGTTGCTCTGCTTCTTTCCTAACCTTCCGTCATTCTTTTTGCTTTTTTGTTTGTTTGTGACAGGGTCTCATTCTTTCTCCCCGACTGGAGTGCAGTGGTGCAATCATAGCTCACTGCAGCTTCCAACTCCTGGGCTCAAGCGATCCTCCCCATCCTCCCGCCTCAGCCTCCCGAGTAGCTGGGACTACAGGTGCGCACCACCACACCCAGCTAATTTTTTAAATTTTTTGTAGGGACGAGTTCTCCCTAGTGCTGCCCAGGCTGATCTCCAACTCCTGGGCTCAAACAATCCTCACGTCATTCTTTTTAATTACTTTTTTTTTCTTCCTCCTTTCTGCCTTTCTTTCCTTCCTTTGTTCCTTCCCTCTTCCTGCATTCATCCTTTTGGGGATCTATGACATACATTGCTTTCTTCCTATGTGTGAGAACACGCTCACACAGTTTCTTGACCACAGAAGTCCTGTGAGGTTCCACCTCCTGGCTGATCTCTTAAACAGAGACTCACACAAGTGCCTGAAGGCGGCTGTAGGCGCAGGAAGTTTGGGCCAGGAGAGAGGAAAATGGGCACGACTCGAGTAGCAGGCAATCAGGCATAAAGAAACTGGAGCCCGGCAGCGCGGTTGAAGGAGGTCTGCTGTCCAGTGAGGCATGACACAAGGTGGGGAGGGGAAGGGAAGGCAGATCTAGGAGAGCAACTGCCTTTCTATATGTGTGCATGCAACTATTTGGAAGGAAACACTGGGTGGTTTCATTTCTTAAGGTTGGGGGTTGGATGATAGGTGCTTTTTCTCTTCCATCTTTTTGTTTGCTTGTTTGCAGTAAGCACGTGTTTCTTTTCTATTCAGGAAATAAGCCTTTTTATTTAGAAAAATGAAGTTAACCTAATATATGACCAGTGTCCAAATAATTCGGAGAATACAGGGATGTAGGGGGGAAAAAAAGAGAAAGCAAAGCCCCGGTAAGCATTTGGGGTATTTTCCTCCCGACTCTCCTTGGAGAGAGACGTTTGGAGGAGGTGAAACGCTATCTCGTGCTGGGGTCCTGCACTGTGGAGGTCCGTGATTACAAAGCGTCAAGGGACTTGGGCTCACGGGCCAGCTACCCTCTGCCTTGGGCAAGGAGCTCGCCCCACCCGTAGGCCTGCCTGCCGACCGCTGGAGCCAAAAGCGCGAGGCAAACCAGCTGCCGCGTCTGCAGCGGCGGTGCCTGTCCCCGCGCCCCGCGCGGCCCGCTCTGGAACTGCTCGCCCTTCCCGCTTAAGCCCCGCCTGGGGGAGATCCCGCCACCCAGTTACTGGAACCACAGTTCTCCAAGTCCCAAAGCGAGAACTGGCCCAAACTTCAGGACTGGCGGCGCCTTCCTAAAGGAGGGTCTGAAATCTTGCTGAGGCGGGACAGGCAGAGAAGGAGTAGCTTTATCATCAGACGAATCTGATTTCCAATCCCAGCTCCGGCGATTTCCCTACAAAGCACGCCACCCTAAGTGTCCCCACCCAGTTCTCGATCGTCTCTCAAAGCTGCGGAGGGGGTCTCCCTAATCTGAAGGCCTTGTGTTCCCCCTCACCTCTTAGCTATCAACCCACGCAGAATAGCAAACACGTAGGAGTGTTTCCAGGGGCTGCACGCCTGCGGGTAAGGAGCCAGGAAGGGAGCGGGGCCTCGGAAAAGGGACGGAGGCTGCACTGACAAGCACTTAATATCCCTGGCTCCTTCCCTGCACCACTCTACAAGTGTTACCCATTGACGGTGTCCAGGTTCTTGGCGTCATGAACAAAGAATTGGACAAAACGCACAAACAAAGCAAGGAAAGAATGAAGTAACAAAAGCAAAGATGTATTGAAAATGAAAGTACACTCCACAGGGCGGGAGGGGGGCCGAGCATGGGGCCTCAAGAGCCCCGTTACGGAATTTTCTGGGGTTTAAATACCCTCTAGAGGTTTCCATCGGTTACTTGGTGTACGTCCTATGTAGATGAAGAGGATGGAGTGAAGTTATATAGTCATTTACTGGGTGCATGCCCTATGTAAATGGAGAGGATATTTCCTGTCATCGCCGAAGTGTCTCCATTTGATTTCGTTCTGTTCTGGGAAGTCAGCGTGAAGCGGCCATATGTTCCCTGCCTCCAGACCCTATTCTCCTGCCTCAGAAGGACACTGCCAATTGTTATCTCCATTTAAGAGATAAGAAGACCGAGGTTCAGAGAGCTTAAGCACCTTGCCCATGGTCCACTAAGGAACATTTTCTACCCCACAAAGAGGTAGAAAACACATTCAAACTGCGGTCCATCCATGCCAAAGTCTGCACACCTTCTGAGGATAGTCACAATAATGGCTGATGATTGTCAGCACTCAACGATCACCCCATCTCTGCTGTACATCTGCCATCTCATCAACTCCCTTCATTCATTTATTCATCCAGCTAATATTTATTGGCCTCTGTTTTCCAAGGTGCAGGGATGTATTTATAAATAAAACAGATCTGCCCCTCCTCTCAGGGAGCAGAGTAATGGAAACCCCTATTGGAAACATGAGGAAACCGAGGCTCAGATGGTAACATGACTTGTCTAAGGTCATACAACTCATCGAGAGTGAAGCTGAGATTCCAACCAGGACCGTGTGCCTCTGGACCCGCTCTCTGGCTGCTCCACACAGGGAGCGGCAGGAAGTGAGAATGGGAGTAAGGAGCCAATTTGGCCATGTGCTGAAGGGGTGAGCACTCCTTTCGTTGAGAAGCCCCCAAGGAGGACATTACAGATTCAGACCCAAAATAGAGGCTCTTTTCATTAACAGTAGCCTCAAGTCATGCAGCAGATAATATAACACTGGGTGACTCATGCCTTGAGGCCGGGAGTTCAAGACCAGCCTGGGCAAAATAGTGAGATCTCGTCTCTAGAAAAATGTTTAAAAATTAGCCCAGCATGGTGGTGCATGCCTGTGGTCCTAGCTACTCAGGAGGCTGAGGTGGGAGGATCACTTGAGCCCAGAGAGTTGAGGCTGCCATGAGCTGTGTTTGCTCCACTGCCCTCCAGCCTGAGCAACAGAGCAAGACCGTGTCCCCCCCCAAAAAAAAAGAAAAGAAAAAGAAAAAGAAAAACGTTTATCCCAAGGTATTTCAAAATAATTTTTTTTTTTTTTGACAGAGTTTTGCTCTTGTTGCCCAGGGTGGAGTGCAATGGCGGGATCTCAGCTCACTGCAACCTCTGGCTCCCGAGTTCAAGCAACTCTCCTGCCTCAGCCTCCTGAGTAGCTGGAATTACAGGCTCCCGCCACCACGCCCGGCTAATTTTGTATTTTTAATAGAGACAGGGTTTCACCATGTTGGTCAGGCTGGTCTCGAACTCCTGACCTGAGGTCATCCACCCGCCTTGGCCTCCCAAAGTGCTGGGATTACAGGCATGAGCCACCGCACCCGGCTAAAATAATTTCTTAATATTAGAGTAAGACATGCTCACCATAGATATTTCGAGAAATTGAGACTAAAGAGGAGGAGGCCTAACACATAATCCCACTAACCACGGGCGGCCACACATAACATTTGGAAATGCCTCCTTCCAAACCTTGCTATGCATAGTGTGTGTGTGTTTTACACTGTTGAGACTGTTCTGACTCTAGTCTTTAATTCCACTTTTTTCAGTTGGATGAAAATCTTGAATGCTCGGCCGGGCACAGTGGCTCACGCCTGTAATCCCAACGCTCTGCGAGGCCAAGGCAGGTGGATCACTTGAGGTCAGGTGTTCGAGACCAGCCTGGCCAACATAGTGAAACCCCATCTCTACCAAAAATACAAAAATTAGCTAGGCGTGATGGCAGGTGCCTGTAATGCCAGCTACTCGGGAGGCTGAGGTGGGAGAATCACTTGAACCCGGGAGGCAGAGGTCGCAGTGAGCCGAAATCGTGCCACTGCCCTCCAGCCTGGCAACAGAGCAAGACTCTGTCTCAAACAAACAAACAAACAAACTTGAATGCTCTTAAGTGAGTTATCAAAATAATAGTTGCCACTTACAGAGCCCTGACTCCATGGCAGCCACGGTGTGAAGGGCTCTCCAGAACATATCTCCTTTGTTCCTCAAAAACACGTCTGCCCCATTTTAGGGAGGAGGAAACAGAGAGTTGAAGGTCACCCAGTTGTCCAGCAATGGAGTCAGGATTGTGGTCCGGGTTGGCACCAGAGTCCATGCTCTCAATCACAGGGCTAGAAGGGTCACCTCTGTGGAATAACTCCTGTTTGGCCATGCCTGGGAGGCAATACAGTCCAGTAGTTCAAGTCCACTTGAGGGGCGTTAACCTGCATCCTACCTGGAGCTCAGGTCATGTTCCTGGAAGGGAGGAAAGCATCTCTCTGCACTATGGACAAAAAGGCACCTCCCCAGGTGCCTGCGGGCATCAGCAACTATACTTCTTCTCCGCAGCCAGAGGGGCAGACGCAGCCTCCACCCCTGCCTCTGCCAGGTAGGGCTGCCAGATAAAATACAGGGCACTCAGTTCCATCTGAATTTCAGAGAAACAACAAATCATATTTTAGTGTAAGCATGTTCCAGCTATGTCATGGACTATACTAAAAAGTTATTTGGTGCTCATTAGAAATTCAAATTTAACTTCGATGTGTGACATTTTTATTTGGTACATCTAGCAACTATGCTGCCAGGAATCATGAAGTTTGCTCAGTTTGACAGCTGTGGTCTGCCCAGGTTCTCCTGCATGCATGCGCGCACACATACACACACACACAGAGAAACAGACACACACACGCACACACACACATGCTCCCTCTCACATCCTCTCACCATCCATAGATTCACTCACTGTGCTTCTTGTCTGATTACAAGGGAATTAAAATGTACTGGGGATGGGGGTACCCCAGGGTCCTTCTGCAGCTAAGAGACCAAATTAACCATGTCTAATTGCAGCTGGGTGGAGAGCCAGCTTTCAGAAACAAGACTCTAAGTTCTTCCCCACCCCCTCTCACTTTCCCATTTTCACGCTTGAAATCCCTCAACTGGGTAAATTCTTCCCGGTTCAAACTTGTTGTAAAGGCGACTCTCATTCCTTTTATAATCTCTCCACAGATCCCATGACAGGTTCTTTCTGCCAGCACAGCTTCTTCTCCCCCAACCCCCGAGTCCTTTCTGCAGAGCATGTTTGAGAGGCGGGGGGCACGGTTTAATCCTAGGGCTGTTTTGTGGGTGGCTGCTCAGAAACCCCATTGAGGCCTTGAAAAGGGGCCTTGGAGATTTAGACTGAATACAGGGCTGAGGAGGAAGTTTTAAGTTGCCATGGAAACTTCTTGTTTGATGTTCGTGGGCCCAGATAAGCTGTTCTAGGCGCCCATGGGCTTGGAGAAAGGGGGCAAAAATGAAACAAAAGCTGTTTGGGGAGGTTATTTTCTGCACACTGCAGCCCAGCCCACTATAGATGCAGGAAAATTCTCCACCTCCCTGTCAGGACTGCCTCCCCTGGTCTTCCCTGTCCCCCTTCCTTTGGGTTCCTCTGGTTCCCAAGAAATCAGAGTTAAAAGGGGATGGGAGGGAAGACAGGAGGGGTGTGCCCAGCCCCTGGGCTTCCCCCTTTGATGCCCCAGCTCACCAGGGGGCCGAGCAAGTATGCAGATCCCCAGGCCCCTGGCTTCCCAGAGTCCTTCCTTTTGGAAGAATAGGAAGACCTCCAGGGAAAGCCACACAGAAGGAGGCAGGAGACAGCGACTGTGGCTTGAATTATGCAATTACCTGGAGTAAACGCCTCAAAGGCTTGTTTGTTCAGAGGGCCTCTGTTTTCCCATATTCTGATGACATAACTGAGCCAGATGTGATTCCTAACTAACTACAGTTGTTTGGGAAATGTTGCTCTTTCTCACATTTTTAATTCTTAGAGTCTTTTTCTGATAACAAAAGTAATATATGCTAGGGCCTTTTTTTTTCTTTTAACACCGCAAACATCACAGAAATGCAGTGACAAAGGAGAAGGGCCTGTAATTTTACGCTGTAGAACAATGGTCCTCAAACTCTTTAATATAAATGAGCCCCCAGAGAGGTATGTTTAAAATCCAGATTCCATGGTGGCTTCATTCCTGTGATCCTAGCACTTTGGGAGGCTGAAGCAGGAGGAACACTTGAGGCCAAGAGTTCAAGACCAGCCTGGGCAACACAGTGAGATCTCATTTCTAAAAAAAATAAAAAATTAGCTGGGTGTGGTGGCATGTGTCTGTAGTCTCAGCTACTTGGGAGACTGAGGTGGGAGGCTCGCTTGATCCCAGGAGGTCAAGGCTGCAGTGAGCCATTATGGCACCACTGCATTCAGCCTAGGTAACAGAGTAATGCTCTGTCTCAAAAAAAAAAAAAAAAAAAAAATCCAGATTCCTAGGTTCCTCCCTAGGAAAAAAAAAAAGCAAGAGCATTTTTAGCACTCATTTCAAATGACATCTAGTAATAGTATTTGAGATACACTGATCTAGAGTTGACCTCTGCTAACAGATTAGTGTATTTGCCTCCACACTAGTTCTTTATACATATACCAACTTTTTTATCTTGAAAAAAAAAAGAGATCCTACTACATATGATTTTTCATTGAATATGTAGAAGACATCTTTTTCAGGTCAATACATAGACATGTTTATTGGCTGCATCTCGTCTTGGGGTGTAGCATAGTCTCTTGCTGATGGAGTGTGGCCTGGGAAAGGGTGGTGGTTGGCCGCTGATCTCACGTACAGTTGCACCTGCACATGGACACACAGCAAGATGGTGCTGTAACAAGCTCAGCGCTGTCAAGGTTTTCGGTGTCTTCAGGTTAACAATAGTTATTGAGCCCCTCAGTACTGGGACAGGAAGATAGGTAGGTACCTGCCCTGGGGCTAGCAGTCTGATGGGTTTGTATACAAGTTGGACTGTGAGAAGAGTTTTTGTGGGAGAAGCACAGTGACTCCCAACTGCCCACGGAAAATGACGCCCAACATCCGAGGACTACTGCCCAGTTCTCCTTGGCTGTCAGGTGCGTGTTCCTCTGAAGTGTACCAGGTGATGGGCTTCTGTCTTCTCCGGGGATGAGCAGGAGCTGTCAGAAGTTCCCCCGCTCCAGGATCCTTCTTACTCTCCAACTGTTAGAAGGCACTGGGATTGGTTCATCTGAGCCACCAAAGACCCTAGGAAATATTCAAAATACTTCTTTGCAGAGCAGGAGGATGTGTGCAAGGAACCAGGGTCAGCAAAGAGTGGTTTGACAAGAATCTAGCTGTCCTCTTCTACCAGGAGAGTTTGGGGAAGTTAAGGCAGAGCAGGGTGGGAGGCTGAGGGGGCTACCATTCATAGTGCCTCAAGAAATGCAGAATTGGGGAAGAAGAAAAAAAGGGACCACACATTGTTTCCAGAAAATTGTTTTATACCCAAGAATTTAGGACCCTCTTAGTTTAAGTGGCTCGAGAATGGTCAGCGTGGCCAAGACTCCCTGGACATGCCTGCCCTGTCCCTCCCACTCCACCCCTGTCTCCCACCTCCCTCACTCCCAAGATGGCACCCAGCCTGCCTTTACATCACACCAGGATCCACCCAGTCTGGGCCTTTCCACTGGCTCTTCCCACCCTACGAAGACTCTCCCATGTGTACAGACTTCACACAACTGACTCCTTGTGATTCTGCTACCCTAAAACACCACCCGCTCTCACCTCACCCAGCCTTGCGTTCATCACGGCATTCCTCACTGCCTGACGTCATCCTGAATGTCCCCTTCTTTACTGTGTGTCCCCCTTGAAGGTAGGTTCCCTGACAGCAGGGATATTACCTGTGTCATTCACATGGTACCCCCAGCACTTAGAACAGTGCCAGGAACACAGTAGGAATTAAATAAATGTTTGTTAAATGAACAAATAATATAGGCCAAAGAAGACACAAGGTTGCCTTGTTAAAGCCTCCATTCACCTGTGATGCATGTCCTAGGCCTCATCACCTTCTAGCCAACCAAGACTCCATGAGAAAGTAAAGTTGGGGTGGAGGCCTGGTCTAACTGGTAGACCCCAGCTTCCTCACTGGGGAACTAGGATGACACTAAACGATAGAAAACACTTCCAGCTTTTCAAGTGAAAGCTGATTCTGAAATTAGGAGAATGCCTCCATTATCTATAAGCATCCAGGCTGGCCTTAAGGATCTACATACATTTTTTACTTTTCTTGGGTTTTTTTGTTTGTTTGTTTTTTGGGTTTTTTTGAGACAGTCTTGCTCTGTCACCCAGGCTGGAGTGCAGTGGCCCAATCTTGGCTCACTGCAAACTCTGCCTCCCAAGTTCAAGCAATTCTCCTGCCTCAGCCTCCCAGGTAGCTGGGATTACAGGTGTGTGCCACCACCCCTGGCTAATTTTTGTATTTTTAGTAGAGACAGGGTTTTACCATGTTGGCCAGGCTGTTCTCAAACTTCTGACCTCAAATGATCTGCCTACCTCAGCCTCCCAAAGTGCTGGGATTACAGGCATGAGCTACCATGCCTGGCCTACTTTTATATTTTACATTCACATGTTCATTCATTGAGCCACTACTTATGGAACACATATTCTGCCAGGCAAAATGCACCATGCTGGGCTCTGGCCTCAGATCACGTAGAGTCCAGGTCTCTCTTGGAGAAAAGTCCTATATGCTGAGCTTTGACTATGTGCTTCACTAATGTCATCTCATCCATGTCATCTCCCAACCACCCTGGTATGCTCCACATTTGACAAACACAGAAACCAAGACACAGAGACACTGAGTGGCTGCTGAAGGGGCTGGTGCTGGAGCCAGGGCCAACACATGAGCCTGCTGAGACCCAGACACGGTGCATCCCCTCTCCCACGCTCTTCCGTTGGCTCCTCTGTGAAGTTCCAATGACATTCAAGGTATCAGGAAAACGCTGTGTACGGAGTTTCTGACCCATTCGTGGATAATTAAGAACTGACCCAATGCTGAGCAGTTTCCCCTCCCTTTACACCCCACCCTTTTCCCCCCAGAGCCATTTTCTCCTGAAGAATCCACACCACTGCCTCAGGAAGCTTGGCTTCCCCTCCCATGGGGAAGTGCTGGAATCCACTCTTGCCTGACCCTCCCATAAGAAACAAGGGAAATTCCTTTACGTGAGCCGCCTTGCTCAGAACAAAGCTTGGCGTGTTTCTTATTCCTCATCAATCTGACAAAATGGGTATTTATTTGTGCCTCTCAAGCGTGTGGCTTGGACATGATGTTCCGCATCGTGGAAGTGGCCGTGCACCAAGTGGAATATCTGTTACTATAGTAACAGTTCCTTTTTATTGATACCAGAATAAACAGGAATGCAAAGGCTGTCTCACTTGTTGGCACATTTCAGCAGCCTCCGTTCCCAGGGGTTTAAGAACCGCCCTCTAGAGGCAGCCCTCCTTGCTAGTCTGGGACTTCCCGGTGGAGTGAGGAACCCAGCAACACGCTCCTGACTTCCCTTCCCAAGGACTCGACCTGAGAAGTAAGACCATCTCTGTTCTGTTTCATCTGCTGTTGAGAGCGGTGCCGTTCGGGAGGAGGTGGAAGGGAAGGAGGGCAGACCCGGTACACTGAAGTGGGCTGTCAGTGGACCTGAGTGCTTTGAGTTTAGGTACCCGGGCTATGTCCCAGCATCCATAAAATGATACGGGAGATGCCTCCAGGCACCCTGGGTTTCGGAAAAGGGTAGGAGACAAAGAAGCGAGCCCCCTGGCATAGCCCTGCATTCTTGTTGATCTTTTTCTGCTGCATCCTCAGGTGAATCTGAATTAATGCATGATATAGCCTCACCTAAGTCAATTATCACACAGTATGGGGGTTTAATTCTCAGCACAACAGACAGAACACAGATTTCAGCTTCAGAGTTTGGCTCAGATTCAAGCTCTTTCCTTCACCGGCTGTGTGATTTGGGGAAATCAGATGACTTCCCTGAACTTCAGTTTCCTTGACTGTAAAAAGAGGATAATAACAGTACCCACCTCTTCAGTCTGTCGTAAGAATTTCATATTTCATGAGATATGGCTGCTAGGTGCTTAGCACAGTGCATGGCACATAGTGCACGCAGGTTAACGTGTGAAGGGCCTGCCTTTCTGGTGAATTTGGCTTTAGGACTTTGCAATACAAGGCAAGTCTGAGATTGGGCCAGAAATCAAGAGCTGTAGGATTGGGTGTGTCACTTTTTGAAACTGCTACCAAACCCAAGTAGCTTTGAGCTTCAAGGCAGCCCCCACGCCTGCATCTCTGGGTGGCTTAGATCCTGAGTGGCCCTCTTAGTTCTGTTGGTGGTGAGTACCTGCTGGAATTTTCCCTGCAGAGGCATCTGCCAGGTAAAGTGGCTGACATCATGCCACTAATGAGCCAGCAGGGATTCCAGGTCTGCTGATGCTTGTTCCAGATCAACTGCACAATGCTGTCCACTAACCTTGCTAAGTATCCTCCATGTCTAGCCCTGGACTCTGCTATTTAATTGGTTCAAAATCCTAAATGTCCACCCAACATTCTCCTTCCGAGGTAGGAAGTTGCAACGGACCTGAGGCAAAATGTTCAGGAAGTCAGCCTTGAGTCATTGCATCCAAATGGACAAGCAGCTCTGCTGGGGGCTTCCGAGCATCGACCAGAAGCTGCTGGGAGATCTGGAGGTGGCTCCGAGATACACTGTTCTTTGGCTGCTGGCCAGTGAAATACAAATAGGCACTTTCCCCATGGAGAGGAAAAAAGCCAGAAGGGTCAGGAAATCCAGTGACCGTGCTTGTCACTTTTACTGAATGCCTGTTTTTCCTTTGCCAGTCGTTATTTTGAAAGCCTCTCTTCTCCTCTGCCCTGGCATCCCATTAAATGCTGAACCAAGAGGGTTCTGAATGTGTTCGGAACCCAGCAGCTTGAACAGTAATGAGGAAGTGGGGGCACAGGAGGGAAGGCCACCAGCTGGTCCTCTCCTAAACAGAGACCAGCCTGAGGCCAGACAGGCCCGTGGACTCTAGCTTAAGCCCAAAGCTGCTAGGGCCAGGCTGGGGCTCCCCAGTGAGAGTTTGCATTTCACGTAGGCTAGGAGTCCTCAAGTTAGCAGGCCTCCATGTTCTTATCTATAAAATGGGCTCACACAGCCTCTTCATTGGGGTTTCTTGACTATCTAGAGAGAGAAAAGGGACATAACCCTGCTTTGTCAACTAAAAGACATTTTGCACCTTGAAGACAGTGGAGAGGTAGAAAGAGCATTGAATTTGGCGTCCAAGGTCCTGGCTTTGCTGCTTACTCTCTGTGTATCGAGACAAGTAGCTTGGCCTCTCTGAGCCTTAGTTTTCTCATCTATAAAACAGGGTACCACTGGCTGCCTCCAAGGGTGATTTAGAGATCCAGATCAAATTCTAGTGGTGACCACAGGGTTTCTTCAGGACAGAAGTACCATAGTTTGTCTTCGGTGAGCATCACTCTGCCAGGCGCTGGGCTAAGCACATCATGCCATTGTATCACTTCACCCTCCAAACTGCTCCATGAATAGGCTGTTATCCTTGCTGTATAGAGGCTCAGAGAGGTTAAGCTACTTGCCCAAGGTAACACAGCTGGGAAGGATTGCCACCATGAATCAAACCCACTCTGTCTCCACTAAAACATCTGCTTTAACCATTGCTTTACTGGCTTATGTGTCATTTGTTACAACTGATGCCATCGAAGACAGAAACATGACTACCAGAACAGTGGAGAGGCAAGTGGAAGGGACACTGAGGCCTTAGACAGCCTGGGGTCCCATGGCTATTGTCAAGACGAACTGGGCCCCGAGACTCCATCAGTGCAGCTCTCCTTCTGTCTCTCCTTACTCTCTCCTGTGGCTGCAGGCACCAGTGTTTGGTTTCAAATCTGCCACCCTGCATTAGCCATGCATGCCCCAGTGGCCCGGTGCACTCTCCGTGGGAGCAGCAGTGATCTCTGCTGAGCCTTGCCTGGTGTGGGGCCAACATCCTGTGGAGCCTGTGGCAAGGAGCTCTGGGACCTCTTGGGTCACCAACAGAACCAGGGAGGAACCAAGCAAGGGGTTCCAAATCTTTCCTCAGACCCCTTATTATCCCCACCCCAGGAAAAACAACATCAGTCCCATAAACTGCATATTGAGAATTATTTGCCATCCTATAGTCATGCAAGACACTCAATAGCTGTCGCCTACTGGTGGCCTCCACCCCATGCCCAGCTCTTTAGCTCATCCAATCTTCACAGCATCACAATTCTACAGAGGAGCATCCCAGAGGTTAGAGACCATCCCAAGATCACACAGCTGCTAAGAACTGTGACCTTAATCAGATTTGCTCACAATAACCAGGCCAACTACAGTCAGCTGAGATCCTTCAGGACCGAAGCAAATAAGTTTGTGTTTTGGGTTTTTAACTCCATGGTTTGCAAAGTTGGCTGACTCTAGGAATCACCTAGGGAGCTTTTAAAAATCCCCAAAGCCAAGCCGCCCCCCAAACCCATTAAATCAGAATCCCTGTGGTGGGACTCAGGCACTGGAATTTTTGAAACTTCCTGTGGTGATGCCGATATGCAGCCAAAGTTAAGATCCACTGATTTAACCAGTGTGGTTTCTGAGGATGAGAAGGCTCCATCTAGGACTAGGAATGGGATTTATTAATAGTGATTGTTAATAGCAGCTAACAGGGTGGTCACACTGCCATTCCAGGGGCACCATTCACAGTTTAATCTATAGGAGTTGAGGACTTGCTGTGAGGTACCCAACCAGCCTGTTGTATGTGGCAGCCCTGGTAGCCAGCCCCAAGCGCTCAACTCTGTACGAGGCATTTGCCAAGCACCTTGCAAGTATCACCTCGTTTATGATATCACAAGTTCATGGAGGAGGATTCTAATGTAACGCTCATTTTGCAGAGGAGGAAACACCAGATCAAAAGCAGCTGTCCCATCTCAACTCTGCTGTTCAGTGGGAAACAGCCATAGACAATAAGTGGGCGTGGTGTGTCCCAGGGCTGTGGGATTTGGTCCAAAGGCTGTAGTTTCCAGGCTCCAGCTCCAGAGGGTAGGGAGGCATGGACAGAGCTGACATTCGAATGCAAGTCTGAATGGCTTCAGCCTCCCTATGCTACTGCTTCCTCCTGCATTTCTTTAACAGCCATGAAGAATACAAACAAGCCACTTACCTTTCTCCTTCGTGATTGGCCCGCTCCTCCTTCTCCCTGCTAGCTCTTCTCCTGGGTGTTCACCTTTTTCTTTCCAGAGAGGACATGTCTAATGCCCACTTCCCCTCTTAGCTGCTCCACAGCCACTCCCCGGATGGACCCCAGAGTCTTGGATCTCTCGGGATGCCCAGAAGCCTTGGGAACAACCCCAGTCCTCTGCCTCAGGAGGCCCAGCTGACCGCCCAAGACAGCCTGGATTTTCTTGGCCTGCCACCTGTGCTTTATTGAGTAGTCTCTTTTATAACAGGACCTGCATGAGGTTCTTCCACCCAGAGACCTTGGTTAAATAAATTAAAAGGCAGAAAGGCTGGCTCAGCTTTCTAAGTCCTGGGGGTCCCCAGCAACCCTCCTCACCCCACCCCTCATAGGTGTATACGTGGATCTCACAGGGGTTGTTTGCTGGGGTTCAGCACCCTGAGTGGCAAAGGCGATGGTTTTTCCCCTGCAGCTCTGAGCTAAGGCACCAGCCACATCCCTCAGGGTTCCTGCCTCACCCACCACACCAGCCTGGCCTCAGGGAAATACCATCATCCACAGCTCACTGCTGATTTAATTAATTTTTTTTTTAAGGCCTGGAGCAAGTCATTGAGCCAGGGCTGACCACAGATTGGAGCTGGGGTGCAGGACTGGCTTCATAATTGACAGGGCCCAGTGCAAAATAAAAAAGGAGTGCCACTTGTTCAAAATGCATTTGGAATTTCAAGACAACAACAACAGAAGGTCAAACCAAACAGGGCCCCTCTTCCAAGGGCAACCCTGTGTGACTGAGTCCGACCGTCTGGCCCTGGGGCAGCCAACCCACTGGCTGGCCGGCAACTTACGTATGGGGCGAAGGTCTCAGCCAGGTCAATCACAGATTTTTCCCCTGGAAGTTAACAGAAGAGACAGAGACCACCCATTGGAAGTGAAGGAAACCAAAGTCAAAACATCCCAAGGCCTCTGATGGTTTCCCCACACAGCAGCGAGAATAACCTTTTTATAACTGAATCAGGTGCGCCTTTCCCCGACTTGAACCCACCCGTCCACCCTCACTCCAGGCGCTCTCCCAGTCTCTCAGCTCACACCACTCCCAGCACACTATGTCTTTTTGTTCCCTGAACAGACCCAGCTTGTTCAAGGTACATGAGTCACACATGCTGTTCCCTAGGCCCCAAATGGCCTCCTTCCTCATTCTCAACTGTCAGATCTTAATGTCGCCTCCTCAGAGAGGCCCTCACCACACCTGGCTGACAGCGGGTCCCTCCTTAGTCTCTATGGGAGCCTGGAGCCTTTTGTGGTCTTTCGTTTTCATTGGCTTGTGTGTGTGCTGACTGTTGGCCTCCCCAGCAGAGTGTGGGTTCTGTGAGCGCCGGGATCTCACTTGTTTAGTTCTCCTCTGTGTGTCCAGTGTCTACCACAGTGCCAGGAAAATCACAGGAACTCGAACATGTGTGGAATGCATGACTATTTTTATTATTACGCACTTTCTCAGTGGTCATTCCCGTTACTCAGGAGCTCTTGATTTTGTGTACTTATTTTGTATCTGGCCACATTCTTGAACTCTCTCAGTTTCAAATGCGTTTCTGTTCATCCATGTGGGAATTCTGGGTGTATGGCTTTATCTATACAAATATTAAGGCTGCCATCTCCTTTCCTAAAGTTATCCAACTTATTCTATTTCCTACCTTATCACTTTGGCAACATACAGTGAGTTCTTTTAAGGATGGTGTGGCTGATGAAAAGCAAGCAGCTCTGGAAGATTTGGGGGGCACAGAGGGACTAAGAACAGGTGAATAGCTGGGGAGCCAAAGTAGTTATTAAAGTGTGGCATGAGCTGAACAGGAAGAGAGCTGAGGTCACGGGAAGGAAAGAGCGTAGCTGAGAATTACTCAGTCAAAGGATGGGCGACACTTGACAATAGGAATAGGCAGCAAAAGAGAGAAGATCTCAAAGCTCCAATCTGAATCCAGGTGTTCTAATACGTAAGCACCCAGAGAGCTTGATCCCACAGACAATAAAATACCCACACTAAGGAGTGGGAGCTGATACAGCCAACTATGTATTTTGTCGAGTGCCCATTTTAAAGTAACTCTAAGTACTATTATGATCACTTTTTAAGGACCAAAAAATTAGGAAGGATATAACCTGAAAGCAAACAGCCTTATGAAAAAGATGAGAAAAAAAGGGAAGTTAATAAGAATTCTCATTACAGAAATGGTTCTGAGAATATGAATTTGAGAAAAAAATTAACATGTCTATCCTCTGACACTTCACCTGGCTACATCCAAAATACCTTATAATAATTAACACTTTTTCCAGGTTACACAGCACCTTTACGTATGTGGTCTTACTTGCTCCTCCTAACAGCAGCCTGTGATGGGTCATCATAGAAATGCCAAACACGGGTCTGGTGGCCACCGTTGCAAAGTACAGTCTCCTGTTTTATGCCCAGATTCCTGACATATCACCTTGCAACGTGCACCCCGTCAAACCCCCCTCTCTGTATTTTCTGACCCCAATAAGCTGTTTGCCACTTTCAGGTTTTCACACATCCCTGTTCATCCATGAAACTGCATTTGGGCAGAGAATGGTTCTCATCCCCTTCCCAGTGTGGGGGAGGAAATGAGAGTCTGTCCACAGGCAACATGGTGGCCCTCAAGCAGGGGCTGAAGCCTGGTGTTTGAAATGGGGACACACTCCCTCAGTTGCCACATGAAAATCACATGCCACCGGGCACTGGTTCCCCAAGACCAAAGAAAACTTCAAAAGTTGCATTGGCAATTACCAACAAATGTGTATTGATCGCCTACTGCATACCAGACCAGACACTGCCAACTGTCAGGGCCTGGCATATAATAGGAGCTCAACCTCTGCAAAGCTAGACTCATGAAGAGAGCAGAGCTAAAGTCTAAATTTTCACTGAAATTCCTATAAGCAGCTAATGGCCAGGCAGTGTCTATACCTTTGAGGCCTTTTTTTTTTTAAGTCAGTCTCTTTCTCTCTCTCTCTCTCTCTCTCTCTCTCTCTCTCTCTCTCTCTCTCTCTCTCTGCTGTATTTGCTTTTGGGCATTTCAAGGATAAGGAGCCAGTTTGTAGAAGAGGGAGCCCTTGTGTCTGAATTTTAAGTAAACTGACAGATTTCAAACCGCTGTGGTAGAAGTGGGGCCATTGAGTAGCCAAACATTTGACAACTATCCCTTTGCTATTAGGGACACAGCAGTCTCTGAATTTCATGCTCTCCTCTTTGATGTGAAGAAAATGAAAAGCTGAACAGTTGTGGAACTGTGGATAGAGTTAGACAATAAGGGTAATACTTTCTTTTTATCACTGCATTTATCCAAATTGTTTTTAACAAGTACATGTTACTCTTTTTAAATATATTTTCCTTTTCTGTTACAAGCTCATTGAAAAACAGAAACTCAAACATAATTCCTTTTATAGTGGGCGAAAACTGTTGCAAAGCCAGGCCAAAAATATGCATGTGTCAACCCGTATTTTGTGACCCGTTATCATTTTACTTCTATACTCCAGACACATCGCAAACATCATCTCCAATTCTGACAGCCCTGTGCATGCGTTCCGTTATGATTTCCATTTTATAAGTGAAGAAACTAAGGCTCAGAAAGTCAGGTAGCTTGCCCAGGTATGCGCAGTAGCAGGTGGCCAAGGTCCATCTGACATGAAAACCTTGCCCTTCAACTGTGTCCCATGGGGCAGGGTGAGATTATAGGCTCAGCTCTGAGCTACTCCTCTGCCCATCTCTACAGCCGCCATGTACTCGGAGATCCAGAGGGAGCGGGCAGACATTGGGGGCCTGATGGCCCGGCCAGAATACAGAGAGTGGAATCCGGAGCTCATCAAGCCCAAGAAGCTGCTGAACCCCGTGAAGGCCTCTCGGAGTCACCAGGAGCTCCACCGGGAGCTGCTCATGAACCACAGAAGGTAGGGATGAAGCCCTGCTGCCTGGGCCCCGCAAGCACCTGGGCCTGTGGGGGATGGGGAAGGTGACCCTGGAGGAAAGCAGAGCTGGCTTTCATCCTGGGGCTCCTGGAGACTGAGGAAGGCTGAGGTGCCCCACATGATCACCGGCAAAACCTGTAAAGACCCTGTCCCCAGTGGGTCCCTGGGAACCAGAGGGACCAAAAAGCCCTGTTCTCTTGCCCAGCCACCCATTTCATGCCCACACTCCAGATACATTTACTGAGTACCTACTATGTGCTGGGCACTGAGCCCAGACCTGGGGATACAAGAATGAATGGGACCCAGTTCCTGTCCTCACAGACAGGGACGGGTGCATAGCCAGGCAGTAGGATGGGTGCATTGATGAGGGCATAAATAGGCCTGAGACCCCAGAGGAGGAACCCGAGAGGGGTCTAAAATGACTTCACAGGAGCGGTGCTGCCTCAGCTATGACCTGAAGGGGGACTGGAGTTAGCCAGGCCGGAGGTGGGTGCTGGATGGCAGAGGGAACCTCATATGTAAATGAACAGGAAACAGGAGTCACTCACTGTGCCTGGGGCATCGATTGCGTGGTGCAGGCCAGGGCAGAAGGATGGACTAAGGAAAGGTCTACAGCAGGGGCACAAGGTGTGGTGGGCCCGTCTGGTGAGGTGGGATGGGGGAGCTCACAATACCAAAGTGGGCAGGAATGTTACAGAGGCCCAGGATGGTGGCTGGCTTTTCCGTGGAAGGCCGTGGTGTGCAATGACAGAGACGAGCCAGAGGGGCATCTGGGAGGTGGCAGGGGTGGGATGGGGCAATTGATGGGATGTGAATTGGAGAAGAGGAAGGCTGAGCCTCCCCTTGGAGGACTGGGAAATACTCCTGCTAACCAGTAACAGCGTGAACGCAGCGGTGCCTTCAGAGCGCCCTCTGCTGGCCGATTCTGGTATTAGAGCCGGTTGTGATTTCTATTCTTGTTTTCAGTTGTGTGACCAATATCCTAACAGTTATCATTTTGTACACTGAGTCGCTTTTGTTTTTGTTTTCAATTAGTATTATAATATGAGCATTTTCTCTGAATGGTTTTTAGACTCGTCCCTTTAATATCAAAAAACATCACCACAATCAAAAACAAAAGCTTAAAGACAAATCAGAGAAAGTATTTGTAATATAAATAAATTTTATTTTTAAAACTCACATATACAAAAAAAAATTCAGATCTCTTGTTTTTTTTCTTTTTTTCTTTTTTTTTGTTTGAGATGAAGTCTCGCTCTGTCGCCCAGGCTGGAGTGCAGTGGCGCGACCTCAGCTCACTGCAAGCTCCACCTCCCAGGTTCATGCCATTCTCCTGCCTCAGCCTCCCAAGTAGCAGGGACTACAGGTGCCCGCCACCACACTCGGCTAATTCTTTTGTATTTCTAGTAGAGACAGGGTTTCACTGTGTTAGCCAGGATGGTCTCGGTCTCCTGACCTCGTGATCCGCCCTCCTCGGCCTCCCAAAGTGCTGGGATTACAGGCGTGAGCCACTGTGCCTGGCCCAGATCTCTTACAATGGACAAGGAAAAAATGAATAAAAAGTAATACAGTACAGCCAGACATGGTGGCTCACACCTGTAATCCCAACACTTTGGGAGGCCGAGGCAGGAGGATCACTTGATCCCAGGAGTTCAAGGCTGCAGTGAGCTATGATTGCACCACTGCACTCCAGCCTGGGCAACAGAGCAAGTCCTTGTCTGTAAAAATAATATTGATAATACAGTTAATTCACAAAAGAAGAAATGCAAATGGCTGGTAAACATATCAAATGTTGTTCCATGTGACTAATAAAGAAACAAATGAAAAGCAGATATTCTTTCTGGCCTACCAGATTCTCAAATATGAAAAGATTGGCTGGTGATGGTGGGGAGAAATAGATGCTCTTGTACACTGTTCAGAGGAGGATACACTGGATAACCTTTCTCAGGCACAGATAGATATATGTACCTCAAATCTTTTTAAAGAGCCTGACCCAGCAATTCTACCTTTAGGAAAGTATCCTAAGAAAATAACCAGAAATAACATAAAACTTGGTCTCTGCAGTCAAACAGGCCTGGGTTCAAATCCTCATGTGGCCTACCTGTAGCTATGTCTTGGACTGGTATCTTCAGCCCTAGGAGCCTCAGTTTCTGTCCCTGTAAAATGGGACAGTAATGGGTCCACCTCCAAGGCTACAGGGAGGATTGCACAAGATAATAATGGGGGTTGGTGTCACCGCAGGAAGCAGCCCTGAGGCTGGGGGAAGCGGGAAGGTGATGGTCTCCTGACAGCTCCCCACTTCCCACCCCAGGGGCCTTGGTGTGGACAGCAAGCCAGAGCTGCAGCGTGTCCTAGAGCACCGCCGGCGGAACCAGCTCATCAAGAAGAAGAAGGAGGAGCTGGAAGCCAAGCGGCTGCAGTGCCCCTTTGAGCAGGAGCTGCTGAGACGGCAGCAGAGGCTGAACCAGGTGGGTGATGGGCACCCAGCAGGGACCACGCATCCTCCAGGGCTGTCCTCCAGGGAGGAGCTCTGCTGTGGCCACAGCTAGTAAGAGGGAAGAGGATCAGCAGACAGAGCACTGGACTAAGAGTCCACTCCTGGCCTGAGTCCTCCCTCTGCCATTCACTTTGCTAGGTCCTTAGGGCGAGTGGCTTCCCTGAACCTCAGCTTCCTCACTGGCCCAGTGTACTGCATGCTGATTCTGATTTCATTCTTATAACTGTCTTGTGAGCCAGGTGGCATTCCCATTTTAGAGATGGGGAAGCTGAGGCCCAGAGGGGGTGAGTGATTTGAACCAGGCTGCACAAGGAGAACTCAGTCTCATGCTCTGTGCCCCAGCTACCAGGCTGATAGCAAAACTCATCCCCAGGTTGGTTCTGTTTCCCCACTGAGTGGGCCCTTGGTCCAAACTCCACAGGTTTTCAGAGTAGGAATCCCCCTAGCTCCACCCACTTCACTCTCTGCTTCTCCCTCCTTCAGCTGGAAAAACCACCAGAGAAGGAAGAGGATCACGCCCCCGAGTTTATTAAAGTCAGGGAAAACCTGCGGAGAATTGCCACACTGACCAGCGAAGAGAGAGAGCTGTAGGGCCAGCTGCCGGGCTCAGGCCACTGCCCACCCTGGCCTGGACAGCCTCCTTCAGCCCTTCTGTACCTGGCAGCCCTGGGCCCCAGGCCCTGGGACGTCTGTGATGTTCCCACCTGCTTCTGTAGAAATGTGTCACCCCAGAGGGCCTGGCTCTCCCTGGGAGGCTGGGGCCCCTAAGCTCCTAGGTTTTCCTTCCAAGCACCCAGCCCTCCTGCTCCAAGAGGGATAACCTGCACCCCTCCCTGCAAGGGGTTCAGAGCCCAGCACAGGAGCTTTCTCTGGCAGAATTGAGGAGGAAGAGGTGGCCCTCTGACTTGACAAGCCTTCTGTTCTGCCCAGGCCTTCCCACCAGGAATCTCCGAGGCTCCCCAGGGCCCCGCTTCTCCGTACACCCCAGCTCCTAGGTCTCAGAGAACTCCCCCACCTGTGGTTTTACCTGCAGCCAGCAGAGCTTAGCTTCAAGGACACCTGCCTTCAAAGCCACTGAGGGGAGGAAGGGCAGGGCAGACTGCAGATGGCCTTGTTGCTGGCATCCCGGCCAGGTGGGCGGGGACTAACAAAGACAGCTGTTTAGGGTCTTCTCCCCTCACCCATGCTTTCATCATCCCCTCCGCACAGCCTCCCCGTCCAGGCCTTCTAACCACACCTACCCAGGGCTGCCGCATTCCTGCACTCAGAAGTCTGCAGCGGTGCCTCACAAACTTGATTGTGCATAAAAATCACTGGGGATCTTGTTAATACAGCTTCTAACTCAATAGATCTGGGAGATCCTGCATTTCTAACAAGCTCCCAGGTAAGGCGGAGGCTGCTGGTGTGAGGACCATGCTGTGAGCAGCAGGGCGAGAGTGCCCAGGGCTGATATATATTGGAAATATCACCCCTGAAGCCATCGCTGGCCCCCACCTCCTGTGGACTGATGCCCCAGGGATTCCCACCCCACTTCTGCAACCCCAGGTATCCTTCATTATCCACCCCATCCCAGACTCCCACCCCAGGGATTGCCCGTGAAGACTTTGGCCTAGCAAATTGTGTTGGTTATGTGAGTGTTGTTTTAATCAGAGATGTACATGATTGCCAATCTGCATTTCTTACCAGTGTGACCACACTGTTACGATGCAATTCTAGCCAAAAAAAAAAAAAAAAAAAAAAAAATTTTTTTTTTTTACTTTTTCCTAGTCTTATGGAAAGCAAATATACAATGATTTTCAGTAGGCTTCTGGAATAGAAACAGTGGTTTGAAGACCCCACTGCCACCTTTATGGACTGGCCCCTTTGAGTCTGAATCCCCGGCCTCTGTCACCTGAGACCCAACCCCTAGCTGGGCCAACTCCAGTGAATTCACCCATTTTTCTTCTTCAGAAGGCCTTTCCTGTGTGAGACCCACATATTTTAACCTTTTGCTCCTATCCCATTTTTAAAGAATTAGAGAATAAACCAGGCCTGTTTCTTTTCCCCTGAAATCCCTGCCTCTGGCTTCCTAAACCCATCATCTAAGGTGACAGAGCAGTGCTGGAATAGCATCTCCTTTCACTTTCCCAAAACTGCCACAGATAGCTGCCACTGGCATGCTCTTTGATTCCTGGAAGCAAACGTGGGACTGTCGGAGGAAAGGGATTGTTCTGGTCTTACTCATAACTGGGTGGTTTGAGGGTGACTGAAGTCGTGCTTTTCCTGTGTGTGCTGCCAGCACAGGGCTGTAAATGCAGATATTGCGCCTGTGTGCGTGTGTATAAGTCAAGCTCCAAGAGGCTCCTGAATGTGACTGGCGTGCTGAGAATGTGTTTACGCTGTTTAATGTCTGCCAGGTGAGGGTTACACTGAAGATGCACAATCCCTAAAATAAAGATCACCACTTCCCCAAAGAAGCAGCCCTCGGGTCCATGTGTTGTTCAGACATGTGAAGAGAAGCAAGACAGAGGGTCTCAGATGGACGAGGGCTCTCCAAGGGAATGCCTGGGGATTCACCCAGTGGTCCCCAGAGGTGCTCCATGGAGGCAACAAGTCATTCCATGAAGCCCCAGAGGTAGAAGGGACCTCAAGCACCACGCCCTCCAGGGCAGCCGTGCAGACGACCTTGGTTCACTTTTCAGGGGTCGTCCCAACTCTGTATCTCCAGCCACTCCAACTGTGGAGGCTGTAAATCCAGATTTTCACTGTTCCAGTCTCCTTTGCAGCTTAGGATGGCTATGTGATCAGGTGTGGCCAATGAAATTGAAGAGGAAGTCTACCTGGGCTTCTGGGAAAGCTTTTCCAATAAAAGACACAGGCATGGCTAACACCTCCCTGGGCCTCTTCTTCCTACCTTGATTGAGGGTGTGATGCCTGGAGCCACAGCAGCCACTTTGCTACCATGACAAAAAGGCCAAGAGAATCACAGAGTCATTGACCCTATCATTATTTCACCAAGCCAATACCAGCCGCCATCCTTCTCCAGAATTCTTGTAAATAAAATAAATCCCTCTTTGTTTAAACCATTGTTGGTCAGTCTCTGTTACTTGCAACCAAAATCATCCCTAACTGACACAGAAGGCCAGTCCCTGCCTGTCCAAAATTACCTGCAGGCTGTGCTAAAAATCCAGATTCAACTTTCCCATCAGAAGCCTATTGGATCAGGATCCCCAGCTGCAATGCCTGGGATCTGTTTTTCTGCACCTTCCCCATATAGCCTACCTAGCATGAGTCTGAAAACTGGTACTTGGACATGACTAAAGCACACATCATTCAACAAATATTTATCGAGTTCCTGCTCCATGCCAGGATGCATGCCATAGGCTGGGACACAGTAGAGAACAAAGGTGCAGTGCCTCCCCCTCATCTGATGACTGCAGTGGTCTCCTCCCAACTGGTCTCCCCTACTGGCCTTGTCCCTACACCCTGTTCTCAACAGAGGAGCCAAAATGATCTTCCTCCAGTCTAAGGCAGAACTTGCGACTCTGCACAGAGCCCTCCCTGGGCTCCCAGTGGAGTCTCTCCTGCATTCCAGGTGGTCCTGCGAGTCCAGCTCCCTCTTAGCCTCCGACCTCCTTCCTGCACTCTCCCACTTGCTCACACAGTCCCAGTTGTGCTGGCCTCCTACCCTCTCCAGGCATGCCCCATCTCCATGCCTTTCCACCTGCTCTTCCCCAGCCAGGAGTATCCTTCCCTCCAAGAGCCTCGCGGCCCACTCCCTTGCTTTCTTCAGGTCTTTTATCACACTTCTTCTAAATGAGGTCCCCTTTAGCCACCCCATCTAAAATCTCAACTTCTGCAGTCTTCCTCTGCCTGCCTTGCCTTCTTTTTCCCCCTTACTGTTTATCACCATTGAACATATTCTATATTTTACTGATTTGTCTCGTGTGTCCCTCCTAATGATAATGTCAGCTCCATGAGGGCAAAGATTCTTGTCTATCTTGTTTACTCTGAATCCCTAGTGCACAAGGCCTAGAGAAGATGCTCAGGAAGTGTTTGTCGAATGAAAGAATGAGAAACCCCTTCTCCCTCTGCAATACACCTAGCCTTCTCCCAGGTCCAGCCCATAGCAACCAGAGAAGGCCCTACCTGCCTCCTTCCTCCACGGTTTCCACCCTGACCCACAGATATCCATTTGCTGGGAAGCCCTCATCTGCCCACTTGGGCATTCATCAATATACCTGGGCCTCACTGGCATCATGCTGGCAGGACCCGCATCAGAGCCGCATGGCTCCTGCACACCACAGGAGTGTCTAGAGAGTCAGATCATCCCTGAAGGCTGATGATGAGGCCATCACTCAAGCCTGGAGACCATGGAGAAGCAAAAGGCTGCTGCAGCAGCTCTGACTTCAGACCTCTCCCTAAACAGGGAGCCAAGACAGCAACCCCCGTTCTTGCGGGGGCCACACTCTCTCGGGTCCTGGTTTGGGTTTGCAGAATGCCCCTGTCAATGGCAAACCAGCACTAAACACAAAACCTGGGAGAGAGGGCTGACCTTAGGATGTGAAGGGACCCTCCAACCCTGGTCCTGCAGCGTGTGTGTCACAAGAGTCCTCACACCACAGGAGATTTGGCAGGGCAGCCTCACCACACTTGAGATTATACTGACTCCAAACCCTGTGAGGGTGGGACCCTGTCTGATTCTGCTCACCTTTATCCAGGGCCCTGAAAATAGTTAGGCACCCCGGAAAGTTGTGAATGGATGTCAGTAATGATCACTTTCACTCATATCTGTGTGAAGAGACCACCAAACAGGCTTTGTGTGAGCAACAAGGCTATTTATGTCACCTGGGTGCAGGCGGGCTGAGTCCGAAAAGAGAGTCAGCAAAGGGAGATGGGGTGAGGCCATTTTATAAGATTTGGGTAGGTAAAGGAAAATTACAGTCAAAGGAGGGTTGTTCTCTGGCAGGCAGGGGTGGGGGGTCACAAGGTACTCAGCGGAGGAGCTTTTGAGCCAGGATGAGCCAGGAGAAGGAATTTCACAAGGTAAAGTCATCAGTTAAGGGAGGAACAGGCCATTTTCACTTCTTTTGTCATTCCTTAGAGGCCATCTGGATGTATACGTGCAGGTCACAGGGGATACGATGGCTTAGCTTGGGCTCAGAGGTCTGACAGTCACTGCATTTATAGGGGGCCAGCAATGTCAGCACCCATGACAATCAGATGTCTTCCTCCCCACTCTGCAGATGAAGACACCTGGGCTCAGGTAAGTGAAGGGCCTTGCCAGAAGACATAAGGCAATGCCCCAGGAGAGATGTGATTCTCACCCAGAGTGACCTGTCTGCAGAGTCTGCATTCTTTCCACTACAGCCAGGCCTTGCTCCTGGAAAGTGCTCCTAGGAGGCCCCTGCACCAGCCTGACCATGCTCCATGGGATTCAGGGACCTACTTTATCTGCCATTTGTCTGTCTGAACTTGAAATACTTAACCTCTGCACTATAAAAACAGACTCGGCCGAGCGCAGTGGCTCACGCCTGTAATCCCAGCACTTTGGGAGGCTGGGGCGGGTGGATCACCTGAGGTCAGGAGTTCGAGACCAGCCTGGCCAATGTGGTGAAACCTCGTCTCTACTAAAAATACAAAAATTAGCCAGGCATGTGGCACACACCTGTAATCTCAGCTACCCAGGAGGCTGAGGCAGGAGAATCTCTGGAACCCGGGAGGCAGAGGCTGCAGTGAGCCAAGATCTTGCCACTGCACTCCAGCCTGGGCAACAGAGCGAGACTCCATCTCAAAAAAAAAAAGGACTCAGGTCAATGCAGACCTACCTTAGTTCTGGGGTGAGGAATGTCCACTTGCTGCTAAACTCCATCCCCAGATGCCCCAGACGCCTCCACCCACAAATTCAACCAGGATCAGGATCGACTGGGCACGGTGGCTCACACCTGTAATCCCAGCACGTTGGGAGGCCGAGGTGGGCGATCACTTGAGGCCAAGAGTTCAAGACCAGCCCGACCAACATGAAAAAGCCCTGTCTTTACTAAAAATACAAAAATTAGCTGGGCGTGGTGGCACGTGCCTGTAGTCCCAGCTACTTGGTGGCTGAGGCAAGAGAATCGCTTGAGTCCGGGAGGTGGAGGTTGCAGAGATCATACCACTGCATTCCACACTGTGTGAGAGAGACTCCTTCTCCAAAAAAAAAAAAGTCAGAATCTACCATTGTGATGGGATTCCTTGCATTCTTTGCATTCCCATTGCTGAGCAGTAACGTAAACAATTTGATTTTTCAGTGCCTCCAAAGACCCACTAAACCAGTAACCACCTCACTCCTGCTAGTTTCTTGCCTTACAGTGCCCCCACCTGCCAGACTTCAGAAGAACAGAACTAATTGCCTTAATCTCCTTCTGTCTGGATGTCCTAGTCAGCTCAGGCTGCCGTAACAGAACATAGACTGGGTGGCTTAAACAACAGAAATCTATTTTCATTTTCTTTTTCTTTTTCTTTTTTTTTTTTTTTTTTTTTTTGAGACAGTCTTGCTCTGTCGCCCAGGCTGGAGTGCAGTGGCACAATCTCAGCTCATTGCAACCTCCACCTCCCAGGTTCAAGCAATTCTCCTGCCTCAGCCTCCCAAGTAGCTGGGATTACAGGTGCCTGCCACCATGCCCAGCTAATTTTTGTATTTTTAGTATAGATGGGATTTCACCATGTTGCCCAGGCTGGTGTCGAACTCCTGACTTCAGGTGATCCACCTGCTTTGGCCTCCTCAGGTGCTAGAATGACAGGCGTGAGTCACCGTGCCCAGCCAGAAATGTATTTTCTCACAGTTCTGGAGGCTTAGAAGTCTAAGATCAAGGTGCCCTCATGGTTGTTTTCTGGTGAGGGCTGTCTTTCTGGCTTGCAGATGGTCACCTTCTCACTGTGTCCTCACACTGGGCGAGAGGGAGAAGAGAAAGCAAGCTCTCTGGTGTCTTTTTTATAAGGACACTAATCTCATCATGAAGGCCCCATCCTCATGACCTCAACTAACCCTGATTACCTCCAAAGGCCCCATCTCCAAATACCATGCCACTGGGGATGAGGGTTTGACATATGAATAAGGGGGAGACAAATCTTCAGTCCACAGCAAGGAGATGTTTTGAGTTGATTTTTGGCTGACACTCATCCAGAGAGGAGGACATGGGGCTGGGCTTGTTTTCCAAAGCTAGCCCTTTCATTACATGTACTCGTCTACTTCCTAGAAAGGACCTTATAGAGAGATGAGCAGGACTGCCCAATGAGGAACACCAGTCATGTTCCCAGGTTGCCTGGCAATAGCTAAGTGAGCCAGGGCTCCCTCCTCCAAGGAAGGGTTTCCCATGGGATCAGGGCACCTAAGCTCAACCTTCCCATTGTCCAAGATAAAACGCTCACTCCTCCTGCAAAGCCAACCTCAGGCATGCCCCGTAGAGGGAGAGAGCTGTGGGGGCACAGGCAGACTGGCATATCCAGGGATGCTGAAAACACTCCCCTCAACACAAACACCAGCCAGCCCTCTGCCCCCAAGTCAGTCACTTGTGTTCGTCTTAATCATTAAGCCACAGCCTGGGGCAACTGTAAATTATGAGTGTTGGTTCGGGGTTCTTGATTTTTTTTTTTTTTTTTTTTTTTTTTTGAGACAAGTTCTCACTCTGCTGCCTAGGCTGGAGATCAGTGGAACGATCATGACTCACTGTAACCTCCAACTCCTAGGCTCAACCAATCCTCCTGCCTCAGCCTCCCAAGTAGCTGGAACTACAGGTGCACACCACCACATCCAGCTAACTTTTTTTCTTTTTTCTTTTTTTTTAGAGATAGGAGTCTTGTGATGTTGCCTAGGCTGGTCTCAAACTCCTGGGCACAAGCGATCCTCCCACCTTAGCCTCCCCAAAGTGCTGGGATTACAGGCGAGAGCCACCATGCCAGCCTGATTAAAGGGTGATCACAGAGTAAAAGAAGGGCTTTGTAATGGGAAGATGGGAAACAGAAAATTATTTCAGAATTCCAGTTTGTTTTGGTTTTTGTTTTGTTTTTTTGTGACAAAGTCTCACTCTGTTGCCCAGGCTAGAATGCAGCTGCAACCTCCACCTCCCAAGTTCAAGCAATTCTCGTGCCTCAGCCTGCCGAGTAGTTGGGATTACAGGCATGTGCCACCATGCCCAGCTAATTTTTGTATTTTTAGTAGAGATGGGGTTTTGCCATGTTGGCCAGGTTGGTCTCGAACTCCTGACCTCAAGTGATTCGCCCACCTCGGCCTCCCAAAGTGCTGGGATTACAGGCGCGAGCCACTGTGCCTGGTCCAGAACCCCAATTTGAAGAGAATTAGCATGACTGAGTAAAACAAAGAAGGCCTGAGCCTCCCAGAAGGCAAGGCAGAAAAGGAAATCCAATCTTTATCTATAAACATAGAAGGAGTCATAGAAAGCAGAACAATTCAGTGATTTTCAAATTTTGCTTCATGGGGGAAGTGAGGAGTGACACCAAGCCATTTATAATCTCCTTGCCCTCATCACCACTTTTCTCAACTTTAATTAGAGCAGCTCAATGTTTGTTTCCATGTATTTCCATTTAAACACAGATCCCATGGCCAAAAAAAGACAAAAACCAGGCTGGACACACTGGCTCATGCCTGTAATCCCAACACTTTGGGAGGCCGAGGCAGGCAGATCATGAGGTCAGGAGATCAAGACCATCCTGGCCAACATGGTGAAACCCTGTCTCTACTAAAATGCGAAAAACTAGCGGGCGCGGTGGCAGGCGCCTGTAGTCCCAGCTACTCAGGAGGCTGAGGCAGGGGAATCGCTTGAACGCGGGAGGCAGAGCTTGCAGTGAGCCAAGATCATGCCACTACACCCCAGCCTGGTGACAGAGCGAGACTCCGTCTCAAAAAAAAAAAAAAAAAAAAAAAAAAGACAAAAACCAGAAAAATTCCAAAACCTAGCTTCAAATCCTGTCTCGACCATCCACTAGCAACAATTTTAGGAAAAACTGCACTTCAGTTTCCTAAACTGTAAAACAGATGTCAAAGTACTTACTCCACAGGGTCTTCCGAATTAAATGAGAGTTTGTTTGTAAAGCAATGAGGCCTAGGCCTGGAATATAGTAAGAACTCAACCTATAGTGGCTGTCAAAGGATATGTCCCCCCAAAGTATCCTCTTTGACGTAAAATTATTTTTGAGTTGAAGGCAATTAAGAAGCAGCAAACACAGGAAAACTCCCTCCACCCTCCCCCTTATCTGCCTAGAGGCAGGATATAAATTCACCTTTACTGGAGACAACTCTAGACTCCTAAGAGCTCAGAGATGGCACCAGAGGAATCTGCAAGGAAACCTCACTCCAGTGGTTTCCTCCCATATATTTACCTTCCTGAGCTTCCAGCTGTTGGAAGCCTAAAACTGCTTACCTTTGTCCTGTCATTTCTCCACAGATTTATTGTTCTTTGTTGAAGAGGTTACATAAGCCAGAGTTCTAAGCTACTGCTTTGAGTTACTTTTCACTGAAGTTGCGGCCACGTGATATGCATTGCACGCGTCACTAAACTGTTTTTCTCGTCAATCTGTCTTGTTACAGGGGTCCGTCCCAACTAAGAACTCATGAGGATTGAGGAAAAATTCTTTTCCTAGCTGTAGCAAAAATTATTTTGCTCCACTGTTATTAGCAATCATGCAGGCTTGCCAGAAAAGAAAAACTTCTTTTTAACATAAAATGCCAAGAGGAATCAGAGCTCAAATCTGCCCGAGAAAGGACATTAATTACATAATGTTCTGTTTTCAAAACAGCATTTTTATGGGAAAGGCAGGAACATTCTTCCTGTGATTCTATATTGCTAAAATCCCAGGTGAACTGCTCAGCTCTGGTCCTGCTGGGGCAGTGGGGTGGGGAGACAAGAGCTAATTCTATGGCCCAGACCTGGATTCAAGCCCCAGCTCTGCCACTTATTTGTCACAAGCCTGGGCAACTTGCTGAACCTCATTTTCCATTTTAAACATCTGTGACAAGGGTAATGAGAGCGCACTCATTGAACATCTAGTGCCTGTGCCAGGAACTGTGCTCAGCACTTTATATGAATTCTCTCATTTAATCCCCAAGACTGTCATTACCCCCATTTTATCTGAACCCACATCTGTCTGGCTTTATTATCCTGGCAGCACTCGCTGGTGGAGGCTGCAGGAGGATGTTTTGCAAAGCACCCACATTCAAGCTTTCCCATCTGTCACCAGAAATATTCTGCAAGCATGCTGAGGCCAAACAGCCTTCCCCCTTCCTCCTTCCCTGCCGGCAGGCAGCCCCGCCTTTACCAATCTGGCAGAGTAGGCCCCTGGGACAAGAATCCCAGCCCCATCTCACTCACGGCTCTTAGAAAAGACAGTGGCTGGCCAGGCGTGGTGGCTCACACCTATAATCCCAGCACTTTGGGAGGCCAAGCAGGTGGATCGCCTGAGGTCAGAAGCTCGAGACCAGCCTGTCTAACATAGTGAAACGCCATCTCTACTAAAAACACAAAAATTAGCCAGGCATGGTGATGGGTGTCTGAAATCCCAGCTACTCAGGAGGCTGAAGCAGGAGAATTGCTTGAACCCAAGAGGCGGAGGTTGCAGTGAGCTGAGATCGTGCCACTGCACTCCAGCCTGGGTGACAGAGCAAGACTCCATCTCAAAAAAAAAAAAAAAGAAGAAGAAAGAAAAAGAAAAAAAGAAAAGACAGTGGCCAAATGGGGCACAGAAGTCCACATCTCTGCCCTTAGCTCAGGAAACTGGGGGAAGGAGAGAGATATGTGTTGAGGATGGTTATGTGTCCAGCAGTTTCTGGGACATTTACACCAGTGCCTAGTGCAGGGCTGGACACATTTCAAGGATGGCACTTCCTTCTCCCTCCCTCGCTCTCTCTTTTATGGATATCTTGACAAAGTGACACAGCACGATTATTAACAGCTTAGGCTACAAATTCGCGCAGACTTTAGATTCTTGGGAAAGGTAGGGGATCCAGCTCTGGCACCCCCACAGCTGGTGACCCGGGACAAGTGACTTAACATCTCTGAGTTCCTCATCTGTCAAATGGTAGTTCCAAGAGTACCAGCCTCAAAGATTGTTAGAGGACTTAGTTAACAAGCATAAAGTACTTGGCAAGCACCAAGCACAGGGCCAGCACTCAGGGAAAGTTCATTATCATCCTCTTCCTGTCCCTGGTAGCTCCATTCCCTCATGTCTCTTGCTGACCAGACCCTTCCAGGTCCTGTGTCCACTCACTTACTTTTCTCAGTCCCTAAACTTGTCTGACATCCATCCCTCCCCAATGGCTGGCCCACCTCAAGACCCCCTGCCCTTCTCCCAGCCCTTATTTTTTGGGGGGAGGTATCACCTCACACCTTCTGACACCAGCTCCGAGTGCCCCCATATTATCTAACCTTTTCACTGTTATTTTAAAACAACTCCTGGGAATTTCTCTTCTGCTTGAGTCTGCTAACCCCAAACCCCAAAAAGCCAAGGGCATGGGTGTAGCATGGCTTCCCCTATCTGGTTCTCCTCTCCAGAGAAGACTCTGCCTCTAAGCCCCCTTGTCCTTAGGCAGAGTCCTGTGACTCGTTCTGGTCAATGAAATAGGAGCAGGAGTGTGATGAGGGTCACTTCTGGGCTGAGGCAGTGAGAAGACCCAGGGATCCTCAGGTCTCCCTCTTCCCCTTGGTGGCAAGTGCAGAGGCTGAGCATTAAGATGGAGAAGCATAAAGTCAAGCAGGCTGGCTCACTAACTCACCACACAGAGGACAGCTGTCCTGATGCTTATTATGCCAGCAGTGGACTTGGCATGAGGGAGGAAAAAACTTGTGTTTAGCCACTCAGATTTGGGAGTGCTGTATTACTGCAGCACAGTCTAGCTCATTCTGCCTAACGAAGTAACACAAGCTAAAGTCCCAAAAGCCTAAGGAATTTCTATATTGGAGTACATAGCTAGAAAAAAAAATGGGTAACATTGGATACGATGTTTTAAACAAGTAAATAAATGGAATAAATGCTAATTTAACTCAAAATATGTGATTTATTCCAAGAAAATTAATAAAACACGAATAGGAATAAAAGACACTACAGGGAAAGAATGAAAGACAAATGTGCTTTTCTGCGTGAGGAAGATGAACCGACATTGTCAAGTCTGTCTGTTAATCTAGGGAGATTTTAATCTTTATTAGATTTTAAGGCCAGGTATGGTGGCTCATGCCTGTAATCCCAGAACTTTGGGAGGCCGAGGTGGGTGGATCACCTGAGGTCGGGAGTTAGAGACCAGCCTGGCCAACATGGTGAAATCCCGTCTCTACTAAAAATACAAAAATTAGCTGGGTGTGGTGGTGAGCACCTGTAATCCCAGCTACTTGGGAGGCTGAGGCAGGAGAATTACTTTAACCCAGGAGGCGGAGGTTGCAGTGAGCCAAAATCATGCCACTGCACTCCAGCCTGGGTGACAGAGAAAGACCTCGTCTCAGAAAAAAAAAAAGAAAAAGAGAGAGAAGCTAAATGTTAATAGCCAAGACAATGGGGAAACTGTCTTCAGGGCATGTCCAAGACCATCACAGCAGCCCCTCCCATCACAGGCCCAGAAGCCTAGGAGGGAAAAATGGTTTCATGGATCATGCCCAGAGCCCTACTGCTCTGTGTAGGCTCAGGATATGGTGTCCCAGCTGCTCCAGCTCCAGCCACAGCTAAAGGGGGCCAAGGTACAGCTTGGGTCATCACTTCAGAGGAAGCAAGCCCCAGGCCTTGGCAACTTCCATATGGTGTTGGGCCTGTAGGTGTGCAGAAGGTGAGAATTGAGCTTTGGGAACCTCCACCTAGATTTCAGAGGATGTATGGAAACAAATGGATGTCCACGCAGAAGTCTGCTGCAGGGGCAGAGCCCTCATGGAAAACCTCTACTAGGGCAGGCAGAGAGAAAATGTGGGGTTGGAGCCCCTACACAGAGTCCCCACTGGAGCACTGCCTAGTGAAGCTGTAAAAAGGGGGCCACCATACTCCAAACCCCAGAATGGTAGATCCACCAACAGCTGCACCATCCACTTGGAAAAACCACAGACACTCAATGCCAGCCCATGAAAGCACCCGCAGGGGCTGTACCCTGCAGAGCCACAGGGGCGGGACTGCCCAATGCCTCGGAAGCCCACCCTTTGTATCAGTGTGGCCTGGATGTGAGACATGGAGTCAAAGGAGATTATTTTGGAGCTTTAAGATTTGGCTGGGCACGGTGGCTCACGCCTGTAATCCCAGCACTTTGGGAGGCCGAGGCGGGGGGATCAGGAGGTCAGGAGATTGAGACCATCCTGGCTAACACGGTGAAACCCCGTCTCTACTAAAAATACAAAAAATTAGGCGGGTGTGGTGGCAGGTGCCTGTAGTCCCAGCTACATGGGAGGCTGAGGTAGGAGAATGGCATGAACCCCGGAGGCAGAGCTTGCAGTGAGCCAAGATCGCACCACTGCACTCCAGCACTCCAGCCTGGGCAACAGAGTGAGACTCCGTCTCAAAAAAATAAAATAAAATAAAATAAAATAAAATAAAATAAAAGATTTAATGACTGCCCTGCTGGGTTTTGGATTTGCATAAGGCCTGTAGCCTCTTTGTTTTAGCCAATTTCTCCCATTTGGAATGGGAGCATTTACCCAATGCCTGTACTCCCATTGTGTCTTGGAAATAACTAACTTGTTTTTTATTTTACAGTCTCATAAGCAGAAGGGACTTGCCTTATCTCAGAAGAGACTTTGGACTTGGACTTTTGAGTTAATGCTGGAATGAGTTAAGACTTTGGGGGACTGTTGGGAAGGCATGATTGGTTTTGAAATGTGAGAAGGACAAGAGATTTGGGAGGGGCCAGAGGTGGAATGATATGGTTTGACTCTGTATCCCCACCCAAATCTCATGTCAAATTGTAATCCCCATGTGTCAGGGGAGGGACCTGGTAGGAGGTGACTGGATCATGGGAGTGGATTTTCCTCATGCTGTTCTCATGATAGCGAGTGAGTTCTCACCAGATCTAATGGTTTAAAAGTATGGCACTTCCCCCTTTGCTCTCTCTGTCTCTCCTGCCACCATGTAAGATGTGACTTGCCTCCCCTTCACCTTCCACCATGATTGTAAGTTGCCTCCCCAGCCATGCAGAACTGTCAGTCAGTTAAACCTCTTTTCTTTCCATATTACCCAGTCTCAAGTAGTTCTTTATAGCAGTGTGAAAATGGACTAATACAGGGATACATAATATTAAAAGATGCAAATTATGACATCAAGAACAAATGGAGCAACTTCAACAAAATGGTAAAGTAGAAGCACTTCACTCTCCTCCACTGAAAACCAAAAAAGAAATCCAAGACAAATGTCATCAACACCATCCCAGAACTCAAATCAGAGACTAGGACAATCCCTGGGGCCACAGAAAAGTGTAAAACTCTGAGGAGAGAGTAAGAGAAACAAACTTCTTTATCCATGACACTTTCTCCCTGACTCACAGTTTCTACACTGGAAAAAGTAAGATTGAGGCAGACAGCCAGCTTCCCCACCATCTTGGGTTCCCTTGGAGAAAACCCATTCCTGCTTCAACCAGCATCCCAAGTGCCTATAAGAAGAAAAACCCCTAAGGGAAGCTAGTAACAAAAAGGGGATGTGGGACTAAAAACTCCAGTCCATGAAACTCTGCCCTTTATCTCAGCCAAAGGCTGTTCAGCAGCACCATGCTGTAGGAGGTACACACCATGGGTCTTCTGGGCATGAACCCTTAGCCAGCCTTCCCCCACAGCTGAGGTATTGCTTTTGAGAACCCCCTGTTTAGGATGGGTAGTGCTCTGACCATTTGCAAGAGTCAAGACAAACCTTAGCTTCAGGCACCATCTACTGCAACAACAACAAAAAAAGGCAGTAATCTAGCATTTTGGGGACTCATGGTAACTGCAAAGAACCTTTAAACAAACAAACCCTAGAAAGGCCAAAATAAGCCAGACAGAGAAGACTGGAATAAATGAGAAGACAGGAATAAATGACTACTCCTTCAATGCGAAGCCATAGATATATATCTACAAGAAACAATAGGAAAAAAGGAAATGTAACCTTCCCAAATGGACAAACTAAGAAGCCAGTGACTGACCCTAACAAGACAACAATGTGTGCATTCTTAGATCAAAAATTCAAAATAACGATTCTAAGGAAACTGAACAAACTCCAAGATAACACAGAAGAGCTATTACGAAATTTGTTAGAGAAATTTAACAAAGAGACTTATTTATTTATTTAAGAGTTAGAGTTTGTTTTATTCAGAGTCTTACTAAGGATTACAACCTGGGAGAGTCTTTCCGAGAGTTTCAGCCAAAATTTTGTAATCTGCTAAACTGAGCTTTTTAAAGAAGGAAAAATAAAATACTTTCCAGACAAGCAAACCCTAAGGAAATTCACCACCACTTGACCAGCCTTACAAGAAATGCTCAAAGGAGTTCTAAACATGGAAATGAAAAGGTAATACTCTTCATCATAAAAGCACACAAAAGTATAAAACTCACAGATCCTGTAAAACAATTACATAATTGAAAATACAAAGCAACGAGGTAACAGTTAACATTATCGACGTGGCTGGCAGAGAAGGGAAGATGGAGCCATCATTTTGAACACGTCTAGTCCCAGCATTTTTCACAGTAGCCAAGATATGGAAACAATCTAAATGTCCGTGGAGAGATGAGTGGATAAAGAAAATGCAATATAGGCTGGGTGTGGTGGCTTACACCTGTAATCCCAGCACTTTGGAAGGCCGAGATGGGTGGATCACCTGAGGTCAGGAGTTCAAGACCGGCCTGGGCAGCAAGGTGAAACCCCATCTCTACTAAAAATATAAAAATTAGCTGGGTGCGGTGGCCTGTGCCTGTAGTCCCATCTACTTGGGAGGCTGAGGCAGGAGAATTGCTTGAGCCCGGGAGGTGGAGGTTGCAGTGAGCCGAGATTGTGCCATTGCACTTCAGCCTGGGTGACAAAGCAAGACTCTGTCTAAAAAAAAAAAAAGTAGAGAAAAAGAAAACGCTCTCTCCCTCTCCCTCTCCCTCTCCCTCTCTCTCTCCCCACGGTCTCCCTCTCATGCGGAGCCGAAGCTGGACTGTACTGCTGCCATCTCGGCTCACTGCAACCTCCCTGCCTGATTCTCCTGCCTCAGTCTGCCGAATGCCTGCGATTGCAGGCACGCGCCGCCACGCCTGACTGGTTTTGGTGGAGATGGGGTTTCGCTGTGTTGGCCGGGCCGGTCTCCAGCCCCTAACCGCGAGTGATCCGCCAACCTCGGCCTCCCGAGGTGCCGGGATTGCAGACGGAGTCTCGTTCACTCAGTGCTCAATGGTGCCCAGGCTGGAGTGCAGTGGCGTGATCTCGGCTCGCTACAACCTCCACCTCCCAGCCGCCTGCCTTGGCCTCCCAAAGTGCCGAGATTGCAGCCTCTGCCCGGCCGCCACCCCGTCTGGGAAGTGAGGAGTGTCTCTGCCTGGCCGCCCATCGTCTGGGATGTGAGGAGCCCCTCTGCCTGGCTGCCCAGTCTGGAAAGTGAGGAGCGTCTCCGCCCGGCCGCCATCCCATCTAGGAAGTGAGGAGCGCCTCTTCCCAGCCGCCATCACATCTAGGAAGTGAGGAGCGTCTCTGCCCTGCCGCCCATCGTCTGAGATGTGGGGAGCGCCTCTGCCCCGCTGCCCCATCTGGGATGTGAGGAGCGCCTCTGCCCGGCCGAGACCCCGTCTGGGAGGTGAGGAGCGTCTCTGCCCGGCCGCCCCGTCTGAGAAGTGAGGAGACCCTCTGCCTGGCAACCACCCCGTCTGAGAAGTGAGGAGCCCCTCTGCCCGGCAGCTGCCCCGTCTGAGAAGTGAGGAGCCTCTCCGCCCGGCAGCCACCCCATCTGGGAAGTGAGGAGCGTCTCCGCCCGGCAGCCACCCCGTCCGGGAGGGAGGTGGGGGGTCAGCCCCCCCGCCCGGCCAGCCATGACGTCTGGGAGGGAGGTGTGGGGGTCAGCCCCCCGCCCGGCCAGCCGCCCCGTCCGGGAGGTGAGGGGCGCCTCTGCCCGGCCGCCCCTACTGGGAAGTGAGGAGCCCCTCAGCCCGGCCAGCCACCCCGTCCGGGAGGGAGGTGGGGGGGTCAGCCCTCCGCCCGGCCAGCCGCCCCGTCTGGGAGGTGAGGGGCGCCTCTGCCCGGCCGCCCCTACTGGGAAGTGAGGAGCCCCTCTGCCCGGCCAGCCGCCCCGTCCGGGAGGGAGGTAGGGGGGTCAGCCCTCCGCCCGGCCAGCCGCCCCGTCTGGGAGGTGAGGGGCGCCTCTGCCCGGCCGCCCCTACTGGGAAGTGAGGAGCCCCTCTGCCCGGCCAGCCGCCCCGTCCGGGAGGGAGGTGGGGGGGTCGGCCCCCCGCCCGGCCAGCCGCCCCATCCGGGAGGGAGGTGGAGGGGTCAGCCCCCCGCCCGGCCAGCCGCCCCGTCCGGGAGGGAGGTGGGGGGGGTCAGCCCCCCCGCCCGGCCAGCCGCCCCGTCCGGGAGGTGAGGGGCGCCTCTGCCCGGCCGCCCCTACTGGGAAGTGAGGAGCCCCTCTGCCCGGCCACCACCCCGTCTGGGAGGTGTGCCCAACAGCTCATTGAGAACGGGCCAGGATGACAATGGCGGCTTTGTGGAATAGAAAGGCGGGAAAGGTGGGGAAAAGATTGAGAAATCGGATGGTTGCCGTGTCTGTGTAGAAAGAAGTAGAAATGGGAGACTTTTCATTTTGTTCTGCACTAAGAAAAATTCCTCTGCCTTGGGATCCTGTTGATCTGTGACCTTACCCCCAACCCTGTGCTCTCTGAAACATGTGCTGTGTCCACTCAGGGTTAAATGGATTAAGGGCGGTGCAAGATGTGCTTTGTTAAACAGATGCTTGAAGGCAGCATGCTCGTTAAGAGTCATCACCAATCCCTAATCTCAAGTAATCAGGGACACAAACACTGCGGAAGGCCGCAGGGTCCTCTGCCTAGGAAAACCAGAGACCTTTGTTCACTTGTTTATCTGCTGACCTTCCCTCCACTATTGTCCCATGACCCTGCCAAATCCCCCTCTGTGAGAAACACCCAAGAATTATCAATAAAAAAATAAATTAAAAAAAAAAAAAAAAAACATTATCATAGAAACAAATCCTCACATATCAATATTAACCTTGCACATAATGATCTAAATGCTCCACTTAAAATATATAGACTGGCAGAATGTATTTTTAAAAAAAACACAAGATCTAACCATATGCTGCTTAAAAGAAGCCCACTTAACAAGTAAAGACATTTACAGACTCAAAATAAAGGGGTGGAAAGAGATACTCCACACAAATAGAAGCCAAAGGCAAGCAATGTGGCTATACTTACATCAAGTAAAACAGACTTTAGATCACCAAAAGTAAAAAAAGGTGAAGAAAGTTATTATATAATAATAAAGAAATCAATTCAACAAGAAGATGTAACAATCCTAAATATATATGCACCCAACACTGGAGTATCCAGATTCATAAAACAAATACTATGACCTAGAAAATAAGATAGGCAGCAACACAATAATAGCAGGGGACTTCACACCCCATTGATGGCACATAGACAGATCACTGAGGCAGAAAATCAATAAAGAAACTCTGCACTTAAACTAGCTCTAGACCAAATGGACCTAACAGACATTTATAGAACATTCTACCCTAAAAGTGCAGAATATACATTTTTCTCATTGGCACATGGAGGATTCTCCAAAAGAGATCATAAGCTTGGCCATAAAGCAGGTCTCAAATACAAAAACTAAAAATAAAAATCATATCAAATATCTTCTTGGACCACAATGGAATAAAACTAGAAATCAATACCAAGGAACTCTCAAAACTATACAAATACATAAAAATCAAACAGTCCACTCCTGAATGATTTTGGGGTAAATAATGAAATTAAGACAAAAATTTAAATTTTTGTTTGTTTGTTTGTTTGTTTGAGATGGATTTTTGCTCTTGTTGCCCAGGCTAGAGTGCAATGGCACAATCTTGGCTCACTGCAACCTCTGCCTCATGGGTTCAAGCGATTCTCCTGCCTCAGCCTCCCTAGTAGCTGGGATTACAGGTGCCTGCCACCACGCCCAGCTAATTTTTTGTATGTTTAGTAGAGATGGCGTTTCACCATGTTGGCCAGGCTGGTCTCTAACTCCCGACCTCAGGTGATCCACCCACCTCGGCCTCCCAAAGTTCTGGGATTACAGGCGTGAGCCAACGCACCCAGCCTAAAAATGTTTTAATGAATGAAAATAGAGGCCATGTGCAGTGGCTCACACCTCTAATCCCAGCATTCTGGAGACTGACGTGGGCAGATTTCTTGTGCCCAGGAGTGAGACCGGCCTGGGCAGCATAGCAAAACCCCATCTCTATTAAAAATACAAAAAATCAGCCGGACATGGTGGCACATGCCTGTAGTCTCGGCTACTCTGGAGGCTGAGGAGGGAGAATTACCTGAGCTCAGGAGGTTGAGGCTGCAGTGAGCCAAGATCGCACCACTAGCACTCCAGCCTGGGAAACCAGAGTGAGACCCTGTTGAGAGGGAAAGAGAGAGACAGAGAGAGAGACAGAGAGACAGAGGTAAAACAGAGATGTGGCATACCAAAGCCTCTGAGATACAACAAAAGCAGTACTAAGAGGAAAATATAAAGCATTAAATACCTGCCTCAAAAACATAGATCTCAAATTAACAACCTAACATCTCACCTCTAGCAACTAGAAAAGCAAGAATAAACCAAACCCAAAGGTAGCAGAAGAAAATAAATAAAGATTAGAGCAGAACTAAATGGTATTGAGACTAAAAAACAATACAAAGGATCAATGAAACAAAAAGCTGATTCTTTGAAAAGATAAACAAAATTGATAGGCCACTAGCTAGATTAACCAAGGGGAAAAAAAGAATATTCAAATAAACACAATCCGAAATGATAAAGGTGGTGTCACAACCGATATCACAGAAATACAAAAGTTCATCAGAGACTACTGAGCATCTCTACATGCACAAACTAGAAAATCTAGAAGAAATGGGTAAATTTCTGGAAATATGCAACTTCCTAAGACTGAACCAGGAAGAAGTAGAAATCTTGAACTGACCAATAATGAGTAGTGAAGTTAAGTCAATAATTTTAAAAATCTCCAAACAAAAACAAAAACCCAGGACTAGATGGCTTCACAGCCAAATTTTACCTATGTACAAAGAACTGCTACCAATCCTACTGAAACTATTCTAAAAAATCAAGGAGGAGGGAATCCTCCCTAACTCATTGTATGATGCTAATATTACACTGATACCAAAGCCAGGTAAGGACACAACATAAAAAGAAAACTACAGGCCAATACCCCTGATTAACATAGATGCAGAAATCCTTCCCAAAATACTAGCAAACTGAATCCAAGAGCACATCGAAAAGATAATACACCACAATCAAGTGAGTTTTATTCTAAGGATGTGAAGACCATTCAACATACACAAATACATAAATGTTATTCACCACATAAAGAGAATTTAAAACTATGTGATCATCCCAGTAGATGCAGAAAAAGCATTCCATAAAAGCCAGCATCCCTTTAAGATAGGAAGAAAAAAAAACCTCAACAAACTAGGCATCAAAAGAACATACTTCAAAATAATAAAAGCCATATACAACAAATCCATAGCCAACCTCATACTGAATGGGAAAAAGTTGAAATCATTCCCGCTAAGAACTGGAACAAGGCAAAGATGCCCACTTGCACCAATCCTATCTAACATAGTACTGGAAGTCCTAGCCAGAGCAATAAGGCAAGAGAAAGAAATAAGAGGCATCCAAACTGGAAAATAGGAAGTCAGATTATCTCTGTTTGCTGACACGATCTTATCCCTAGAAAACCCTAAAGACTCCTCCAAAAGACTCCTAGATGTCATAAAGTTTCAGGATACAAAACAATGTACAAAAATCACTAGCATTTCTAAATACATCAATAACAATCAAGCTGAGAACCAAATTAAGAATTCAATCACATTTACAATAGCTACAAAAAATATATATCGGCTGGGCACGGTGGCTCACACCTGTAACCCCAGCACTTTGGGAGGCCGAGGCAGGCGGATCACGAGGTCAGGAGATCGACACCATCCTGGCTAACATGGTGAAAACCCGTCTCTATTAAAAATACAGAAAAATTAGCCGGATGTGGTGGCGGGCACCTGTAGTCCCAGCTACTCAGGAGGCTGAGGCAGGAGAATGGCATGAACCTGGGAGGCGGAGCTTGCAGTGAGCCAAGATCATGCCATTGCTCTTCAGCCTGGGCAACACAGATGAGACTCCGTCTAAAAAAAAAAAAAAAATATATATATATATATATGTGTGTGTATATATATATGTGTGTGCATATATATGTGTGTGTGTATATATATGTGTATATATATATATGTGTGTGTGTGTATATATATGTGTGTGTATATATATATGTATATATATATAGCAAGGAAATAAAATCAACCAAGGAAATAAAAGATCTCTACAAAGAGAACTACAAAATATTGATAAAAGGAATTGTAGATGACACAAATGGAAAAACAGCCCATACTCACAGAATGGAAGAATCAATATCATTAAAATGACCATACTGCCCAAAGCAATCTACAGATTCACACTATTCCTATCAAGTTGCCAATGTCATTTTTCATAGAATTTTTAAAAATCTTAAAATTTATATGGAACCAAAAAAAGAGCCTGATAGCTAAGGCAATCCTAAGCAAACAGACAGAGCTGGAGGCATCACCTCACCTGACTTCAAATTATACTGCAAGGCTACAGTAATCAAAACAGCATGGTATTGGTATAAAAACAGACACATGGGTCAATAAAATAGAGAAGACATGCCAGAAATAAGACCACATACCTACAGACAACTGATCTTCAGCAAAGTCAACAAAAATATACAGTAGAGAAAGAACACTCTAGTCAATAAATGGTGCTGGGAAAATTGAACAGCCATATGCAGAAGAAAGAAGCTAGGCCCATATCTCTTACCATATACAAAAATTAACATAAAATACATTAAAGATTTAAATGTAAGACCTGAAACTATAAAAATCCTGGAAGAAAATTTGAGAAAAACTCTTCTGGACATTGTCCTAGGCAAAGAATTTATGACTAAGTCCTCAAAAACAAACTCAACGAAAACAAAAATAGACAAACGGGACTTAATTAAATTAAAAGTTCTGCACAAAAAAGAAATAACAACAGACTAAACAGACAACCTACAGAATGGGAAAAAATATTTGTAAGTGATGCATCCAACAAAGGGAAAATAGCCAGAATCTACAAGGAACTCAATCAACTCAACAAGAAAAAAAAACAAATAACCCCATTAAAAAGTGGGCAAAGGACACGAACAGACATTTTTCAAAAGAAGACACGTAAGCGGCCAAGAAACATGAAAAAAATGCTCAACATCACTAATCATCAGAGTAAGACAAATTAAAGCCACAATGAGACACCATCTTACACCAGTCAGAAAGGCTATTATTTAAAAGTCAAAAATCCACAGATGTTGGCAAGGATGCAGAGAAAAGGGAACACTTGCACACTATTGGTCAGACTGTAAATTAATACAAGCTCTACAGAAAACAGTACGGAGATTTCTCAAAGAACTAACAATAAAACTACCATTCAATCCAGCAATCCCACTACTAGGTATCTAACCAAAGGAAAAGAAGTCATTATACCAAAAACATACATGCACTTTTATGTTTATTGCAGCATTATTCTCAATGGCTAAGTCATAGACTCAAACTAAGCATCCATCTACAGATTATGAAATAAAGAAAATGTGATATACTTATCACAAAAAATATATATAGTTTAGTTATCACAAAAACATATATTTAAACACATATATGTTTTTGTTGAGTTTGTTTTTGAGGACTTAATCATAAATTCTTTGCATATATATTTACTATATGTATATATAAAAAACAGAACACTACTTATCCATAAAAGAGAATGAAATGTTGCTGGTGCAGTGGCTCACGCCTGTAATCCCAGCACTTTGGGAGGCCGAGGCGGGAGGATCACAAGGTCAAGAGATCAAGACCATCCTGGCCAAAATGGTGAAACCCCGTCTCCACGAAAAATACAAAAATTAGCTGAGCATGGAAGCACGTGTCTGGAGTCCCAGCTACTTGGGAGGCTGAGGCAGGAGAATCGCTTGAACCTGGGAGGCGGGGGTTGCAGTGAGTCAAGATCTCACCACTGCACTCCAGCCTGGCAACAGAGTGAGACTCCATCTCAAAAAAAAAAAAAGAATGAAATATTTTTTACAGCAACACAGATGGAACTGGAGTCCGTTATCCTAATGAAATAACTCAGAAACAGAAAGGCAAATACTGAGTGTTCTTACTTGTAAGTGGGAGCTAAACAATGGGTACACATGGACATACACAGTGGAATAATGAACATTTGCGGCTCCAAAAGGTGGGAGGGCGGGATGGGGCGAGGGATGAAAAATTACCTATTGAGTACAATGTACACTGTTAGGGCGATGAGTACACTAAAAGCCCAGACTTTCCCACTCCATGATACATCCATGTAACTAAATTCCACTTGGACCCCTTAATCTATAAAAAGAAAAAAGTATTTCCCAGACAAACAAAAGCATCACCACTAGACCCATCTTACTAGAAATGCTAAAGGGAGTTCTTCAGTCTGAAAGAAAAGAATGCTAATGTGCAAAACATAAACATTTGAAGGTATAAAACTCACTGGCAAAAGTTAGTACACAAAGTAATTCAGAATACTCTACTATTATAATTGTGGTATATAATCCACTCATATCTCTCGTGTCAATACTAAAAGAAAAATCTATCAAAAATAAAAACTACAGCAACCTGTCAAAAGGTAGGCAAAACAAAAAGATGTAAATTGAGAAAACAAAAACGAAAATGTGGGAAGATGGAGTTAAAGTGTTAAAGATGGAGTGTTTTAGTTGCCCTTTGTTTCTTTTCTTTGTGATCATAGTTAGATTGTCATCTGTTTGAAATAACTTGTTATATCTACAGGATGTGTTTTGTAAGCCTCATAGTAACCACAAGCAAAAATCTATAATAGGTACACTAAAAATAAAAGGCAACAAATTAAAACATACTTCCAGAGAAAATGATTTAACCCCAAAGTACGACAGTAGGAAAGAAAGAGAGGAGTCACAAAACAGAAAATAAGTAACAAAATGGCAGTATTACGTTCTTACCTATTAATAATAAAATTCAATGTAAATTAACTGAATTCTCCAATTAAAAGACATGGAAGCCAGATGCTGTGATATGTACCTGTAACCCCAGCTACTTAGAAGGCTGAGGTAGGAAGATTGCTTGAGCCCAGGAGTTCAAGACCAGCCTGGGCAACACAGTGAGACCCTGCCTCTAAAACAATTTTTTAAATTTAAATTTAAAAAGACATAGAGAGGGGCCAGGCACAGTGGCTCACACCTGTAATCCCAGCACTTTGGATGGCCGAGGCAGGTGGATCATCTGAGGTCAGGAGTTCAAGACTAACCTGGCCAACATGGTGAAACCCTGTCTCTACTAAAAACACAAAAATTAGCCGGGCATGGTGGCACATGCCTGTAATCCCAGACACTTGGGAGGCTGAGGCAGGAGAATCACTTGAACCCGGGAGGTGGAGGTTGCAGTGAGCCAAGATCGTGCCACTGCACTCCAGCCTGGGCAACAAGAATAAAACTCCATCTCAAATAAATAAATAAATATAAAAAGACATAGAGTGGCTAAATGGATTAAGAAAACAAGACCCAACTACTATATACTGCCTACAAGAAATTCACTTCACCATTAAAGACACATGTAGCCTGAAAGTGAAGGAATGGAAAAAGATATGCCACACAAAGGAAAAACAAAAAAGAGCAGGAGTCGCTATACTTGCAGCAGATAAAATGGATTTCAAATCAAAGAATGTAAAAAGAGACAAGGAAGGTCACTAGAGGGCCAGGTGTAGTGGCTCACACCTCTATCCCAGCTCTTTGGGAGTCTGAGGTGGACAAATCACTTGAGGCCAGGAGTTCAAGACCAGCCTGGCCAACATATCAAAACCCCATCTTTACTAAAAATACAAAAGATAACTGGGCATGGTGGCGGGTACCTGTAATCCCAGCTACTCAGGAGGCTGAGGCACAAAAATCACTTGAGCCTGGGAGGCAGAATTTTCAGCAAGCCGAGATCTCACCACTGCACTCCAACCTAGGCAGCAGAGTGAGACCCTGTCACACACACACGCACACATGCACACAAAGATACACACAGACTGAGAGTAAAGGGGTGGAAAAAGACATTCCATGCTAATGGCAACCAAAAGAGTGCAGGAAAAGTAATACTTGTATCAGATAAAATAGACTTTAAGTCAAAAACTGTAAAAAGAGACAAAGAAGGTCATTATAAAATGATAGAGAAGTCAATTCATCAAGAGGATATAACAATCATATATGCACCCAACATCAGAATACACACACACACACACACACACACACACACACACACAGGCTTAGGAGTCCAGCTGCATGACTCCTAAACCATAATTTCTAATCTTGTAGCTAATTTGTTAGTCCTGCAAAGGCAGTCTAGTCCTCATGCAAGAAAGGAGTTTATTTTGGGAAAGGGCTGTTACTTTCTTTGTTCAAAGTTAAACTATAAATTCAGTTCCTCCCAAAATCAGTTTGGCCTATGCCCAGGAATGAACAAGGACAGTTTGGAGGTTAGAAGCAAGATGGAGTCAGTTAGGTCAGATTTCTTTGATTGTCATCATTTTCTCAGTTACAATGTTTGCAAAGGTGGTTTCAATAACATAATACAATATGTACAACATGGTGACTGTAATTAACAGCAATGTATTATATACTTGAAAATTGCTAAGAGAGTAGATTTTAAGTGTTCTTACCACAAAAAATTAGTATGTGAGGTAATGAATGTGTAAATTAGCTTGATTTAGCAATTCCACAATGCATATACATATTTCAAAACACCTGATTGTCCATGATAAAGATATACTATCTTTATTTTTCAATGATAAATAAGTTAAATATTTTTAAAGTATAAAAATAGGAAGAATACAAAATAGCATTTTAATACTACCTATGAGGAATCAAATTTCTGATTATCAGCAAAACAATATCACTGACAAGTGGATGCATTTTAATAAACCAAAAAAACTTTATATACATAGGGTATGGTAAACTAAATATTTAAAAAAAACCAAGAACTTAATTTCAATCCAATCACAAGAAAACAGCAGACAAATTCAAATTGAAAGACATTTACAAAACACCTGACCAGTACTCTTCAAAGTATCATGGTCATAAAAGACAAAGAAAGACCGAGGAACTATACTGTTTCATGTAGACAGGACAACTAACTACATGCAACGTGAGATCCTGAATTCAATCCTAAACCAGGAAAAGAACATTAGTGGGAAAACTAGCAAAACTCAATATGCAGAAAAATGTTAACTCAGCAATATTTCAAACCCTGCATAGTCCAAAGAAAGGACTGGCACCTGACAGCTCCTGGGAGGTAACCTCTATGCCCTTGGAATATCCTGCCTGAAAACAGTATCTTTGTATACTTGGGGCCTTGGGCCATGCCAGGCAGTTTATACTAATAATGTGATTCCGAGTGGGTCCTTAGGCCACACTCTATGAGTTTCACATCTGGAGTCGATGGAGACTGAGTAGCTAAGGTCAGCCACACAAGCATCCCATGGCTCTGTGATGACTGCAATAACTCTGGACACCAAGGTGTTGCCAGATGGTGCCATGCAGTTCCAGGCTCTTGGTGTCCCAAACGAAAAGCTGGACTGGGCCGGGTGCTGTGGCTCATGCCTATAATCCCAGCACTTTGGGAGGCTGAGGCGTGCGGATCATTTGAGGTCAGAAGTTCAAGACCAGCCTGACCAACATGGTGAAACCCTGTCTCTACTAAAAATACAAAAATTAGCCGGGCATGGTGGCACATGCCTGTAATCCCAGCTACTCAGGAGGCTGGGGGAAGAGAATTGCTTGAACCCAGGAGGCAGAGGTTGCAGTGAGCCACTGCATTCCAGCCTGGGCAATAGAGCAAGGCTCTGTCTCAAAAACAAAAAAACAAAAAAACCAAAAAACTGGACGTGATACACACAAGTAGCAAAGCCAGCAGCAATAGTTTATTAAGCACAGCATTATACTCTCAAAGAGGGCAGAGTGGGCTGACCTCTGCGAGATGAGATCAGCATCAGTTTCCTGGGCTTGTGGTCTTCTTATGTGTTCTTTTTTCCCTTTCTTTTCCCAAGGCTGCCGAGTCTCTAGCTAGTGTCTGCCTTTTGATTGATAGGCATGTTGCTTACTTTGTTTGGCCCTTGTGCGCTTGCACGTCGCCTCCGTTCCATAATCTCAAGTACATGCATGATATGCAGTCCATATGCATGAGCTTTAATGAGCTGATTATCATACGGGGTCATGTTAAAGATGCTTTTTCGCTCTAATGAGCATGCCTATCTCGGAGGAGCTGCCCCTTACTGGTTTGGTCAGGATCTTGCCAGCCATGGGGTCTCTTTACTCAGTTTTTTATCTTACTTTTGTTTTGGCTGCTTAACTTCTGCTTCTTCTCTTGCTTCTTGCTCACTCACCCCTTCACCTTGCTTCTGCTTTCGCTCATTCCACCCTTTATCCAACCTCCAATTCCTTCTGCTGTTCTCCTGCCTCAAAAGTGTGCTTCCCTGGTTGTCAATACTTCGTGCATATTGTAAACATCGTTGTTGGGAGAATTAAATGCTGTCCATACAACACCACTGGGAGAGGACACCTAGAAGCTCAGTCTATTCTCTCCTAGACTTCGTGCTATGTACCTTTTCCTTCTACTGATTTTAATCTGTAATCTTTTGCTGTAATAAACTGTAACCATGAGTATTACAGTTTCTTCTTGTTTGTTCTAGAGGCAAAGTCTCACTCTGTCACCCAGGCTAGAGTATAGTGGTTCCATTATAGCTCACTGCAGCTTCGAACTTCTGGGCCCAAGCAATCCTTCCACTGCATCCTCCCAAAGAGCTAGCACTACAGGCACACACCACCACACTGGGCTAATTTTTACATCTTTTTTGGTAGAGACAGGGTCTTGCTATGTTGTCCAGGCTGGTCTCAAACTCCTGGCCTCAAGTGATCCTCAAGCCTCAACCTCCCAAAGCAATGGAATTATAGGCGTGAGCCATCACGCCTGGCTCAGTATAACAGTTTCTAAGTTCTATGAGTCTTCCTAGCAAATCACTGGACCTGAGGTTGATCTTGGAGAACCTCTGACACACTCAAATAAGTTCTGAAGATTAGCTGACAATATTGCAGCAGTGTTAATGGCTTGGTTTCATAATTGTACCTTAGAAGAAGCTGAGTGAAGGATATACAAGAACTTTTTGCAGCTTTCTGAAATTCTAAAGTTATTTCAAAATAAAAAGTTAAACACAAAGAACAAGGAGACAAGTGTGATCATTGTTAGTGCTGGGTGTTAGGTACATGCAGGTTCATTATATTTTTCTCTCCACTTTTGTACAAGTTTGAAATATTTTGTAATTTAAAAAGCCTTTTTAAGCTAGAGAATTCAAGATTTCAGTGCAACAAATCAAAATGATCACATCCAAAACATACAGAACAGGGTCAGCTTCAAAGCGGATGAGAAAACAATTTAAACATGGAGAGTTTATTAAAAAGCCTTGCTCCAAGGGCCCCTGAGCAAGGCTTTCTTCACTGGGCACTTCCTGCAATCCAAGCCTTTCTCTATGGCAGAGAGGAACTAAGTCATTGCCCATGGTCAGTGATAGCATAAATCCTTGGCGGAGATGAGTCCAGGTGTAAGTAAGAACTTTCACCTCCAAACAGTGGGGCCAAGACCACCTTCCCTGAAACCACTGCCCACAGCAATGAGGACTGCCAGGAGTCTGAGCCCCACAGCTCCAGAAGGACCTACTAGGTGATAAGTTGCAAAGCTTGGGCCACAGGTCCTGCCTCTTCCTACAGACACAAGCTAGACACTACCTTGGGGATATGATGGGGTGCTGTGAGGCTCCTTACTGAGCAAATACCTTGCATTACAGGGGAGGCCAAGGCCCAGAAAGGAGTACACCTGCTCAGAGTCAACATAGCTCAGAAGTCCTGCCAGAACAGGAGCCTTGATCTCCTACTGGCCCCTTGATTTCTTTCCCAGTCTTACACAAATGTGTTACGTAATCTACTTATTGTGCAAACCCAAACAAAGTGACATCCCTCCCTGAGCCTGTTTCCTTACCTGCAAAATGGGGAGCCGCATCTGACTTTCCAAGGTGGTTATGCAGGGAGGGAACCTCTAAGCCTCTCATTCCTCTCACTAAGACCCAGCTCTCATCTGGATCCCACACACTACAGATGGATGCTTCACAAATATTTTTCCAGGGAATGTCAGGGGATGCTAAGCATAAGACAAGCCATATTTTAGAGCAGAAACATGGGGAGAGAGGAAAAACGTACACCTTACAGAGCAATCCTTTCACATGAGGACCATCTCAGGGGAGCCTATTAAGCTCGTGTGATATTAACAGCTTGAGTGCCTGAAGGGCACACAGTGAAAGATCAGGGAAGACCAGGATATCACTTTGGAAACACTGCTGGGGTACACAGCTTTTTGGTACAAGTAGTGTCAAAGGAATCCCTGGCTTTGAGATGTAAGGGCTCCAACCTCCCAGAAGTCCTCCCAGGGCAGCCCCAGCGACAGGCACAAAGGTCACACCCATGCAGGAAGAGAGGGAGGAAGGAGAGGAGCTCCATAAGCCCAGACAAGGGCTTGAGAGCAGACAAGGGCTTGAGAGCAGACAAGGGCTTGAGAGCAGACAAGGGCTTGAGAGCTGGCCAAGCAGTTTCTCTCAGCTTCTGTGTTCCAGCCCCTATGTGGGAGGAGAGAAGGGCAGGACCACAAGCCTGCCAGAGGCTGCGGCCTACAGCCGGGGAGAGGCCAGCCCGGCCTACAGTGCGGACACAGGACAGAGGGGAGCCAGGTGAGCCAGGTTTTTGGGCAGGGAGGGACTGGGAGACCCCAGAGGAGAGGGCTGCCCCCATGATGACCCTGTCCGCAGCTCCGAGAGACCCTGAGCAAGGCTTTCTTCACTGGGCACCTCCTGCAAATCAGGCCCTGCACTAAGTGTTAGGGTCACGGCATGACAGTGACAAAGATCCCGGCCCTCTTGCAGTTTCTGTGTTAGTAGCAGGGAGATGGAAGTAAACAAAAACATATGAAATGAGTAAATGATCTCAAATGTCAGAAGGGGATAAGTGAAAAGAGAAAAAGGAGAGCAGAGTGAGGAGGACAGGGAATGCCGGGGGAGGGGGCTTGGGGTTTTAAAGAGGGTGGCCTCTTTAAGGTTAAATGAGGTTCAATGCAAAAAGCCCTAGTGACATTTGAAGAAAGGGTGTTCTGGGCAGATGGAGATGCCCTAGCAAATGCTGGCAGTGGCAGGGAGGCCTGGAGCATTCAGAACAGCAAGGAGGCAGTGGCAGCAGAGCAAGGAAAAGAGGTAAGGCAGGACGAGAGGAGCCGCACTAGGGGCACTTGCAGGACTCCGGGGGGCAGAGGATGGGGCCCCTTGCCAGCACCCCCACAGCCCTGCTGGGGGTATTGGTTTGAAAGCCTCATATGAATCATTTGCTACATGTGGTTGCATGACCCTTATAAAGTCTCCTCCCTTTCCAAGGCCCACATCCTCTCCATAAAATGGTAATAACAGCAGTGCATCTGTCAGGTTGAGGTCAGGAAGGAAGGGGATCAAAAGCATGGCAGCCTGCCGGAGAGATTTACAACATACCTGCTGCAAGCTAGGAAATGCAGAGCTGGCCTCCCAGGCCTTGTGGGAGGAACATGTAAGCAAATAAGAACTTGTCCCTAACCCTAGAGCACCCAGGGAACGAGGGAGCTGAACTTTGTTCAGAGAGAACAGCAGGGGCAAAGGGTAGGAAGAGAATGAGTGGAGGCCAGGGATGAGGGCAGTAAGTTGACATAGGAGAGAGGTGAGTGGAGTAGGGTTGGGTAGACACAGCAAGGACTCCATTCCACAAACAGTGGGCCCCAAGGAGCAGATTCCAAGCAGGAGAGGAAAACAATGTGATTTGCAGTTCAAGAGTTCACCTGGCAGCTGGGAGAACAAATAAGAGGAACACTGAGGCCAAGTAAGAGATAACAGTGGCCTGGATGCTAGCCAAAGAGATAGCAAGGAGCAGATGGACTCAAGAGACTTGTGAAATAGGATGGACTGCACCTCATGGTTGCCTCACTGTGGAGGAATAGGGGCTTCTCAGAGGCCAAGCACTTGCCATGAAGGAGACAGGGTCCAACCTGGGTATGAAAGACACTCAGGGGCTCCAGGGGAACACTTCACAGGCAGGAAGAAGGCTTCCTCCCTTCAGTTCCACAATATACCTGCAGGGCTCATAGAAATGGAGCTGAGTGATCCTAGAACTTATGAGCAGTTTAATGAGACCAAGGTGCCCCCAGCAATCCTCCACAGTGGAGCTGTAGTATGGACAAGTCATGTGCTTTGTGGTCAGACCCCATCCAACTCCTGGCCATCTCCAGCTGTGTGGCTAGGGGCCACTCAACCTCTCCAGGATTATTTTCTTCAGGTGTAAGCTTCACTGACTTTTTTGTGAAGATTTCCCTAGGCAATTCATGTAACTCAAACTGCAGTGGATAGAGCCCAATCTTTGGGGTCAGGCCCTGTCCAATTTTGGCTAACAAGTATTGAACAAACATGTACCAAGCAATGGCTGCATACCATGCCTACCATGCACACAGTGCCTGGTCCACAGCCAGTGTCCACAGGGGGAGTGGGGAGGTGGAGTGGCATTCAGGTACTTAGGGATGTCTTTCTTCTACCAACCAGCCCTGGCTGACACCCAGCCCTAGGCAGTTCCTCTTGCACACAGGTTCTTTGCACTGACCAATGCTGAGAGCAGACCCTCGGAGCAGCCGGGTTGGAAGTGTCTCTCCATAGTCACCAGACAGATCCAGGATAGGATGGGCAGCCCAGTGCACCGAGTGTCATTGGGGGATACCTGGAGCAGGCAAATGCACCCCGACATAGAGAGCGAGAGGTATATGCAGTCCTTTGACGTGGAACGGCTCACCAACATCCTTGATGGAGGTGCCCAGAACACTGCACTCCGCAGGAAAGTTGGTAAGGGGAAGCTGGGGAATGGGACATCTGTTTTATGCCCCATGCTTCTCTTGTAAGAAGAGTCCTTCATTAGCAGTTCTGCTTCCAAATAACAAACTTTGCCCTTGAAATTCCACTGTTAGAGATTCATTCCTTCGAACTGTAAAGACAATCTTCACATGTCAATATTGCCTGAGCCCACCTAGGGGATAGAAGAGTCCTAGGCAGCAGAAGACCTGGATTCTGGTCCTAAAATTCTGCCACTGCATAGCTTTGTAACCTTGGGCAATTCACTTTCCCACCTTGGTCCTCAGTTTTGTCATCTGTAAAATAACAATAATGTCTGACTTCCTTTCCAGATCCATGAAGCAAGTGGGTGAGAAGATTTCAAGGTGCCAGAAACCTCACCCAGGTCCCTAAGCCCTCTGTTCTCTGTCCTCTGCAGAGAGCATCATCCACAGTTACCCGGAGTTTAGCTGTAAGGACAATTATTTCATGACCCAGAATGAGCGTTATAAGGCTGCCATGCGGAGGGCATTCCACATCCGGTTGATAGCTCGGCGCCTGGGTTGGTTAGAAGATGGTCGTGAATTAGGCTACGCTTACAGGTGCTCACTCCTCGAGCAGCCCCACTAGAGAGGGATCTACCTGGGATCACCTGGAAACCCCCTAGCCCCATGAGCCATTTCCCCCAACAAAGGGAAGACTTGTTGGGAAACCAGGATGCTAGGTGCCCTTTATCTCCTGTACTCTGCTCAGGCAGGGGGTACCTGGGCCCCTGTCTCCAATAAGCTACTCAACTACAGCATCTCTCCCCAACAGAGCCCTTTCTGGAGACGTGGCCTTAAATATACACAGAGTCTTCGTGAGAGCCCTCAGGAGCCTGGGCTCAGAGGAGCAGATTGCCAAATGGGACCCACTCTGCAAAAACATCCAGATCATCGCAACGTATGCACAGACAGAGTTGGGACATGGTGAGCTAGGACTGCTGCGTGTGGTGTTTAGGTTGTGCACTGCAAAACTCCAGAGGGCCCATTTACATCTAGGTAGTCATAGGTTCATATGCTCCGAGGGACATATGTTTAATAAGAAAACATTCCAGCAGCTGGCAGTCAAGGGTCCTGAGGAAGGGGTGCCACCTTCTAATTTGCACGTATTGTATGAGCTCCCAGTGGGGCAAGTCATTCCTTCTGGAAACATCAGCAGCCACCCCTTCTCATGGACTGGCTATAGGGGACTGTGTGTCCCACACACAGCCCACAGATGAAAGGGGAGAACTGCCTGCAAGTACAGCTGGGAGCTGGGCCCCACTCCATACTGCGCTGATGCCTAAGAGTTCAGACCCACCTAGAAGCAGCTTCACAGGTAAGAACCCCACCTCAGGCCAATGTCTAACACCTCTCCTTGATCCTAAGGGACATATCTTCAGGGCCTGGAGACTGAAGCCACCTATGACGCAGCCACCCAGGAGTTTGTGATACACAGCCCCACGCTGACTGCCACCAAATGGTGGCCTGGAGACTGTGAGTATACATCCACCCCCCTTCCTTAACTCTCCCCAAGTAGAAGAATGTTGGAGGGCAGAGTAGCACTGGCTTTGAGGTCCAACAGACCTCAGATTGATTTTCTGTTCTAGGCTGCTGACCTTGGGCAAGTCAGTTCACCAACCTGAGCCTCAGGTTCTTACTCTGTAAAATAGGTGGGATATTAAACATTTCATTAGTGAGTGGCTGGAAAGTCCCCAAAGGAACTTTGAAGTAGAGGAGACAATCGATCCATGAGAGACAAGGCCTCACTCACACACACACGCACAAACACACACACTTGGTCTAGTCCTAGGCACTCCTCACAACCCCGGTTCCTCTCATCTCCCGAGTTAGTGGCAGAGCTTGCCACCAGCCAGAGCACAGGCCCTGTGATGACACAGTGGAAAGAATACGCCTGCCTGCCCCTGCTGCAGACACCCAGGAAGGCTCACGCCCATCACCAGCCCCCATCAGGCCACCAACGCCGTACCTCCTGCTGTGGCCACCAGGTGGCGGCCACATCAAGCGTCCCTGAGGCTTGGTGATTTACCAAGCCCCAACGAGGGATTTCCCCTTCCTCAAACTTGAGAATTTCACCTCCAAGGACACATCTGTGGCACTTGGGGACCCACACCTTGTGTGGAAAAAATTAAAACAAATATGCTGAGCCCAACTAAAGCAGGAGAGTGACAGAGATGAGAGACACATAGAGAGAGGGAGACACAGGCAGAGACCAGAGACATAAGAGAGAGACATGAGCCGGGTGCGGTGGCTCATGCCTATAATCCCAGCACTTTGGGATGCCGAGGTGAGTGGATCACCTGAGGTCAGGAGTTTGAACCAGCCTGACCAATATCATTAAACCTCATCTCTACTAAAAATACAAAAATTAGTCGTGTGTGGTGGCGGGCATCTGTAGTCCCACCTACTCGGGAGGCTGAGACAGGAGAATTGCTTGAACCTGGGAGGCAGAGGCTGCAATGAGCCGAGCTCAGGCCATTGCACTCCAGCCTGGCGAAAGAGTGAGACTCTGTCTCAAAAACAAAAGAAAGAAAGAAAGAAGAAAAAGAAAAAAAAAGAGAGAGAGAGATGAGAGAGTGATGACAGAAAGAGAGAGAGAAAATAAATGACCACTGTCAAAAATGAAGACAAAAGAAACCAGCCTTTTAGATCAGACAGACCAGGGTACAGATGAATCCTAGCTCTGCCCCTCCAGGCCAATGACCTTCAGTGTGTCACTCTACTCTCTGAGCCTGTTTCCTTAACTGGAAAATGGGACTCATCATCCTCTCTCCCCTGCAAGAACTGGAAAGCATCTATCACAGGGTCTAGCGCCACCTAGATTTTGATAAATGATAATTATCTGTATTCATTATTATAAGGTTGATGACAGAGTAATTCATTAATAGTTGGGGGGGGCAAAAAAAAAGCTGGATCATTTCACAGTGCCTTTGCCAACGCTGCTAGGTTTGCTTGGTTCTTTGGGGGCAATCCCCTCTCTCTTTGATCAGTGACTTTTCAGGGCCCCAGAGGTACCCATCCAAAACCCCAGCCCCAGGAGGCTGGGTTGGTTGGGAAAAGCAATGCACAGGTCTTCCTGTGACGGGCCGCTACTCTCTCTGCCCTCAGTGGGACGGTCAGCCACCCATGCCCTGGTCCAGGCCCAGCTGATCTGCTCAGGAGCCAGGCGGGGCATGCACGCTTTTATTGTGCCAATCCGGAGTCTTCAGGACCACACCCCACTGCCAGGTAAGCCCATAATGCTCCCTCAAGGAACCCTGCCAGGAGGAGAGCCCAGGTGGCCTCCCTGACCTGGGGCCCCAGAGGGCCACAGGAGTAGCTAAGACATGTCTCCCTTGGGCAGGGAGCGGTCCAGTTGGACAGACTTGGTGCTAACTGGCTAGGTGAACTTGAGCAAGATTTAGCATCTTTCTGACCTCAGCTTGTTCACCTGCAAAATAGGTACAATAATCCCAGTGTCACAGGCTGCTGTGACCTGGAATGTGTGTATGATACCTGCCACATAGCAAGCACTCTCTCAACTGATAGGTGTCCTCATCTCCATCTCCTTCAAGGAATCATCATTGGGGACATCGGACCCAAGATGGACTTTGATCAAACAGACAATGGCTTCCTGCAGCTGAACCATGTGCGGGTCCCCAGGGAGAACATGCTGAGTCGCTTTGCACAGGTTACAGATCTGGGGAGGCCGGGGACTTGTACTTCCTGGAGAGGGGACCTGCGCTTTGTGCAGGCTGGGCCTGGGTCCTCCATAGAGCTTAGTTTGGGCCACATAACCTCCTCCCCCAAGAGAGGCTCTGATATCCCACAGATTGGGGTGAAACCCCTGCTTAGGAGCAGTATGATCTTGGGCACAGAGCCTCAGACCTCTCATGCAGAAATGCTCGTCACATAGGCTGACAGAGCAATCGTGGGGTGGGGTGGCAGCCCCAGGAGAGGATAGGGCTGAGGTGACCTGCATAATATTTACCCACAGTGAGGCCTGACACAGCCAATCGCCCAACAGATACCAGCCAGAATGCCAGCAGGAGTTCTGAAGGTCCCAATTCTGCCAGGCATCACCCCTTTAGTTATGGGTCGTGGGGAGGTCCGGGGTGTCCCAGGAGAGGCACTGTGAAGCAGGGCACTTGGGGAAATGGCCTGGTATTTTAACACTCCAACTCCAGATGCGCCGGTTGAGGGGCGAGGTGCCCTCCATGTGTGGAGCCCCACAGCTCTGGAGAAGCGAGGGCATCCTGGGAAGCCTTGGCCCAGAACTTGTGCCCGTCCTTGTTCCACACAGGTCTTGCCAGATGGCACCTACGTCAAACTCGGTACAGCACAGAGCAACTACCTTCCCATGGTGGTGGTGCGGGTGGAGCTGCTGTCAGGGGAGATCCTCCCTATACTGCAGAAGGCCTGTGTCATCGCCATGCGCTACTCGGTCATCCGCCGCCAATCCCGGCTCCGGCCCAGGCAAGGGGTGCCCAGTGACTGACTACCGCAGATATGCTGCCTCTTGGTCCCACAGTGCCTCCCCCTGACACCACCCTTCTGCCAGAGCCAGAGTGCTGGGAGCAGGCAATGCCCCCCACCACATACACACACACAAACACAAAATCTACCCAGCCTGGCCCCATCTGGGCATGTCAGAGGAGTCTCTCTGGCTGCCTCTAACAGGGCTGACCAGCCGGCCTAACCTGCATCCTCAGTGCCTGGCCCCCATCGGGCTCTATGTGATAGTGTCTTTGGCCCTGTAGCACCAGGTCTGTCTGACTCTGTGTCTGTCCGAGTCCAGCCGTGTTCTGTGCGGCTGTGACGGGTTGGACGGGTCTGGGTCAGCCAGTTGCCAGCTGCATCAGACTATGGCTGGCTGAGTTGATTCTGTCAGGCCGAGCCTAGCAAAATCCAATATCATATCGACTGTGTGTGGCTGAGCTCGTTCTGTCCAGCTGTGCTGTCAGCATCCCACTGGTATGTCTAGTCTGGATCCCTTTTGTTGTAATTGGTTGTGTTGCTACCACTCCCTCCACCCCACAGCACAGAATAGCAAGGGCTGCCTGAACCCTCTGTGAACACTCAGCTCGGCCATTTCACTTCATCCCTCAGCTTCCTCAGCTACAAAATGGGTGTGGCAGAAGTGGCCTTTCAGTGTGGTGTGGAGGGTGAAATGCAGTAAGGCACATTAAGTCCTCAGCCCAGGGTCCTTTCCTCTGGCAAGCTCACAGCGCCCTCGCCTGGCCTGGGCTTCAGAATCTGGGCTGCAAGAGTTCTCTGGAGGACAGGGCCACTGGGAAGAAGGGGCTTCTGCTGCTGTCCTGCCCGAGGCCCATTTATCTGGGCTGCAGAAGTGTCCCCAGGGTGGTTATAAGAAAGATGCGCCAGGTAAGCAGCTGCTGTCTGTAGAGGAGGCTTCTTGTAATCACATCCTCTTTCAATCCAGTTACTGCGAGCTCCTAAATGCCGGACATAGCCTTGGGCACTGAGGACATAGCAGCGGATAAGGCAGACACAGTCCCTTCCTTGGGGTTCCATCAGACCTGAGTTTACATCCTAAGAGTTATTGTTTAGGCTTGACATATTCCTCAGCGCGCGGCAAGTGCACACGGGCAGTGGAAGGTCACAGGTTCAAATCATCACAGGTGCAGGGCCACAACTCTTCACCTGAAATCTTGGGACCAGACGTGTTGGAGTCTCAGAACTTTTCAGGTTTTAGGATAATACTGTGTATATGCTGGAATTCTATAAGCCTCCCTTAACAAGGGGCAGTACCCACCAACAAATGTGTCAGTATTCCTGCAGTGAAATGTGTGGATGTTCATGTTAGATGGGATTTTTAAAGGATTATCAATGGCCTCATGTCAGTTCAAGTTTTGCAATGAGTTCTAAGGAACTGTCTGTTTTTAAGGTTTTTATGGTGTCGGGGATAGGGGAAGGTGGACACAACAGGTAGTGATCTAAATCTTCTGGTTCTTTTCCCTTCAGTGACCCAGAGGCAAAGGTCCTGGACTACCAGACACAACAGCAGAAACTCTTTCCTCAGCTGGCCATCAGTTATGCCTTCCATTTCCTGGCAGTCAGCCTCTTGGAGTTCTTCCAGCACTCCTACACTGCCATTCTGAACCAAGACTTCAGCTTCCTGCCTGAGGTACCTGCTGTCTGCGGAGGGGCAGGCGCTGGCAGGCGCTGGGAGCTAAGATTGTTCCACTCACTGGGGAGCAGCCACAGCCCCATCCCCATGGGCACTCCCCACCCCCACCTCTCCCAGCTTTCAGCATCCCAGGGCGTCTGGGTGAACGGCACCCTGGTATATAAATTTACCCACAACCAGCCCCCAGAGAGCTACAAACATACTAAGAGAAAACAATCACACCTAGCGTAGAGAACACAGGTCCACAACCCCTGATGTGTATTTGAAACCTGAAAAGCTCCGAAAAACAGTTGTTTGGAACTCATTTGGTGGCATAGTTTGACCTGAACTGACCTGATTTATCCCTCTGAGTGTGAATACATTTTGCAGTAAAATTATTAATGTGTTTAATCACTAAAGCTGCCCCAAACCCCACTGGGGCTATTATATAAAATGCACTTTAAATGCCACTTGGCCTCTCTATAATCCAAAAGTTACTCTGATTCCTAAACACATCTGGCTCACAGGTCTCAGGTAAAGCATTGTGGACTTACATATATAGTAAAATTCAGTCTGTCCAGGCTACCATGCTTTATAAGCACTGCTCATTAACCCTTCCAACTGCAATGAGGCACAGAGAGATCAAGGGACATAACTTTCCTCCCAAGGACTTGAAAGCTCCAAAGATAGGCAGGGTCTTCAAGAACCAAAATCTGAAAGCAGTCCTGCTGCCCAGCAGCCTCTGTCCTGTTGGGGCCACTGTAACAAAATACCATAAAGCAGTGGTTTATAAACAACAGAAATTGGCCTGGCATGGTGACTTACACCTGTAATCTCAGCACTTTGGGAGGCCAGGGCAGGAGGATTGCTTGAGCCCAGGAGTTCAAGACAAGACCAGCCTGAGCAAGATGGTGAGACCCCCGTCTCCACAAAAAAAAAAAAAAATGAAAAATTAGTCAGGTGTGGTAGCACACACCTGTAGTCCCAACTACTACTTTGGAGGCTGAGGTGGGAGGATTCCTTGAGCCCAGGAGTGCAAGGATGCAGTGAGCTGTGATTGTGCCACTGCACTCCAGTCCAGCCTGAGCAGCAGAGTGAGACGCTGTCTCAAAAAAGAAAAACAAACAAATTTATTGCTCACAGTTCTGGAGGCTGGGAAGTCCAAGGTCAAGGCACTAGTGCATTTGGTGTCAGGTGAGGGCCTGCTTCCTGAACGGCTTTTTGCTGTGTCCTCAAATGGTAGAAGCAGCCTCTTTCTTTCTTTTTTTTTTTTTTCCTGAGACAGTCTCACTCTGTCACCCAGGCTGGAGTGCAGTGGTACAATCTTGGCTCACTGCAACCTCCGCCTCCCAGGTTCAAGAGATTCTCCTGCCTCAGCCTCCTGTGTAGCTGGGACTACAAGTGCACGCCACCACGCCCAGCTAATTTTTGTATTTTTAGTAGAGACGGGGTTTCACTATGTTGGCCAGGATGGCCTCGATCTCCTGACCTCGTGATCCACCTGCCTTGGCCTCCCAAAGTGCTGGGATTGCAGGTGTGAGCCACCACACCCAGCCAGAAGCAGCCTCTTTCATGAGGGCACTGATCCCATTCATGAGGCCTCCACCCTCATGACTTAATTACCTCCTGAAGGCCCCAACTCCTACTACCATCATAATACCTCCTAATCCTAGTCCTAATCATCAATACCTCCTAATCCTAGCCCTAACCCTTGAGGGTTAGGATTTCTACATAAGAATTTTAGGTGGACACATTCAGACCCTGTCACCCTCCTACAACCCAGTAAGTGGGCTTACAGTGGACACCCATCCTCATAAGCTAGCTTTCTAAAACCCAGGCCAGCAAAATCCGTAACTCCTGGAGGTTTGTGGGCCCAATCCAGGCAGCACCCTCTTCCCAATCCTGGAGACACTGGCCAGGCCAGGTTTTCCTTCACTCTTATGCCCCTACAGCTACATTGCCTAATTGTGTGCCTCTGGGTGAGTCACATAAGCTGAGTACCCGCCTTCTCATTCATAAAGTTGTGAGCAGAGGAAACACTTCTTACCTCAGAGCTGAGCTGGGCATGAGTAGATGCTCAGTAAGTGGTGCACAGGGTTGGTCCCTATGGTGGAGGCCCCCTAACACCGCCCAACCCCCCTCCATGTTCTCACAGCTCCACGCACTGAGCACGGGCATGAAGGCCATGATGTCAGAATTCTGCACCCAGGGAGCTGAGATGTGCCGCAGGGCCTGTGGCGGACATGGCTACTCAAAGCTGAGTGGCCTGCCATCACTGGTCACCAAATTGTCGGCCTCCTGTACCTACGAGGGTGAGAACACAGTGCTCTACCTGCAGGTGGCCAGGTAAGGTCCAGGCTGACCCAGGCCTTTGCCCAAGCCCTTGGGGACCCACCAAGCTTCTGTTGGGTGGAGGGTTCCGTCTGAGGCCCATAAAAAGAGCAGGCTTTGCGAAGTGCTATTTGGGAGCTGTCCAATTCCCCAGTATGACTAACCTATCCACTTCTAGGCCACCATCCTCTCTCACCTCCACCACAGCCTCAGACCCCTCCCTGGTCTCTTGCTTCTATCCTGTCCTGCTTCTCCACAGGCAGCCGGAGGGATCTGTTCAGAGCCTAGGGAGGATCACATCTTTCTCTGGTTTGAAATTCTTCAACGGCTTCCCAGTGCTCATAGGAAAATGACATATTCTATGCTGTGGCCTGCAAGGTCCATGTGACCTGACCCCTGCCTCCCCGTCCATCCTGCTCTCACCACCTCCTGCCTCTGCTCACTTCTTCTTCTTCTTTTTTTTTTTGAGATGGAGTCTCACTGTCACCCAGGCTGGAGTGCAGTGGTGCAATCTCGGCTCACTGCAACCTCTGCCCGCCGGGTTCAAGCAATTCTCCTGCCTTAGCCTCCGCAGTAGCTGGGATTACACACCACCATGCCCATCTAATTTTTGTATTTTTAGTAGAGATGGGGTTTCACCATGTTGGCCAGGCTGCTCTCCAACTCCTGACCTCAGGTGATCCACCTGCCTTAGCCTCCCAAAGTGCTGGGATTACAGGCACAAGCCACCGCACCCAGCCACCTCTGCTCACTTCTGCCGGCCACACACTTCTTTCTGTCCAGGAGGCCTTTGCATTTGATCCCCTCCCACCCAACATGGCCTTGTTTCCTTTGGAGCAGTTTCACAATCTATCATTGTCTCATTTTTTTGTTCACCTTTTTAGCTCTACTCTCCAACTAGATTAGGAGCTCCCTGAGGGCAGGGACTACCCCTACCTTGCTCGCTTTAGCATCGCCTAAGCTTGGTGCAGAGCCTGCACACAGAGGCTCCAAGCAATGGCCAAGTCAGCTTCCTCCACACAGGCGATTTCTTTTCATCCCTCTTAGGTCTGTGGGCCCTGGAGGCCGACAGAGCCTCATCCTCACCTATTCTCAGGTGAACAAACAGGGCAAATGCTTCCCTATGCAAGGAGAAAGAAGTTCACTGGCAAATATGAAAAACAACATTTATTATATTTTTAAAAATATATAACATCCCTTGGTTTTTTTCCAAATTAGAAAAGGAGTACAATAGCACATATTATGTACTCTGCACTGTGCCAAGCACTCTACAAATATCATCTCATTCCATTTCACAAACCCTCAATCAGATGAGAACTGTCCTCCCCACCTAGAGCTAGAGAAACAGAGACTTGGGAGGTGAAGCTTCTTTCATCACACAGGTCTCGGCGAGGCTGTATGGGAATCCAGGGCTGTCTAAGCCCAGAACCTGTAACCACTGGATTATCCTAAAGCAGCAGTTGAGAGTCACCTATAATCCTCCTACTCCTGTTAGCATTCTTGCCTCTATCCTTCTTTTTTCAGCTAAGAAAATTTAATTTCCACCCAGTCACTGTACAAGTCATTATAAATCCCAAAATCACAGTGTTCTGATGGAAAATTCTGTTTGCTCAGATCACAGAAGGGTTTATGTTCAGGATCAGAGAGTGTCTGGCCCAGCTCCACAGGTCCTGGGATATGCCTGACTGAGGGCCTCGAGGCAGGACGGCCCGAGGGGGAACCCTCAGGAGGGAGGCCAGGCAGAGGCCTGGTGACCTGGCTCTCCCACGGGAAGGCTGGAACCTAGCATGAGCTTGCCTGTCTCTGGGAGTGAGGGGTGCTGGGCTGTCTCACAGAGTCTCTGCCCTCTCACCTGCCTCCTCTTCCAACCCCCAGGTTCCTGGTGAAGAGCTACCTGCAGACTCAGATGTCCCCTGGCTCCACGCCACAGAGATCTCTCTCTCCATCTGTCGCATATCTCACCGCACCTGACCTGGCCAGGTGTCCAGCCCAGAGGGCAGCCGACTTCCTCTGCCCGGAGCTCTACACCACGGCCTGGGCACATGTGGCAGTAAGGTAAGCCAGTGCTGAGAAATCAGCCATCCCACCTGGGCACAGGCTCCATGCCACACTAGGGCCTTTGGATTGGTTGGGTGGACATTCGTGGATTCAGTTCTAAAAACCACCCCATGCCTAGCCTCCCCGGTCCTCTCAGTTCCTGCCACCATGGGCAGAGAGAGGGGATGTCCCCCCCATCAGCCATGGACCCCCGTCACTTCCCCATCCTGGTCACAGTAGTAGAAGGACATCACACCTCTGGCCAGTGAGATATTTTTAAAATCTCTAGGGTCCTATGGTGATTTGCAATACAACGAATGTACCCATATGTAAATACTCCAAATGTATTGATATGCAAATACCAATAAATAAAGCAATACTCACTCGTACGTTTGAAATATCCCATAATCTAAAAATAATTTTTGAAAATATGACTACACCACGGGATAGAATTCATTTATTTCCAGGGTCTAGTAGGCTCCAGGGAACATGGACAAAACCAAGGACTCATCCATTCTGTCATTCAACAAATATTGTTCAGTACCTACTATGTGTTAGGAATGAACAAATGTGCCAGGGGCTGGGAATAGAGAGGTCCTGACCAAACACACATACCACCATGGAAAAGATGGAGGTTTAACTACCTAAAAAGAAAACGTTCTGAATGCTGCCCCCAAATTAAAACACCGAAAACAGGCTGGGCATGGTGGCTGACACCAGTAATTCCAGCACTTTGGGAGGTCGAGGTGGGCGGATTGCTTGAGCTCAGGAGTTTGAGACCAGCTTCGGCAACATGGTGAAACCCCACCTCTACCAAAAATACAAAAAATTTTAATAAAAAAATAAAAAGGAAACACCAAAAACAAACTGGAAAAACATATTTTCAGTATATAATAAGAGGTCTTATATCCCAACCTGTGGTCCCAGGGATGGTTAATAGTTATTTCAAGATCACAAGCAACTTGGAACATTCATTTATTTATTCCAAAAATATTTATTAACTGCCTATAATATGGCAGGCACTGTTCTAGGCATTAGGGACCTATCAGTAAATAGGCCTGATAAACACCCCAAACTCATAGAGCTAACATTTCAATTGGGAGATTTGAGGAGGGGAAGATAAGGCTGCTCGAGGTGATTAAAGTGTCATGGTATTTCTCCTTGCTTGAAACTCAGTGTGACATCTGCTTATCTATTCCCTGACAAAGCAAAAAACATATTGCTTAATAAACAGTTTGCTTTACACACAAATTCTAAGGGTCATGGATGGATGGGCAGGGAATAGAAAATAAGAGGGGATTAAAGGTTATTTAATGACTAATTTAGTGGTTTGCAGGACAAAGGTTGGTTTTCTCTTTTTGTTTTTAGGTCCCTTGGGTAGAACCTGCAGCAGGCTAGGTGACCGACGGGCCTCTCTAGCCTTTACAGAAAAACCATTCTCCTTGCTCAGGCCACAGGACGTCAGTCAACAAAAAGGCCTGAACATACTGGTGTGAGGCTGGAATCTGCATTAGAAATAGGGGACAGCTCCTGGCCTGTGGCCCTGAGGCTTTATAACATGGCGATTAACAACAAGTCAAAATCCTGGCTCCACTCCTTACTAGCTGTGTGACCCTGGACAAATTGGTTAACCTCTCTGGGACTCAGTTTTCCCCATTGCAAACTGGGGGGTGCCTGCCCTTAAAAGAGTTAAAAAGATAATAAATATCAATCATTTAGCTTTATGGCACATAAGTGGTCAATAAACAGGCATTATTTCTACTTCTGAGGGACCACAGGAAGCCCATCAGTTGTCTTTTCCACTCAGTCAGGAAGCTGAACCTTTTTTGCTTTGGCTTTCAGGCTCATAAAGGACTCAGTGCAGCATTTACAGACCCTGACGCAATCCGGAGCTGACCAGCACGAGGCTTGGAACCAGACCACTGTCATACACCTCCAGGCTGCTAAGGTGAGCGCCTGCCAGCTGAAGCTGAAAGGGATCCATTTTGCTTCCCAGGCAGGCTACCCTGCTGGGAAAATCCGGGCTCTGCCATTATTCCCCAACTCTGCTTCAGTGGCGGCTGCCCTCATTTCACTTCCAAGGCTTTAGTCCAGGGTATTTTAATTAAAGGACTTAACTCCAAAGCAATCTTGCTGGCAGCTCTTAGGGGAAAAGGTAATGAGGCAGTGTTATTGGATTTGCTTCAGGTTGTTCAAATATTTCCTCCCAGATAGAAAAGCAGGTCAAGTCTCCCCTTAGCCCCACAGGCAATCCTTGGATGTCTGATTCCATTTCCACTCGTTTTGTGTTTCTGCATAATTCACAGTCGGTCGGCAAATATTTGAGCACCCACTCTGCCCTGGGCACTGACCTGGGTGCTCAACAGTGAAGCCACTGCCCATGCACGGCTACAATCAAGGAAGCACCATGACAGGGAAATACAGGCTGCTATGGAATCCCAGAGCAGGTACACTTCTGCCCACCTGGAGGAGTCAGAAAGGCTTCCCAAAAGAAGTGGCATATCAGCTAAGACTTCAAGGATAAGCTGAAATTAGCCAGCTAAAGGGTGGGGTGGCAGCTTTGGAGAGAAAAGTTTCCAGGCAAAGGGAGCTGCGCGTGCAAAAGGAAGCAGCAAGAAGGATCCTGGTGTGCTTGGGAGGAAGTGCAAATCTCCCAAGGAGGACCTAAGGAGAAGGACTGAGACTAGGGGAGAAGGAGAGACAGGCAAGGCCTCTGACCTTTTGCACCACTGTGAAAAGTTGGGGTTTTGTTTTCATTGCAATGCCTTTGCTGAGTTTGTTTGGAGGTGGGGTAAAGTGATCAGTTTCATTCTAGAAGAATCATGCAGGTTGCCCAGGATGGAATGAAAGGGAGCAAGTTAGAAAGGAGCAAGTCTGAACCGGGACTGAGGGTGGTCCTGACCATGAGCATGGCAGAAGGCCTGGAGACAAGTGGGTAGATCAGAGATGCTAAGGGGGAAGAAGGCAGGGACAGGCCTCAGAGTGCTGGGGTGGGAAAGAGGTAAGAACAACTCCTGAGTTCTAGCTTAGGCAGCTGGGACTCTGGCACCGCCAATAACTGGAAAACTAAAGTGATCACGCCAATCCTCAGGCCTCAGACCCAGAAAATGGCAGCCTTGGAACAGGAGAGCCCTGAAGGGCTGCAGAGGCCCTCGTGGGACAGGGCTGGTCAGGCAGGCTGGACGTTGAGCACCACCACGTGACCCACCACCTCCACCACACCACACGTGATGGGATTACCTCTGCAGCCCTCAGTTCTGCTCAGCCTACAGCAGGGGCACCCCCTGCTGTGCTAACTGTCCTGTCAACACAGAGGGTGAGCCAAGGCTTCCTGCTTTCACTGGATCACCAAAACAGAAACCACAGCCACCCATTATCCACTCATTCATTTTCCAAACCTATGGCCTGCCTTCAAATGGACCAGATGCTGCTTGCCAGGGTTACTTCATTTAATCCACACAGCCCTGGGAGGGAGACTGACATTATTTCCACTTCAAGGGTGAGGAAAGAGAACTCAGGACTTAGGTCCCAGAGGTAGGAAATAGCTGAGTCCAGATGCTTTCCCTTCCCACACCACTGAGGGTGTGATGAGTGACTGAGGTGAGCAACAAATTCTGGGGGGATGGAGGGTGACAGCCAGCCAGCCTGCGGGGGAAGAACACGTCCCTGACAGCTTCCTGGGGAGGTGGTGCCCCAGCTGAGTCTCCAAGGTCATAATGGATAGGGCTTTCTGTACTCTCTGTGCTTTGTGGGGTTATTTAGTCTACAGAAAGCTTCAGCACCCAACTGGGCCCCATCTAGAAACCATAAATGTGCAGGTAGAGATAACTGCAACTTGAGGGAAGAGGGGATGATACTGCCAGAAGAGTAGACAAGGGGGAGCCACGGGCTAAATTCTGGTCCCAGCTCTGTGTGACCTCAAGCAGCCCCTTCCCTCTCTGGGCTTTAACTTCCCTGTCTGTAGACAAAGGGGCATGGAAGAGCCCTTTAGGCTCTGTCAGGCCGTGGTCCTATAATTCAGACTCTGACCAGAAGAGATGTCAGTCTCCAGGACCATGGGAACAAATGCTGGCCTCATTATAATCCAGCCTCAGTCTCCTGTGGCTTTGGCCACACAGGGTTAGGAATACAGCCCTGGTGTGGATCTCACTGCTACCACTTCCTAGCCATGACCTTGGGCAAAAAACTTAATCTTTCAGAGCCTCAGTCTCTTCGTCTGCAAGATAGAGCTAATAACAGTACCTACTTTGTAGGATTCTAATAAAGATTAAATAAGTAAAACTTAGAGAGGCAGCTAGCACCCCCACCCCCAAATTAGACAGGAGGCAAGATTTAAACCAACACACACAATGTAAATAATGTTCACTGTGCTCAGAGCGTGGGGCCAAGGTTCAGCTCAGCCCTTCCCCAAAGTGTAGAGGTCACCTCTGTCTCTGATCCTCATCCTGCTTTTTAAGGCCCAGGCCCCTGGGCAGCTCTCCATCACTCCACTCCTCAACTCAGAGCCTTGAGCATTTGAGGATGTGGCTCTCAGATTAGGACAGGAAAAGGAGTGCGGGTCCGCAGTTCTGCCAAGCTGGACCCAGTCTGAGCAACAAAGGCTACTGGAGCCAGCAGAGGCAACACAGCACATCTGCTCACCTTCCACAGCCAAATGCTGCAAGCCCAGCATGGCTGTGAGCACACCATGTCTGAATGGCAAAGTGGAGTTGTCAGCACCTGTGTGAGGGCCCCCTAGGAAACACAAGTTCTTTCCAAGTGAGAAAGCGGATCGGGTCACTGCCCAGCTGAAGACTCCCAGTCCCACAGAGCAAATTCTGACCATGTTATTCACAGCCCTTCACTGACCTGGGCCCCAGGTATGAGTCCACCCTAACCTCCATGGTTCCCCATCATCACCTCATTATACCACCACACTTCAGCCTCATTAAATTGCCTGCAGCTTCCTGAAAGTACAGCCTTTTGCACATAAAGCTCCCCCTGCCTGGAATGACCTTTCCCCCAACTCATGTCCGCCTGGGTGAACTCCTTTGAACCCCCAAGGCACTCTTTTTTTTTCTATGATAGAGTCTCACTCCACCACCCAGGCTGGAGTGCAGTGGCACGGTCTCAGCTCACTGCAACCTCCACCTCCCAGGTTCAAGCAATTCTTGTGCCTCAGCCTTCCGAGTAGCCAGAATTACAGGTGTGCACCACCACACCTGGCTAATTTTTGTATTTTTTGTAGAGACAGGGTTTTGCCATGTTGGCCAGGCTGGTCTCGAACTCCTGACCTCAAGTGGTCCGCCCACCTCAACTTCCCAAAGTGCTGGGATATAGGTGTGAGCCACCGCGCCCAGCCGAACCCCCAAGACACTCTAAGTCTTGCTACTGAAAATCACTACAGCAGCATGGGCATCACAGGGGACCTTGTTAGAAATGCACAGTCTCAGGCCCTGCCCTGGAATCTGCATTTTGACAAGATCCCCAGGTGATCTATATGCACATAAAAAACTGAGAGGCAGGGCGGGGTCCAGAGGCTCACGCCTGTAATCCCAGCACTTTGGGAAGCCAAGGAAGGAGGATCACTTGAGCTCAGGAGTTCGAGACCAGTGTAGGCAACATAGCAAGACCCTCGTCTCTACTAAAAATACAAAAAAAAAAAAAAGCCGGGCATGGTGGTGTGTGCCTGTGGTCCCAACTACTCAGGAGGCTGAGGTGGGAGAATCACTTGAGCCCAGTGGGACAGAGGTTGCAGCAAGGCAAGATTGCAACACTGCTCTTCAGCCTGGGTGACAGAGTGAGATTCTATCTCAGAAAAAACAATTAAGAAGCACTGCTTTATACTTTCTCTCTTCCTTGCTCTCCCTTATAGAACTCATATATCCTACCTGACAAAATAATTGTGTGTGCTTGTCTTGACGAGATGCGGACTGTTCAAAATATGTTACAACCAGTAGGACAAGGCACCAACCAATCAAAATGGACTTTAGCCCTAGGGGAAGCAAGGTCCTGAAGGCCTCCTGCTGAGTCAAACATTAATCCTTTAGTTGCTGGGCTGTGGAGAGAAGGAGGGGGTCTTCGGGAAGGAGTCCATCTGGCAGAAGGGGCTCTCACAGGGTTGATGGCAGTGGACAGTTGCCAGCTGGTATTAAAGTATTATTTTTACAACTGCCACAGCCAGACCATAACATATGGGCTAAATAACAGCACTGCTTACCTTAAGGAGTTTATACTCTAGCTGGAATAAATTTCATATATATCTTGAAACTTTCTCACCCCATGGTGCACACATGTGCACGCACACACACACACCACTGACTTGAACACAGCAGACAACAAATAGCTATTTTCTTTTCTTTTCTTTTTTTTTTTTTTTTTTTTTTTTTGAGATGGAGTTTTGCTCTTATTGCCCAGGCTGGAGTGCAATGGCATGATTTTGGCTCACTGCAACCTCCGCCTCCTGGGTTCAAATGATTCTCCTGCCTCAGCCTCCCAAGTAGCTGGGATTACAGGCATGCACCACCATGCCTGGCTAATTTTTGCATTTTTAGTAGAGACAGGGTTTCACCATGTTGGTCATACTGGTCTCAAACTCCTGACCTCAGGTGATCCACCCACCTTGGCCTCCCAAAGTGCTGGGATTACAGGCGTGAGCCACCGCGCCCAGCCTTAAAATAGCTAATTTCTTAAGAACAGTGGTGCTGTCCTCCACCTTCCCCAGGCCAGCCTCCAATATGCCTGTATTCTTTCCTTCTACTTTCCAACCTACTTGAAACCGCTCCAAGCAAAAGAAAACAAGGGCCATGTTTCAAAGCCCACCAGTCCCCCCCGTCCCCGCTCCCCCCCCCAACACACACATATACACAACATCAAAACGCCTTGATCAGACCCAGAGCTAGGAGAAAAGGCAGCTGCTCATCAGCCTGCTGGGAAGCACATCATGCCTCAAGTTTATTCCAGCCATCTTGCCATGCTTCCAGGGTGACTTCTGGAGTAGAAAACCAGAAATCAGGAGAACATATCTTTGTGTCTTTGTAGGTGCACTGCTACTATGTCACTGTGAAGGGTTTTACAGAAGCTCTGGAGAAACTAGAAAATGAACCAGCGATTCAGCAGGTGCTCAAGCGCCTCTGTGACCTCCATGCCATACATGGAATCTTGACTAACTCGGGTGACTTTCTCCATGACGCCTTCCTGTCTGGTGCCCAAGTGGACATGGCAAGAACAGCCTACCTGGACCTGCTCCGCCTGATCCGGTGAGTGGCAGAGACTTCAAACCATGTTAGTCTTCAGAGAATAACCCTACCCCTTGTTCACAGGTCACTTCCAACTCCAAAACCTTGCTAATGGGCAGAGCAGCAACAGCCCTGGAGAGGTCTACACCCTATTATCATTACACCAGCATAAAGCATTATGAATTAATGAAAGAAAAAAATGGGAAAAAATGGGAAAAATACTGAAGAATAAATGAGCTACCTCAGTTGAACTCTTTACATTGTCAAGGAAATAGGAATAGTATCTAAGGAAAATCAATAAAATGAAGCATGCTACATATGAATGATATGTGCTAATGTGCTAATAATAGTCTCAACCATAGCTAACTTTTTTTTTCTTTTCTTTTTTTTTAGACAGGGACTGGCTCTGTCACCCAGGCTAAAGTGCAGTAGTACAATCTTGTCTCATTGCAACCTCTGCCTCTGGGTTCAAGTGATTCTCCTGCTTCAGCCTCCCAAGTAGCTGGGATTACAGGTGCCCACCCCCATGCCCAGCTAATTTTTGTATTTTTAGTAGAGATGGGGTTTCGCCATGTTGACCAGGCTGGTCTCCAACTCCTGACCTCAAGTGATCCACCTGCCTTGGCCTCCCAAAGTGCTGGGATTACAGGTGTGAACCAACGTGCCCAGGCATAGCCAACCTTTAAAGAGCACTTATGTGACAGGCCCTGTGCCAAAAGCTTTTACATACATCTCATTTAATCCTTACAGCCCTTTGAAATGGGTACTATTAATCTCCTCATTTTATTGGAAAGGAAATTCAGGCTGATGGGAGTTGCCCAGTATCACACAATCAGCCAGAGGAGGGGCTGGGTACAATCTCAGGTCTGGCCCCTGGGCATGAGCTCTTAACCTGTATGTTAAGGTTAAGGTTGAGGTATTATATACTTTGAACACATCCTAGTCTTTGTTGAATGTGCTTAAGCAAATTCTTACCAAGTTTAGTAAACTTACCTTAATCTTCCCTCAGCTTCAAGATGAAAAATTTTTTTTAACTCTGTAATTCATATATTGATTTATAAAATAATAACACAAAGTTTTTTAATGCAGCATTAATGCAGTGCCATGTATGGTGAATGAAATACTAATGCAGTGCTTTCACACTATTATTCTATAATCTAAACGATTGCTTTAAAAACATATCAAAACCAAAGCCCAACCTGATCAGAGTCCTAGAAAAAAATAGAAATAAAAACAATAAAGAAAAAAAAAAGCCTGGGCAACATGGCAAAACCCCACCTCTACAAAAAATGAATCAGGCACACACCTGTAGTCTCAGCTACTCGGGAGGCTGAGGTAGGAGGATTGATTGATCCCAGGAGGTTGAGGTTGCAGTAAGCTATGATCACACCACTGCACTCCAGCCTGGGCAACAAAGTGAGACCTTGTCTCAAAAAAAGGAAAGAAAAGAAAACATTGCAAATTATTTACCATTGTCCATAAGATTAAAAAAAATGGACTAATTTGAGAATATAATCTTTTTGAGACCTCACTGGGCAGAAAATATGATACCTATTGCATGGGGTTAGAGGCGACTCCTAGAATCTCCAACAATTCTTATATCAACAAGACTAATAAAAAGAAAAAAAGAGGCTGGGAGCAGTGGCTCACACCTGTAATCCCAGCACTTTGGGAGGCCAAGGTGGGAGGATCACTTGAGGCAAAGAGTTTAAGACTAGCTTGGGCAACATAGTGAGACCCTGTCTCTAAAAGATTTGTAATTTTTTAAAAATAAGATTTTAAGACAGGTTTTTAAAAAACTAGACCAAATTCCTTTTATTTCTCACAATATGCAATATGTTACATGCCCTTTATGACTACTCATAGCATGTAACAGATAGCTGGTGGTCAAAAAAATGTTTGTTCAGGCCAGGCGCGGTGGCTAATACCTGCAATCCCAGCACTTTGGGAGGCCAAGGTGGGTGGATCACCTGAGGTCAGGAGTTCGAGGCCAGCCTGGCCAACATGGTGAAACCCGGTCTCTACTAAAAATACAAAAATTAGCTGGGTGTGATGGCACATGCCTGTAATCCCAGTTACTTGGGAGGCTGAGGCAGAATCGCTTGAACCCGGGAGGCAGAGGCTGCCGTGAGCCAAGATCGTACCACTGCACTCCAGCCTTGGCGACAAGAGTGAGACTCCATCTCAAGAAAAAAAAAAAAGTTTGTTCAGTTAAATCATCAAAAACTGTCAAAAATACGTTTGACACAATTATGTCCCAGGTATAAAACTTTCCCTAATACAGGGAATCCAGTGGTGAAAACTATTAAGAGCATAATTAAGTACTGCACAGTTCAAGCCCAAGGGTGTCCATCTTTTTGAAACTCTCAGAATTTAAAAGCACTTGAAAATAATGTTCTAGCCCCGGTTGTCAGTGATGATAAAATACAAAAGATTACCTTAACACCCTATAAGCATGTTTTTTAAATTTGCAAACAGCATTTCTAAGTGCTTGCCTTGGCTCCAGAAACTTACAATTCAAGACAAGACAGACAGCCCAGATGCAATCTGCCAACTTACTCATGCGTCAAACCCAGAAATTGATTTACTTCCATGATGGTTCCTAAGTAGCCTTACTACTGCAGGGTAATTAGGCACATAACAGATTCTATGCATATCACTGTTTGGTGTCACAGTTCCCTGCCTTGATTAGTCACTATCTCCCTAAGATTTCTGAGATGAAAACTGAAGGGCGGCATAGTATGCTATGGATGCCAAGAACAAGCTCTCTGCAATGTTAACTGACCCAAACAGTTTTTAGTTGTTTAAGCGGTCATAAAACCTCAGCTGGGGGGACTTCCAGGTAAAGATGACAGATTAAACTATGCATTTACTTCTGTTCTTTCCCGAAACCCTACTAAAACATCAGTGAATGGACTGAAATTTTTTAAAAGGCATAAACCCACAAAGAGAAAGAGATGTTGTCTCTGTGTTGTCCAGGCTGCTCTTGAACTCCTGGGCTCAAGGGATCCTCCTACCTTAGCCTCCCAAAGTGCTGGGATTACATGCATGAGCTAACACACCTAGCCTCTGTGAGTAATTTTAAGACTTTCCTTGACTCTGCCCTGGCAGAAGGGTAAATAGAGGATCTGTGGACTAGGGAGCATCAGGTATAGTTGATAATAAGGCTACCCTTCAGAAAACACAGGGTTCTTTATAGGCCAAATACTGACACCTCCCTCCCCCAGACCTTTTTTCCCACTGGTTCCTAAAAAACTGGCAGCCAGACTAGTACCCTGCAAGAAGATGGTAAGATGATCCTTCTCTGGAGAATCTGACCAGCCCAAGGAGAAGGAGCTAAAGACACTGACATCAGAGTCCCCCAATGGTCCACCCAATTCACTCCATAGTGAACCCCATACTAGCAAGCATAGCCACAAGTTTGTAATCAGCTAGTTAAGGCTTTGCTTTTAGCTATGATCAGACACTCAGGGATCACCAAACACCTGAAGAATGCCCCTAACATAAAAGATGGAGACCAAAACAAGCAAGAACAAGGCAATTCAGAGGACATAAGAGAATCCACAGGGAGAAGAAAACTTAAAAAAAAAAAACAGTGATATCTCAGAGTTAAGAGACGGTATTGCAACCACAAAATAAAAACCTGAATGCCATTATTTAAAACTAATATTCAGAGAACCTAAAAAAAGAGCTCCTTGAAGTTAAAAAATGATAATGGAAATGAAAAACTCAATGTAAGGACTGGAAGATAAAGTTGCAGAAATCTCACAGCAAGAAAGCAAAAAGACAAAAAAAAGGAGGACTTTTAAAAAGTAAGAGGACCAATCTTAGCTGTTCATCATCTGAAGAACAGGTCTAGAAAGAAGACAGAGAAAACAGAAGGAAGCGAATCATTAATAAAATAATTCAAGAAAACATTCCTCAAATGAAGGATACGAGTTTCAGATGAAAAAGGGTCACAGATGCCTACAGACTAGAGGAGAGGAGACAGGCACACACATGCACAAAATAAGTCACACTGTATACCATGTGAAATGGTAATACCTACCATGAAAGAAAGGATAGCAGGAAGTGGAGGAAAGAATGCTGGGGGTCAGTAGGGAGGAGGGGGAGCTACAATTTTAAGTAGGCCAGAGAAGGCCTCCCTGGGAGGGTGACATTTAAGGAAAGACCTGAGGAGAAGGTAGGGAGAAGCTGTTGTGGCTGCTAGGGAAAGAGCATTACAGGCAGAACATAAGTACAGTCATGCATCACTTAATGACTGGAGGATCCGTTCTGAGAAATGTGTCTTCAGGTGAGTCTGTCATCATGTGAACATCACAGAGTGTACTTACACAAGCCTAAATGGTATAGCCTATTGCTCGTACAGTCACACCTGCAAAGCATGTTGCTGTTCTGAATACTGCAGCCAATTCTAACATCAATCACTAAGCAATAGGAATTTTTCAGCTCTATCATAATGTCATGGGACCGCCATCATATACATGGTCCATCATTGACCAAAACATCATTATGCAGTGCATGACAGTACAAATGTTGGAGACCAGAGTGTGCTTGGCATATCCATCCAGAGAACACAGAAGAGGCCACAGGGGCAGGAATGGCATGACTGCGGTGGAAAATGACGGCAGAGGGCAGAGAGTTAAGGGAGTACAGTAGGGGGTGGGAAGAGACGGTAAGGTAGATCATTGCAAAGACTTAAGAGAATGCGAGGGTTTTGAGCATGGGATAGAATGGGAGGGTTTTGAGCATTGGATAGACACAACCTAAAAGAATCTGATGTGTATTTTTAAAGGCTTGCTCCAGCTGCCATATTAAGAACTAAGAGTGAAAAGCAGGGAGATCAGCTGGATCGCTAATGCAATCATCCAAGTGAGTGATGATAGTGGATTGGAGCAGTGACAGTGCTGGAGGTGGTGGGAATGGTTGAAGTTTGAATATATCTTGAAGGCAGAACAGGATTTGCTGACAGATTAGATGTATGGTGAGAAAGAAGAGAAGAATCAAGGTTTTTGGTCAGAAGGGCAGAGCTGCCATTTACTATAAATGCGGAAGACTACAGGAGGCCCAGGTTTGGGCAGGGTGGACGGGAAGGAGTTTGGGTTCAGATACATTACTTTTGAAGAGCCTATCAGAAATCCAAGTACAGATGTTGGTAAGCAGGGGACACTGGAGGGATAAGTTTGGAAGTCATTGGCGTATGGTTGATATTTAAAGCCTTGAGAAGAACATCACAAGGAGTGCATGAAGAGAAGAGGTCCAAGTACTCAGTCTTGAGACCCTCGCAAGATAATAAGGAAGTAACCGTGGCAAGAGCTATTTCTGTGGAGTGGTGGGAGTAAAAACATGAACAGATCCAGTTCAGGAGAGAATGTGAAAATTGGAAATCATAAGCATAAACACACATAACACTTTCAGGGAGTTTTGTCCTAAACGGGAGCCAAGGTGATGGAGAAGGAAATAGAGTCAAAAGCTTGTGTTTAAGATGGGAGAAATGATTGTCTGTTTGTATACTGATGGAAATGATCCAGTAGAGAGGGGATTTTTTTTTCTTGTACCTTTCTTTGAACTTGATCTTGGCCTCCCATCACGCCTTGTGTTTAAGAGCAAGGTCTTTGAGGAGATCCTTGTTGATGACAGTTTGTCCAAGAGGATATCTACAGAGTACCTTGTGGGCATGAGGTGATTGCAGTTATAAGCTTTTGCAAAAGACTTGATCCTTGACCTCTTGGAGATCTTCTTGCCTATGGCAGCTGTCACTTTGTGAGGATAGCAGTCAATTCCAGCTACCAAAGCATGACTGTAAGAATGGACTGAGGTGCCATCATCAATGTCCTTCATGATAATGGCTTTGCGTCCAGAGTAGCATCCAGCCAGGACCAGCACCACTTTCCCACTTTTTCATGAACTTGCCCATTTTGACAGCAACCAGCCAGGCCTACAGTAAAAAGAAAGAAGGGCATTTCCACTAACTTTTTACCCCTGAGGGGAATTTTGATGTTGTTGGAGAAAGGCAGGAGAATGTTGTTCTCCAGTATGCAAGAGGAAAAGACATCTAGTAGACAAGGAGGGACTGAGGCCTGAGCTGAGAGCCTGAAGAGAGAAAGCATTGTATGTATAAATGCAAGGGTGGGAACTTACACAGATTCTCTTACTGCTTCCACTTCATTAGTGAAATACGATGTAAAGCCATCCAGGCAAAAGAGATGGGAAAGGTGGATAGTGTCAATCTGAGGATCAAAGAGATGGTAAGAAATAACTGCCTAAGAAAAAGAAACAGTAAATGAACAATGAGTAAATATAGCAATGTAATACGATTGCTGAGCTGCAATCAGGGCCCACTTGAGCCCTTATTACACCAGTTATGATTGTTTTTTCCAGCCATGTATAGTTACAAAGGTGGTGGCACAAAGTGGGTGGAAAACTAAAGACAAAGAGGTATGCGTTTTGCTAAACAGGTATGACAAAGCAAGAAAAATCGTTGAGTGTGTGTGTGTGTGTGTGTGTGTGTGTGTGTATATATATATATATATATATATATATATATATATATATATATATATTTTTTTTTTTTTTTTTTTTTTTTTTTTTTTTGAGCGGGAGTCTTGCTCTGTTGCCCAAGCTGGAGTGCAGCGGCACGATCTCAGCTCACTGCAACCTCTGACTCCCAGGTTCAAGCGATTCTCCCACCTCAGCCTTCCCAGTAGCTGAGACTACAGGCACACACCACCACACCTGGCTAATTTTTGTATTTTTAGTAGAGACAGGGTTCCGCCATGTTGGCCAGGCTGGTCTCGAACTCCTGACCTCAGCTGATCCATCTGCCTCGGTCTCCCAAATTGCTGGGATTACAGGTGTGAGCCATCGCGCCCGGCCTGTTGAATGTATTTTTGAGAGAGTAATAGAACATGGAATTTCAGCTGGATAAGGAATGAAGTGAGACCACAAGGGGGCAGGGGGACATTAAATTGGCGGTAGGGCTCATATGATGTTGGGGATCATCAAGAAACGATTACATTGGATACAGTATCCCAGTTACCACCAATGCTTTAATGACACACAATCATCATAATGTCAATACTAAATATTGGTCTGGCCAAAATTATAACTATATTGGGAGGCCCGAAGGCCAGGAGGAAGAAGAATGGGAACAAGGGGAGGTAGGAGTGAAGAGAGGGGGTGATAAATATAAATCTTTACCTTTTGAATGAAGATTCAACAGATAATATCTCAAACTGAACCATCAACAAGCAGCAATATAAACAAGATATTTTGACATTCAGATAAATACTGAAATATCAACTAAAAGATTGAAATTGCCAGCCGGGCATGGTGGCTCATGCTTGTAATCTCAGCACTTTGGGAGGCCGAGGTGGGCAGATCACCTGAGGTCAGGAATTCGAGACCAACCTGGCCAACATGGTGAAACCCCATCTCTACTAAAAATACAAAAATCAGCCAGGCATGGTGGCAGGCGCCTGTAATCCCAACTACTCGGGAGGTTGAGGCAGGAGAATGGCTTGAGCCCGGGAGGTAGAGGTTGCAGTGAGCTGAGATTGTGCCACTGCACTCCAGCCTGGGCAACTGAGACTCTGTATCAAAAAAAAAAAAAAAAACAGATTGAAATTGCTTCTGAGGAAAAAGAAGTGGAAATCAGACAGGTATATGCTCGTTATTTATTTATTTATTTATTTATTTTGGGACAGGAGTCTCACTCTGTCGCCCAGGCTGGAGTGCAGTGGCATAATCTCCACTCACTGCAACCTCCGCCTCCTAGGTTCAAGTGATTCTCCTGCCTCAGCCTCCCAAGTAGTTGGGACTACAGGCATGTGCCACCATACCTGGCTAATTTTTTGTATTTTTAGTAGAGACGGGGTTTCACCATGTTACCCAGGATGGTCTTGATCTCCTGACCTCATGATCCACCTACTTCGGCCTCCCAAAGTGCCGGGATTACAGGCGTGAGCCACCACGCATGGCCGGATATGCTGTTTTTTTAAACAAGCCTTACGGAACCCTTTGACTCATTATACTATGCACATATAACTGATTAAAAAATAAAAACTAAAAAAAAATGCTGAATTGTTTGAAAAGCGAATAATCATGCAACCTCTAATTAGGTATTGTTATTCACCATCCAAGACTAGTTTGATTCATAAGAGCAATCTAAAATACTTACAAACTCTTGTTTCCTATCCCAGGAAGGATGCCATCCTGTTAACTGATGCTTTTGACTTCACCGATCAGTGTTTAAATTCAGCACTTGGCTGTTATGATGGAAACGTCTACGAACGCCTGTTCCAGTGGGCTCAGAAGTCACCAACCAATACTCAGGTAGTTGAGTGGAACACATTATAAATTATGTAAGAAAGCAGAGAACAGGCAGTGAATACACCTTCATGTTCTCCCATTTTAATTGATTCCCGTTAGGTTGGCAATCACTTGGCGTAGCACGTCTGTTTAAAATATTCTTAGAGAACACATAAAAGAAACAAGGAGTGGCAGTATGGCCTGGCAGGAACTCTGAGCCTGGATTGTAATCAGCAAAATGCACTGCTCGGAACTTAGTAAAGGGAATTAAGAGGAAGGCCCAAGCTCTAAATCATGGCTTGACAGACCCAAGTGCATACACACAGAGTGGTAAACCGGCTTTTAAGTAACAAAAAGAAGGAGATAAATCACTGCGGTAATTGAACCACCTTATTTTCAGCCTTTTAACTTTCAGTTTTGTGTAGATAAAAGTAGGTATTCAGAAGTGGTAGGAAGCTTGAGGGATGTCTCTCTTAGACCTGATTGCCTGCTAGAGATGATACCCTCTCCTCTTCACTCTAAGGAATACAATCCAAGGAGCAAAGAAAGCTGCTGCACTGCCATTAGTAGCCCAGGAAAGCCATATGAGTGACAATTAAAAGGGTCATGCCAAAAAAATCCCCAGCCATCCTAGGAGAGCACACCAGAACTCTACATCATTAACAGCGAGAAGACGGGGAGGACTCATAAGGTCCCAACACTCAAGGGCCAGGGTATGCTCGCAGCTCTATGCTTATGAGCCTCTTTGGGAAAAGTTGTAAATGTCAATGAATATGTTAACAGGAGTGAGGTAATAAACCCTGTAGTTAGAATATGAGGAACCAATATTTAATAGCAGATTTTACATAGATGATCAAAACAAAAAGTCTATAGGTACAAAACAGATTATTTTAAATTTTATAGTGCAAATACATGATTCAGGTGGTGAAGCTTTCTTTTTTACCTCTTTGGTCCAATTTCAGAAAAGGTGTCTTAACACCACATCAAATTGGCAACTCTCAGGCTTTCATTCACACCCAGCATGGTGTTAGACTTGCTCTTAACAATTTGCAGCCTGTCATACCACATGGCTTAATTTAACATGATTATCTAAAGTTACAACACAACTAACCCATCTTGGTCACTCCCTGTCCCCAGAAAGACATCCTTTTAACTCAAGGAAATATAAACAATATATGTTCACTGCTTTAGTACAGTTAACCTACTTCCAGTGTGTTACTTTTTCTAATGATTAGATCTAACATTTCAATCTTGGCATAAAAATACAGCAGTCCTCCCACTCCAGACTAGCTTCCATGGTCTAAAGATAAATGTGTGCCCTTTGGTGCTCCACAGAAAAACCCGCCCTGCTATAACACCTGTCAGAAATGCTGACATATATAGCCCAAACCTGTTATACTGGCAACACAGGAAACATTCTGGTTTCTCTAGAGAGAATGGAGGGGGCTTTCTTGTGTTTTAGTTGGTTTTAATATTTATTTTAAAAGACTTTAATCTGGATACTACATGAGAACATGTTTATCTAAACGAGAGGAATGACTGACCCAGAGGGTCAACACATTTGGGAAAACATTGATGCACTTCATCCCATTCACTTCTATCTCCTTCCACTTGACTGTGAACAACGAAGGAGTCTTCACCTTCCCAACTCCAAGATCTATCACAGAGTAGACACTCCACGTCTATGGAATAAATGAACATGGTTTTACAACCTGCATAGTGAGACAAAGGAATCTGCTGCATACACAGTGCCACACACTCTTGTCATCCTAGCTTATATTACCTTCCTAAAAAGGTGACAGGTATAGCATTGTGGATCTTTCACGCATGATAATTTGGGAATGTGAAGTTACAAATGACCTTAGTGAACTGTTTCCAGTCAGTTAAAATGACATGAGGCTGCCTGCTAATGTACATGATCTTACATTTCTGGCTCCTTTTAGAGATCACCAAAATAGCACTTTTAAAGTGTATTTTTTAATGTGCTGTGGATAATTTTTTAACCCTACTCTTAAGATATAATGCTATAATTTTGAAGCTGCAATAAGAGACATTTTCCTCATTTGCACTAATAGAAAAAGGCACACTACAGATATTTTATGTATTTTTATTTATTATTATTTTTGAGACAGAGTCTCGCTCTGTCATCCAGGCTGAAATGCAGTGGCACAACCGCGGCTCACTGCAACCCTCTGCCTCCCAGGTTCAAGCAATTCTCCTGCCTCCCAAGTAGCTGGCATTACAGGCACAAGCCACCAAACCCAGCTAATTTTTGTATTTTGTATTAGTAGAGATGGGGTTTCACCATGTTGGCCAGGCTGGTCTCAAACTCCTAACCTCAAATGATCCGTCTGCCTCAGCCTCCCAAAGTGCTGGGATTATAGGTGTGAGCCACCATGCCTGGCAGATATTTTAAATAAAACAGCAGCTATGTTGAAACACACCCTGTAGACATAAAAGTACAGACAGGAATATATTTCACTGACATTTTTCTACCAAAAGAAAAGTGCTATGCTAAGGTAAACATCTTAGAATCATAGGAGAAGCTCTCTTCTGTCTGGGGCAGCGTTGAGCTTTATTCCTGGACAGGATGATGTGCTTTCTTGGTTTAAGGGAAGAATCATTGGGGATAATTTCAAAACAAAAATCCTGTTTTTCCCCAATTATTCTATTGTAAAAATGTGTCCAAGTAGGAGTTAGATGCATTAAATACATCTACTGATTCATTCATTCAACAATTCAACAAATATTTACTAAGTACATACTTTGTGCCAAAAACTATTCTAGATACTGAAGATACACTGGAGAACAAGAGTCATAAACCCAGACTGAGTGCAGTGGCTCAAGCCTGTAATCCCAGCACTTTGGGAGGCTGAGGCGGGTGGATCACTTGAGGTTAGGAGTTTGAGACCAACCTGGCCAACATGGCAAAACTCCGTCTCTATTAAAAATACAAAAATTAGCCAGGTGTGGTGGTGCACCCCTGTAATCCAAGGTACTCGGGAGGCTGAGGCACAAGAATCGCTTGAACCCAGGAGGCGGAAGTTGCAGTGAGCCAAAATCGCACCACTGCACTCCAGCCTGGGCAACAGAGCAATACTGTCTCCAAAAAAAAACAGTCAAAAGCCCAGTGTTCGAGGAGCTTACAGTTTTAGTGTAGACAGGCACACACACACACACAAAGTAAATATTATAAAAGATGAGACTAGAACTAAGAAACAAAGAATCAAGACACTGAATTACAGCATAATGAGGATAACCTAGTCGGACCTAGAATACTGCTTATATGATCCCTATCTGGTTCCTTGCTTTGTGATTAATGTTCAGTTTCAGAGAGCCTCAAAGAGTCAAGCCTTTTATTTGTATGAAATTCCAAAAGCAAGTGATAAGCTGTGTTTTTAATTGGCCACCTGCATCCACAATTTAAAATCTGCATGAGAAAAGGAAGGATGCCCTTTGGAAAAAATGTTTCTCCATATGTTCACACAAAATGAGTCTTAGAAATAATTTTTAAAATTAAGAATCTTACGTAATGTTACTTTTTGAAGCTAGAGACTTAATTTGAAAGTGAAAGTCATTAATCCTGGCAGAAATGTACTGTGTTAATAATGCGTTTCTTTCTACAAACAGGAGAACCCTGCCTATGAGGAATATATAAGACCACTTTTACAAAGTTGGAGATCCAAGCTATGAAATAACCAACAGTATTCAAGAAGCAACCAGCACCATCATGTGATAATGGTACTATGGCATATATGCAACATTAAAATTTTAAATTAGATATTTATGTTTTAGAGTCATTATCTTTTAGATACAGTCTGAAGTGATATATGTGAAATAATATCTGTGATTTACTTCAAAATAATCCATAGGAGAAAAAAGCCAAAGTGAACAGTTGTTGAAGCTGGTCAATGGGCAGGTACATGAGTGTTCATTACACTATCCTCTCTACTTCTGAATGTGTTTGCAATTTCCAGTGGGGCGTGGTGGATCATGCCTGTAATCCCAACACATTAGGAGGTCAAGATGAGAGGATCACTTGAGCCTAGAAGTTCGAGACCAGCCTGAGCAACATAGAGAGATGCCATCTCTACAAAAATAACTATCTCACGCCTGTAATACCAGCACTTTGGGAGGCCGAGGCAGGTGGATCACGAGGTCAGGAGATCGAGACCATCCTCGCTAACACGGTGAAACCCCGTCTCTACTAAAAATACAAAAAAAGTAGCCAGGCGTAGTGGTGGGCGCCTGTAGTCCCAGCTACTTGGGAGGCTGAAGAAGGAGAATGGTGTGAACCCGGGAGGCGGAGGATGCAGTGAGCCGAGATCGCGCCACTGCACTCCAACCTGGGTGACAGAGCGAGAGTCCGCCTCAAAAAAAAAAAAAAAAAAAAAACTGGCCAGGCATGGGGGTACATGCCTGTGGTCCCAGCTATAGGGAGGCTGATTGCCTGAGCCCAGGAGGTTGAGGCTGCAGTGAGCCGTGATCACATCACTGCATTCCAGCCTGAGCAACAGAGTAAGAACCTATCTCGAAAAAGAAAAAGAAAGAAATTTCCCACAGTAAAAAAACCGTACCACTGTCCATTTATAGCATCTATTTGGTTAAATACAAGGATTTTGCTGTAGATCTAGCAAAAGCCAATAGGCTCATTAGTTAGTGTGTTTTTCGCACACATTTATCCTTGGGTTTAAAAGGACACACATACATGCACACACACAATCCTCCTAAGTGCGTATACTTGCTGTAATCTAAATAAAATACAGCTCTAAGAATGCAACTATCATTTTTTAAAAATCAACTCTTCCACAGTGATGATTTAAAATTTCATTAAAAGACATAACTGTCTCAAGTTACCCAAATAAAATGAAGCTACATTTTTCATATCATTTTCAATTGCCCAATTAGACAAAACACTCTAAATGTCACTAGACAAGTAAAATGGCAAAAAAAAAAAAAAAAAAAAAAAAAATTCAGCTGGCTACTTTTCCTAATTTACTCATATAAACAATCATTTCATTGTTAATAATCAGTAAATTTGAGAAAATTTACCAAAAGCAAACTTATCTCCAGTAAACAGGACAAGGAAGAGGCCTCATAAGTTTTTAACTTTTAAAAACTTGGGATGGGCGCAGTGGCTCATACCTGTAAACCCAGCACTTCGGGAGGCCAGGGCAGGTGGATCACCTGAGGTCAGGAGTTCAAAACCAGCATGGTCAACATGGTGAAACCCTATCTGTACTAAAAATACAAAAATTAGCCGGGCATGGTGGCGCACACCTGTAATCCCAGCTACTCAGGAGGCTGAAGCAGGAGAATCACCTGAACCTGGGAGGCACGGGTTGCAGTGAGCCAAGATCGCGCCACTACACTCCAGCCTGGGTGACAAGAGTGAGACTCTGTCTCAAAAATAAATAAATAAAAATCATTTAAAAATAAAATAAAAATAAAAACTGGAAACTAGTATTATTCCTATTTCCCCACTTGTTTTCAACCCAAATCATTTTATTTCATATTGACCTCAGCTAGCTCAACAACACGTAACTGGTTGGGCCTTTTTTTTTTTTAAGGTAACTATCAAATCAATTTTAAATACAAGATAATTTTCCAAAATGATAACCTTGTACTCGTATATTGATTTACTGAAACCACAGCAACCTGTCAATAACATCAAAGGATCTTAGTTTGAAGATGGTGAAAATAGGGTAATTACAGGTTTCTGGATGTGGGTCATTTGTCACATTTTAAAATAAATTTTCAGAGACGTGGGCAAAAATAGACATAAGGAAGTGTTGTCATCTTCCTTGCAGAGAGAGAACCTCAGAATATTCTCACAGAGAGAAGGAGAAAAGGAGTGGCCTGCTTGCCCCAGGGCACACAGCCTCAGAGCTCCACTCTTCCCTTAGAAAATAGGGAATAAATTACATGACTTCCTTTTATACTGTGGTCTAACAAAGTAGGAAGTCTCAGTACAATTAAAATAATCCTTCCTATGAGTTACTTTCAAGAAATAGAAGCACATGAACTATGCAAAATAAGACTACAGTGAAATAAATAAAAGTACGTGTATTTCTCCAAGTACGTGCATTTCTCCAACCGTTCTAGGTCATTCATTCACTGCAGTTTGTTTCTTCTCTTCAGAAATAAACTTAACTTTGTTAACAAAATACATTTGTCGATTACCACAAAACATGAGCATAAAGGGCTAAAGTCATTTTGTTCCTGTGCTTAGCACAAAACTGAAATAATGGTCATAGAACTGTGGGCAATTAAAGTAAAATCTGTAACCTTCAACATAAATTCTTTTGAAAAAATATGAAAAACTGTATGTTCACTGTTCAAATATGCACCCTTTTAGTCAAAATTAATAATTCCATCCATCCTTGTTTCAGTGACGCAACAGTTCTTATAAACTGCAACCTAAGATCCCACTGTGTCCTCTCAAATCAAATACAAATGTGCTATGGGCAGTAAACACTGGGACATAAACAATGCATATTTTAGACAAGAAATATGATTTTCTCCCCTTAAGTAATAATAATCAATAAATACAAACTTAATTTTCATATTTCATTTTTTATTAGTTTTGTTTTTTTTTTCTGGTAGACAGTACACTTGGGAATTATACTGCACCAGGCATAAAGAGTAAGTTTTCTACCACAGGGACATTTTGTATTCAGAATTCAATATAAATATTTCTAGTCAGACATTTCCATGGCTACAGATATTTGGTTCCTTGATTTATATGCATAGAAAGAAACAGTTGTCATAACTGTAAAAAGCAGTACTTAATAAGTACTTTTAAATGATTGGAACAGTTTTCCTTTAATATTACAATACTACTTATTTATTGGTTTGGAAACTAGGTCACCCTACATGATGTTTTGATTTTTCTCAAAGGCATCATGAGTACTCTGCTTATTCTTTCATTCTTGTATTTTTAGCCTTCTAGTTGAGTTAGGGACCATTTTATCAGAAATCATTTTAGCACTGTAATAAGAAAAGCTCTGTTAAGGGTAGATTATATACCATAATGATTTTCAGACTTCTTTTTATAAAAAAGGTATCTGGAGACTCTGAACAGGCACATGCATACTCAGGGGGAAGGGAACAAAACATGGAGGAGTCTGCCAAAGCACAAAACTTCCTTCTGGTCCTCACTGCCTTCAAATAAATACAACTATTTAAAAGAAAAAAAATATCTCACACTGTGATTTAAAAAAAAAAATCAGTATCTTCCATTTCCTGGAGAGTCTTTCCAGGAACCTGTGGCAGGGTCGGAGATCAGTCGTCTGTCTTCCGGGCTAGCCTACAGAAAGTCCAGTTGTGCTCCACTGTGTTTTCATTGGCCCGCTCACTCATGTGATGCACCCGGGTGTTGCGGATCGTGAAACCTTGTTTTGTAATGTATTCCATCAGGTGGACCCTAAGAGAAACTTCCTGGTGATAATCACAGGGTCCAAAAGTAAAGGAAACCTGGCAGTCTCTGGTGTCCATCATGTGCTTATTCCACTTGGTAAAATAATTTGAGATGCCTTCTAGTAAGGAATGGACCTTAGTGGTGATGGTTAGTTGCGTTATGATGACAGCCACTGGGTTGGAGTACTTAGAAAGCTTCCGAGTACTAGACAGCTCCACAACTTCTTCAAAAGTATCCATGGGATACAAAGGCTTAGGATCATTGAGACACTGAATCAAGGGCTCAATCTGGTAAAAATCTGCTTCTTTCCGAAGCAGATCAAATTCCTTAAAATCCAACGGTAAGGTCAATTCTGAAGTTCTTAAGAAGTTGAGGACATATCGGAAAAGAGGTCCATCTCGATCAATAAAGTAATTGCCTTGAGGGTCTCGAGCTGTGGGGAAGTCCCCCCCAAACATAGCTCCAAGCATGGAATCCGGGTAACGCGTCAATGTGGTGAGAGACGTTGTATACAAGTGTCCACCTACATTTAATGTGACTGGGTCAGTCATCTGAAATTTGTAAAGAAATGATCAGTCATCTGAAATTTTTAAATACTAACTTTGACAAATTAAGAAAGTAAGTGATACTGAGCAAAGCCCAAGATTCTTTCAGGCTATAATGTATTTAGTAATCCTCTAATGCAAAATGACTTTACTACCAGCAATAAACCCACCCAGATGAAGTGATCTAACATTTGCTTTCAATAGAAAAAAAAAGGAGAAATCCAATTTCTCTTTAAAGACTTATGCTAAGAATACAGGGCATTGACTTCCAGAGCCAAATCATTTCAGGCCCATTATCTATAGAGTTTTCAGGCCAGAATATATGTGGGAAGGGAAAAGCCACGCTAAAATACACTTATTTTTTTCTGATTTTTTTTTAAGGCTTGCATTTTTCTGAATTTAATTTAACATTAGATAGAATTAAAATGATCTGATAATATAGACATTTACTTTCAATATTTCTTTGGTTTCTCCCCCTCAAACAAAAGGAACAAACTATGAAATTTGTTTTTAAAATAAAAATTTGGGCCAGGTACAGTGGCTCATACCTGTAATCCTAGCACTTTGGGAGGCCGGGGCAGGCAGATTGCCTGAGCTCAGGAGTTCAAGACCAGCCTGGGCAACATGGCAAGACCCCATCTCTATTAAAAATACAAAAAAAAAAAAAAAAAAATTCACTGGGTGTGGTGGCCTGAGTAGTCCTAGCTACTTGGGAGGCTGAGGTATGAGAATCACTTGAACCCAGGAGGCACAGGCTGCAGTGAGCCAAGATCATGCCACTTCACTTCAGCCTGGGCGACACAGAGAGATTTTGTCTCCAAAAAAAAAAAATTATTTAAATTAAATTAAAAACTGTGCAGACCTAATCTTGGTAACTTTTTCATGGAAGTGATACTTTCAAATACTAAGTTAAAATATACAGTTTAGTCAATACAACCAAGCCAGAAAAGCATCACATACCCAAAAGCTTACAGCAGCCATAAAATTTCATAATCTGATAGTGTATTCACTTTTGTAACATTAATGCTGCAATCTGGCCTTTAATTCTGAGAAGCAAGCTTCTCTTAAAAAACATACCTTCAGTTTTAGAAATACTATTTACGAAAAAAATAGGCCAGGTGTGGTGGCTCACACCTGTAATCCCAGCACTTTGGGAGGCCAAGGAGGGTGGATCACTTGAGCCCAGGAGTTGCTGACCAGCCTGGGCAACATGACAAAACTCCATCTCTACAAAAAATACAAAATATTAGCCACACATGTTGGTGCCCACCTATCGTCTCAGCTACTCAGGAGGCTGAGGTGGGACAATCACCTGAGCTTGGAAAGTCATGAGCCGAGATCACGCCATTGCACTCCAGCCTAGGGAAAAGAGCAAGACCCTGTCTCGAAAAAAAAAAAAAAAAAGGAAGAAAGAAAAAAGAAAGGCAGACAGAGACTTCAGGTATAGGCAAGTAAAATATACCTTACACCAAAGGAATAGAAAAATAGGGAGACATATGCACACACAAAAAATGCAAGTGGGGAGAAGAGGCACTTTCTCAACCATTAATCTCCCAAACCACAACAAAATATCCTCCAAACTCACTAGATCCCTTTGTAGTCACTATTCATGAAGAAAGAGTCTTCAGAGCAACACACTTGAAAAAATAAAAAATCACGTTACCTCTCCAGTGATTATAAAAAGTATTTGGAAAATCCATTTTGAGTTTGATTCCATTAAAACACCAAACAAAGGCAGAGGATCGTTTGAGGTCAGGAGTTCGAGATCAGCCTGGCCAACATGGTGAAACCCCGTGTCTACTAAAAATACAAAAATTAGCCAGATGTGGTGGTGCACGCTGATAATCCCAGCTACTCAGGAGGCTGAGGCAGGAGAATCTCTTGAACCTAGGAGGTGGAGGTTGCAGTGAGCCAAGATCGCGCCACTGCACTCCAGCCTGGGCAAGAAGGCGAGACTCCACATAAAAAAAATTAAATAAAAATTTAAAAAACACCACACAAGACAAAAACGCCTCCAAAATACATCTAAACTAAGTAAAAGGGGGAAGAGAGGTTACACAAATTCACAATTTTCTTTTCTTATAAGATATACCTAAAAATACATAAGGATAAAAAGACACACAAAAATAATTCCCCAGCCTTCAAAATGCATCTCCAAGAAGCACTCACCATATAGCCCCAGTCTCCATTATCCATCTGCTCCAGTGATGCGTCTTCAAGAGCCCAGGTTTCAGGGAAACTTCAAGAGGAGAAAAACAGACATATGATAGCATATATAACTAGGAAAATAGAGAAGAAAGTCTTTTTCCACCCAACAGAGGAGGCCAAACACCAGAAAAACTACTCGTCCTTGCTCAGCTGAAACCTACTACAGGGCAAAGATCTGGGGAAGAAAGCATTCCCCTAGGGCCTTCTACATGTCCTGTATTCTTACCATAGAGAACCCATCTGGAACTAAGAGACTGAAGATTTTCAGAGAAAGAACTATACTGTACTTAAGAGAAGGAGGAAGAGTCTAGGAAGTAACCCAGTCATTCAAATTCTACCTCTCTTCTTAGAACATCAATTTTTAGAATTTATATAAGAGAATATTATGATTAACTCTACAACCTTATCCTGGTACAAACCTATAATGGTCCTCACCAAAAAGGTCATTTAAGAAAAAGGGACAGGCTGGGCGCAGTGGCTCATGCCTATAATCCCAGCACTTTGGGAGGCTGAGGCAGGAGGATCACCAGGTCAGGAGTTCAAGACCAGACTGCCCAACATAGTGAAACCCCATCTCTACTAAAAATACAAAAAATTAGCTGGGCGTGGTGGTGGGCACCTGTAATCCTAGCTATTCAGGAGGCTGAGGCAGGAGCATCACTTGAACCCGAGAGGCGGAGGTTGCAGTGAGCCGAGACTGTGCCACTGCACACCAGCCCCTGCAACAGTGCGAGACTCCATCTCAAAAAAAAAAAAAAAAAGAAAAGAAAAGAAAAAGGGAGAAGGGAAAACTCCTTTTCATCAGCATTTCAGCTATACAAGCCAATCACCTGAGTAAAAACATCAAAAATCATAAACCTCCCAGGATACCAGCATCCCTTTCCAAGAGAAATACATCAGAATGGTATTTATCTTACAATATAAAAAAAAAAGATGATGCTTTTAAATAATGATGTATTTCTCTTTGTACAATTAAAACAAATAGAAAGTGATTTAAATGCCGAAGTGTTAAAGAGCACAATTTGGGGCAAAAAGAACCTTACCGATATAGATGAGAGTCAATCAGCCAGCACTCATGGAGAGCCAGCCTTAAGACACTGAGAAATGCTCAGATACTAATGATGCCAATGTGAATTTATTTTTATCTACAATTCAAAAGCATTTAAACAAACAGTTTCCCAGCTACTGAACTGCCTTAGTCAGTTCCCTCTCACACACTTCAATCCCAAATCAACCTGTAAAGCAAACTGCAGAGCAAATTTCTAAAGCTCTGGCAAGACATGGTAAGAAACATGGACTTATTGGTATTCATCCAGGAAAAGCACTGGCTTTTTTACGTGGTCCTTTAACAGATTCACTTTTCCCACTTTTAGAGGAATCTGGCACAGAATTCCCAGAACAAGCCCTAGCTACAGAAGATCACAAAGGCTCTTTCTCAAAAGGTCACTCAGGCATGTAGAGAACATTTGCATAGCACAGCATGGGCTGAAATCAGAGCCTGAAGCATCTATTTCTCTACCTTGCAAATCCTTCAAAGCACACAACTAAAATGTGGACCAGACTATGGGGCAGTCAGTTTTTATTCTTTACACTCAGCAGTTGGATATAGACAGGCCTCCACATGCTATGGGGTGAGAAATGGAACAAATGTCAAATTCAAGACTGTTATGACAGTCTTTCATTCCTCTGACTTGCTTCACAAATAGTATCCGAAGTAAACAGGACCAAGAAATGGGCTTTGCCAATTTGTCTTGCCAGGATCTGATTCAGTTACTGATAACAACAGATTAGTAACTGAGCAATTTAAAAGGCCACTCATCCAAAAGTTCTGGTAAGATGCTCATCTTTGGCATTTTCCCATCACCCAAAGTATTCATTCTGACAGCCTCAATAATCATTCATTCAGCCAACAATTATTGTGGGTCACCTATGGAGTGGAGGGGGTGCCTATGTGCAATGCGGACACACAGAAAGAGGAAAAAGACAATCTTTGCCCTCATGGAGCTTTCCATCTATAATGGAAGGCAACATGCAATGACTGAAGTACAGAACAGAATTCAAAGTGCTGTATAACAGATGGACCAGCAGAGGCCCGTGAGAGGGGAAAAGCAAGATTTCAAATGGGAAATAGAGGACTTCTGGGAAGAGCCCATTCAGTTGAATCCTTGAAAGAAAATTCGGACAACCTGAGAAGGGATTCTAGAAGGAAGAAACAATTTAATAGACAGGGGCATGAAAGACTTTTTTTCCCCCTACAACATTCCTGATACCAGTAGGCCGAGCAGGGATTACTATCCTCATCTTAAAGATGCAAAACAGAGAAACAAGGCAGATTAAGTGACTAGCTGAGGGCGCCACAGCTGGGAAGTAACTAGATAAGAACTTGCATGTTCTGACTCTTAGTCTAGATTTTTCCATAAATCCCCTCCTAGGGTAGAAATTGAAAGAACAGAATCCAAGAGACAAGAAATTGAAAAAGCTTAACTTTAAACTCTCTATAGCCATCTATTAACCCTATCCATCCAGTAGGGTTTTATTTACAAATTTTACAGTAACTCAGCCTAACTAAACAGTCATAATGGGTTTGTAAAAATTCTCCTGAGGCCCCCCCACCAAAAAAAGGCAGGAACCCATTCAACTAGTGTGAATAACGGTTGCTGTCCTGTCTGTAGTGACATAAAGAACTCCAATCCGTGAATATCCAAATGATTAAATGAGAAACAGAAGATCAAAGACAAGGAAAAAAGCAGACATCAATGTTGCAGCCGTTAACGAAAAGTCTGTCCACTATTAACCCTTTTTTTCTTTTTTACTGCTAAATCAAAACAAGGTAACTTCTTGAGCAGTTATCTAAAAAAAAAAAAAAAAAAATTAGACGATGTCCCTGAATCTGTTCCACAGCAAAAGCAAAAGTTCCGGTACAAAGATGTAATGAAAGCTCACGCTTAATAATTCAGGAAAGCAATTATGGGAATCTACAGCCCATGTTTCTTAAAAACCACCCAAAAGCCTTCCTATACTTGTGTATAAGATACATCAAAATAAATTGAAGCAAAGTTACTATTAGTCACTTCCAATAACAATGAGTAAACTGTCTAAAGAAATCAAATTGTGCATTAAAGAGTTCAAAGGGAAAAAACAGTATTGATTAGTTTAAATTTTATCTCTACCTGCTTCTAAATATCTTCTGTGGAGATGCTTAAATACAGCAAGAAACAAACAAACAAAAAAAAAGCATGAAAAATTCCCTGTTATCCAATAGCTGGATAATGATCGGCTTCTGAATTCTGAATTGACGACCATTAGGAACATCTCTGAAACGATGCAGATGAATGAAATACAATCCCAAAGAATTTCCAGAATAGTTTCAATCTCTTCTACTGAATCATTTTCCAGAGCTACTAACAATTAGAAAATGATTCATTTGCTTTTCATCTTCTCTCCCTTCTGGCACAGTCTCCAGTGGAGGGCTTAATGAGAAGTTAAATGACCACAAGACAGGCAGCAGAAGGAAGATCTTGAAATGGGTATCAAATAGGCCTATTTTACTTGATGAAAGCAAAGAAATATCTAATATTTCAGAAAATCTACCAGGAATGGTAACAATAAAAAATTTTTCCTTTATAGTGACTTTCCTTACTAAAACTAAAGATGGTTTTGAAAGACAGCAAATGCAACCGAGCACAAACAGCTATAAAATTCAAAGAAGCCTCTGACCCTGAAAAATCAGTTCACCTGAAAAGATGTAACCTTTGATGCAAATAAAATTCTTGTGAAAACAACACTGCCCACTCCCCAAAGAATATAAAGCAGTGCTGAAAATTCAACCATGTTTAAGCTTCAAAGGTTATTGTGACTAATGTATAAATTCTGACAGTGTCATGTTAGCAGGTAA